>NC_000009.12:44120453-44485862 GCF_000001405.40 Homo sapiens
AAACATTCCTTTAGTAGAATCTGCAAGTTGATATTTAGATAGCTAGGAAGATTTCCTTGGAAACGGGAATATCTTCATATAAAATCTAGACGGAAGCATTCTCAGAAAGTGCTTTGTGATGTTTGCATTCAAGTCACAGAGTTGAATATTCCCTTTTATAGAGCAGGTTTGAAACACTCTCTCTGCACTACCTGGAAGTGGACATTTGGAGCGCTTTGAGGCCTATGTTGAAAAAGGAAATATCTTCCCATAAAAACTAGACAGAAGCATTCTCAGAAACTTGTTTGTGATGTGTGTATTCAACTAACAGAGATGAACCTTTCTTTTTACAGAGCAGTTTTGAAACACTCTTTTTGTGGAATCTGAAAGTGGATATTTGGATAGCTTTGAGGATTTCGTTGGAAACGGGATTACATATAAAACCTAGAGAGAAGCATTCTCAGGAACTTCTTTGTGATGTTTGCCTTCAAGTCACAGGACTGAACATTCCCTTTCATAGAGCAGGTTTGAAACACTCTTTCTGTAGTATCTGCAAGCTGACGTTTCAAGCGCTTTCAGGCCTATGGTGAGAAAGGAAATATCTTCAAGTAAAAACTAGACAGAAGCATTCTCAGAAACTTATTTGCCATGTGTGTTCTCAACTAACAGAGTTGAACCTTTGTTTTGATACGGCATTTTGGAAACACTCTTTTTGTAGAATCTGCAGCTGGATATTCGGATAGCTTTGAAGGTTTCGTTGGAAACGGGAATATCTTCATATAAAATCTAGACGGAAGCATTCTCAGAAACTGCTTTGTGATGTTTTCATTCAAGTCACAGAGTAGAATGTTCCCTGTTATATACCAGGTTTGAGACACTCTTTCTGCACTACCCGGAAGTGGACGTTTGGAGCGCTTTGAGGCCTATGTTGAAAAAGGAAATATCTTCCCATAAAAACTAGACAGAAGCATTCTCAGAAACTTGTTTGTGATGTGTGTATTCAACTAACAGAGATGAACCTTTCTTTTTACAGAGCAGTTTTGAAACACTCTTTTTGTGGAATCTGAAAGTGGATATTTGGATGGCTTTGAGGATTTCGTTGGAAACGGGATTACATATAAAATCTAGAGAGAAGCATTCTCAGGAACTTCTTTGTGATGTTTGCATTCACGTCACAGAACTGAACATTCCCTTTCATAGAGCATGTTTGAAACACTCTTTCTGTAGTATCTGCAAACGGACATTTCAAACGCTTTCAGGCCTATGGTGAAAAAGGAAATATCTTCAAGTAAAAACTAGACAGAAGCATTCTCAGAAACTTATTTGCGATGTGTGTCCTCAACTAACAGAGTTGAACCTTTCTTTTGATACAACATTTTGGAAACACTCTTTTTGTAGAATCTGCAAGTGGATATTTGAATAGCTTTGAAGGTTTCGTTGGAAACGGGAATATCTTCATATAAAATCAAGACAGAAGCATTCTCAGAAACTTCTCTGTGATGTTTGCATTCAACTCATAGAGTTGAACACTTCCCTTCATACAGCAGGTTTGAAACACTCTTTTTGTAATATTTGGAAGTGGACATTTGCAGCGCTTTGAGGCCTATGATGAAAAAGGTAATATCTTCCCATAAAAACTAGACAGAAGCATTCTCAGAAACTTGTTTGTGATGTGTGTATTCAACTAACAGAGATGAACCTTTCTTTTTACAGAGCAGTTTTGAAACACTCTTTTTGTGGAATCTGAAAGTGGATATTTGGATAGCTTTGCGGATTTCGTTGGAAACGGGATTACATATAAAATCTAGGGAGAAGCATTCTCAGGAACTTCTTTGTGATGTTTGCATTCAAGTCACAGAACTGAACATTCCCTTTCATAGAGCAGGTTTGAAACACTCTTTCTGTAGTATCTGCAAGCGGACGTTTTAAGCGCTTTCAGGCCTGTGGTGAGAAAGGAAATATCTTCAAATAAAAACTAGACAGAAGCATTCTCAGAAACTTATTTGCGATGTGTGTCCTCAACTAACAGAGTTGAACCTTTCTTTTGATACAACATTTTGGAAACACTCTTTTTGTAGAATCTGCAAGTGGATATTTGGATAGCTTTGAAGGTTTCGTTGGAAACGGGAATATCTTCATATGAAATCAAGACAGAAGCATTCTCAGAAACTTCTCTGTGATGTTTGCATTCAACTCATAGAGTTGAACACTTCCCTTCATACAGCAGGTTTGAAACACTCTTTTTGTAATATTTGGAAGTGGACATTTGCAGCGCTTTGAGGCCTATGTTGAAAAAGGAAATATCTTCTCCTAAAAACCAGACAGAAGCATTCTCAGAAACTTGTTTGTGATGTGTGTATTCAACTAACAGAGATGAACCTTTCTTTTTACAGAGCAGTTTTGAAACACTCTTTTTGTGGAATCTGAAAGTGGATATTTGGATAGCTTTGAGGATTTCGTCGGAAACGGGATTACATATAAAATCTAGAGAGAAGCATTCTCAGGAACTTCTTTGTGATGTTTGCATTCAAGTCACAGAACTGAACATTCCCTTTCATAGAGCATGTTTGAAACACTCTTTCTGTAGTATCTGCAAGCGGACGTTTTAAGCGCTTTCAGGCCTGTGGTGAGAAAGGAAATATCTTCAAATAAAAACTAGACAGAAGCATTCTCAGAAACTTGTTGGCGATGTGTTTCCTCAACTAACAGAGTTGAACCTTTCTTTTGATACAACATTTTGGAAACACTCTTTTTGTAGAATCTGCAAGTGGATATTTGGATAGCTTTGAAGGTTTCTTTGGAAACGGGAATATCTTCATATAAAATCAAGACAGAAGCATTCTCAGAAACTTCTCTGTGATGTTTGCATTCAACTCATAGAGTTGAACACTTCCCTTCATACAGCAGGTTTGAAACACTCTTTTTGTAATATTTGGAAGTGGACATTTGCAGCGCTTTGAGGCCTATGTTGAAAAAGGAAATATCTTCTCCTAAAAACCAGACAGAAGCATTCTCAGAAACTTCCTTGTGATGTGTGTACTCAAGTAACAGAGTTGAACCTTCCTTTTGACAGAGCAGTTTTGAAGCACTCTTTTTGTAGAATCTGCAAGTGGATATTTTGATACCTTTGAGGATTTCGTTGGACACGGGATATCTTCATATAAAATCTAGACAGAAGCATTCTCAGAAACTTCTTTGTGCTGTATGTCCGCAATTAACAGAGTTGAACCTTTGTGTGGATACAGCATTTTGGAAACATTCCTTTAGTAGAATCTGCAAGTTGATATTTAGATAGCTAGGAAGATTTCCTTGGAAACGGGAATATCTTCATATAAAATCTAGACGGAAGCATTCTCAGAAAGTGCTTTGTGATGTTTGCATTCAAGTCACAGAGTTGAATATTCCCTTTTATAGAGCAGGTTTGAAACACTCTTTCTGCACTACCTGGAAGTGGACATTTGGAGCGCTTTGAGGCCTATGTTGAAAAAGGAAATATCTTCCCATAAAAACTAGACAGAAGCATTCTCAGAAACTTGTTTGTGATGTGTGTATTCAACTAACAGAGATGAACCTTTCTTTTACAGAGCAGTTTTGAAACACTCTTTTTGTGGAATCTGAAAGTGGATATTTGGATAGCTTTGAGGATTTCGTTGGAAACGGGATTACATATAAAACCTAGAGAGAAGCATTCTCAGGAACTTCTTTGTGATGTTTGCCTTCAAGTCACAGGACTGAACATTCCCTTTCATAGAGCAGGTTTGAAACACTCTTTCTGTAGTATCTGCAAGCTGACGTTTCAAGCGCTTTCAGGCCTATGGTGAGAAAGGAAATATCTTCAAGTAAAAACTAGACAGAAGCATTCTCAGAAACTTATTTGCCATGTGTGTTCTCAACTAACAGAGTTGAACCTTTGTTTTGATACGGCATTTTGGAAACACTCTTTTTGTAGAATCTGCAGGTGGATATTCGGATAGCTTTGAAGGTTTCGTTGGAAACGGGAATATCTTCATATAAAATGCTAGACGGAAGCATTCTCAGAAACTGCTTTGTGATGTTTTCATTCAAGTCACAGAGTAGAATGTTCCCTTTTATAGAGCAGGTTTGAGACACTCTTTCTGCACTACCTGGAAGTGGACATTTGTAGCGCTTTGAGGCCTATGATGAAAAAGGAAATATCTTCCCATAAAAACTAGACAGATGCATTCTCAGAAACTTGTTTGTGATGTGTGTATTCAACTAACAGAGATGAACCTTTCTTTTTACAGAGCAGTTTTGAAACACTCTTTTTGTGGAATCTGAAAGTGGATATTTGGAGAGCTTTGAGGATTTCGTTGGAAACGGGATTACATAGAAAATCTGGAGAGAAGCATTCTCAGGAACTTCTTTGTGATGTTTGCATTCACGTCACAGAACTGAACATTCCCTTTCATAGAGCATGTTTGAAACACTCTTTCTGTAGTATCTGCAAACGGACATTTCAAACGCTTTCAGGCCTATGGTGAGAAAGGAAATATCTTCAAATAAAAACTAGACAGAAGCATTCTCAGAAACTTATTTGCGATGTGTGTCCTCAACTAACAGACTTGAACCTTTCTTTTGATACAACATTTTGGAAACACTCTTTTTGTGGAATCTGCAAGTGGATATTTGGATAGCTTTGAAGATTTCGTTGGAAACGGGAATATCTTCATATAAAATCAAGACAGAAGCATTCTCAGAAACTTCTCTGTGATGTTTGCATTCAACTCATAGAGTTGAACACTTCCCTTCATACAGCAGGTTTGAAACACTCTTTTTGTAATATTTGGAAGTGGACATTTGCAGCGCTTTGAGGCCTATGATGAAAAAGGTAATATCTTCCCATAAAAACTAGACAGAAGCATTCTCAGAAAGTTGTTTGTGATGTGTGTATTCAACTAACAGAGATGAACCTTTCTTTTTACAGAGCAGTTTTGAAACACTCTTTTTGTGGAATCTGAAAGTGGATATTTGGATAGCTTTGCGGATTTCGTTGGAAACGGGATTACATATAAAATCTAGGGAGAAGCATTCTCAGGAACTTCTTTGTGATGGTTGCATTCAAGTCACAGAACTGAACATTCCCTTTCATAGAGCATGTTTGAAACACTCTTTCTGTAGTATCTCCAAGCGGACGTTTCAAGCGCTTTCAGGCCTATGGTGAGAAAGGAAATATCTTCAAGTAAAAACTAGACAGAAGCATTCTCAGAAACTTATTTGCGATGTGTGTCCTCAACTAACAGAGTTGAACCTTTCTTTTGATACAACATTTTGGAAACACTCTTTTTGTAGAATCTGCAAGTGGATATTTGAATAGCTTTGAAGGTTTCGTTGGAAACGGGAATATCTTCATATAAAATCAAGACAGAAGCATTCTCAGAAACTTCTCTGTGATGTTTGCCTTCAACTCATAGAGTTGAACACTTCCTTCATACAGCAGGTTTGAAACACTCTTTTTGTAATATTTGGAAGTGGACATTTGCAGCGCTTTGAGGCCTGTGATGAAAAAGGTAATATCTTCCCATAAAAACTAGACAGAAGCATTCTCAGAAACTTGTTTGAGATGTGTGTATTCAACTAACAGAGATGAACCTTTCTTTTTACAGAGCAGTTTTGAAACACTCTTTTTGTGGAATCTGAAAGTGGATATTTGGATAGCTTTGAGGATTTCGTTGGAAACGGGATTACATATAAAATCTAGGGAGAAGCATTCTCAGGAACTTCTTTGTGATGTTTGCATTCACGTCACAGAACTGAACATTCCCTTTCATAGAGCATGTTTGAAACACTCTTTCTGTAGTATCTGCAAACGGACATTTCATACGCTTTCAGGCCTATGGTGAGAAAGGAAATATCTTCAAGTAAAAACTAGACAGAAGCATTCTCGGAAACTTATTTGCGATGTGTGTTCTCAACTAACAGAGTTGAACCTTTGTTTTGATACAGCATTTTGGAAACACTCTTTTTGTAGGATCTGCAGGTGGATATTTGCATAGCTTTGAAGGTTTCGTTGGAAACGGGAATATCTTCATATAAAATCAACACAGAAGCATTCTCAGAAACTTCTCTGTGATGTTTGCATTCAACTCATAGAGTTGAACACTTCCCTTCATACAGCAGGTTTGAAACACTCTTTTTGTAATATTTGGAAGTGGACATTTGCAGCGCTTTGAGGCCTATGACGAAAAAGGTAATATCTTCCCATAAAAACTAGACAGAAGCATTCTCAGAAACTTGTTTGTGATGTGTGTATTCAACTAACAGAGATGAACCTTTCTTTTTACAGAGCAGTTTTGAAACACTCTTTTTGTGGAATCTGAAAGTGGATATTTGGATAGCTTTGCGGATTTCTTTGGAAACGGGATTACATAAAAAATCTAGAGAGAAGCATTCTCAAGAACTTCTTTGTGATGTTTGCATTCAAGTCACAGAACTGAACATTCCCTTTCATAGAGCAGGTTTGAAACACTCTTTCTGTAGTATCTGCAAGCGGACGTTTTAAGCGCTTTCAGGCCTGTGGTGAGAAAGGAAATATCTTCAAATAAAAACTAGACAGAAGCATTCTCAGAAACTTATTTGCGATGTGTGTCCTCAACTAACAGAGTTGAACCTTTCTTTTGATACAACATTTTGGAAACACTCTTTTTGTAGAATCTGCAAGTGGATATTTGGATAGCTTTGAAGGTTTCGTTGGAAACGGGAATATCTTCATATGAAATCAAGACAGAAGCATTCTCAGAAACTTCTCTGTGATGTTTGCATTCAACTCATAGAGTTGAACACTTCCCTTCATACAGCAGGTTTGAAACACTCTTTTTGTAATATTTGGAAGTGGACATTTGCAGCGCTTTGAGGCCTATGTTGAAAAAGGAAATATCTTCTCCTAAAAACCAGACAGAAGCATTCTCAGAAACTTCCTTGTGATGTGTGTACTCAAGTAACAGAGTTGAACCTTCCTTTTGACAGAGCAGTTTTGAAGCACTCTTTTTGTAGAATCTGCAAGTGGATATTTTGATACCTTTGAGGATTTCGTTGGACACGGGATATCTTCATATAAAATCTAGACAGAAACATTCTCAGAAACTTCTTTGTGCTGTATGTCCTCAATTAACAGAGTTGAACCTTTGTGTGGATACAGCATTTTGGAAACATTCCTTTAGTAGAATCTGCAAGTTGATATTTAGATAGCTAGGAAGATTTCCTTGGAAACGGGAATATCTTCATATAAAATCTAGACGGAAGCATTCTCAGAAAGTGCTTTGTGATGTTTGCATTCAAGTCACAGAGTTGAATATTCCCTTTTATAGAGCAGGTTTGAAACACTCTTTCTGCACTACCTGGAAGTGGACATTTGGAGCGCTTTGAGGCCTATGTTGAAAAAGGAAATATCTTCCCATAAAAACTAGACAGAAGCATTCTCAGAAACTTGTTTGTGATGTGTGTATTCAACTAACAGAGATGAACCTTTCTTTTTACAGAGCAGTTTTGAAACACTCTTTTTGTGGAATCTGAAAGTGGATATTTGGATAGCTTTGAGGATTTCGTTGGAAACGGGATTACATATAAAACCTAGAGAGAAGCATTCTCAGGAACTTCTTTGTGATGTTTGCCTTCAAGTCACAGGACTGAACATTCCCTTTCATAGAGCAGGTTTGAAACACTCTTTCTGTAGTATCTGCAAGCTGACGTTTCAAGCGCTTTCAGGCCTATGGTGAGAAAGGAAATATCTTCAAGTAAAAACTAGACAGAAGCATTCTCAGAAACTTATTTGCCATGTGTGTTCTCAACTAACAGAGTTGAACCTTTGTTTTGATACGGCATTTTGGAAACACTCTTTTTGTAGAATCTGCAGGTGGATATTCGGATAGCTTTGAAGGTTTCGTTGGAAACGGGAATATCTTCATATAAAATCTAGACGGAAGCATTCTCAGAAACTGCTTTGTGATGTTTTCATTCAAGTCACAGAGTTGAATGTTCCCTGTTATATACCAGGTTTGAGACACTCTTTCTGCACTACCCGGAAGTGGACGTTTGGAGCGCTTTGAGGCCAATGTTGAAAAAGGAAATATCTTCCCATAAAAACTAGACAGAAGCATTCTCAGAAACTTGTTTGTGATGTGTGTATTCAACTAACAGAGATGAACCTTTCCTTTTACAGAGCAGTTTTGAAACACTCTTTTTGTGGAATCTGAAAGTGGATATTTGGATAGCTTTGAGGATTTCGTTGGAAACGGGATTACAGATAAAACCTAGAGAGAAGCATTCTCAGGAACTTCTTTGTGATGTTTGCATTCAAGTCACAGAACTGAACATTCCCTTTCATAGAGCAGGTTTGAAACACTCTTTCTGTAGTATCTGCAAGCTGACGTTTCAAGCGCTTTCAGGCCTATGGTGAGAAAGGAAATATCTTCAAGTAAAAACTAGACAGAAGCATTCTCAGAAACTTATTTGCCATGTGTGTTCTCAACTAACAGAGTTGAACCTTTGTTTTGATACAGCATTTTGGAAACACTCTTTTTGTAGGATCTACAGGTGGATATTTGGATAGCTTTTAAGGTTTCGTTGGAAACGGGAATATCTTCATATAAAATCAAGACAGAAGCATTCTCAGAAACTTCTCTGTGATGTTTGCATTCAACTCATAGAGTTGAAGACTTCCTTTCATAGAGCCGGTTTGAAACACTCTGTGCACTACCTGGAAGTGGACATTTCGAGCGCTTTGAGGCCTATGTTGAAAAAGGAAATATCTTCCCATAAAAACTAGACAGAAGCATTCTCAGAAACTTGTTTGTGATGTGTGTATTCAACTAACAGATATGAACCTTTCTTTTTACAGAGCAGTTTTGAAACACTCTTTTTGTGGAATCTGAAAGTGGATATTTGGATAGCTTTGAGGATTTCGTTGGAAACGGGATTACATATAAAATCTAGGGAGAAGCATTCTCAGGAACTTCTTTGTGATGTTTGCATTCAAGTCACAGAACTGAACATTCCCTTTCATAGAGCAGGTTTGAAACACTGTTTCTGTAGTATCTGCAAACGGACATTCCAAGCGCTTTCAGGCCTATGGTGAGAAAGGAAATATCTTCAAATAAAAACCAGACAGAAGCATTCTCAGAAACTTATTTGTGATGTGTGTCCTCAACTAACAGAGTTGAACCTTTCTATTGATACAACATTTTGGAAACACTCTTTTTGTAGAATCTGCAGGTGGATATTCGGATAGCTTTGAAGGTTTCGTTGGAAACGGGAATATCTTCATATAAAATCAAGACAGAAGCATTCTCAGAAACTTCTCTGTGATGTTTGCATTCAACTCATAGAGGTGAACACTTCCCTTCATAGAGCAGGTTTGAAACACTCTTTTTGTAATATTTGGAAGTGGACATTTGCAGCGCTTTGAGGCCTATGTTGAAAAAGGAAATATCTTCTCCTAAAAACCAGACAGAAGCATTCTCAGAAACTTCCTTGTGATGTGTGTACTCAAGTAACAGAGTTGAACCTTCCTTTTGACAGAGCCGTTTTGAAACAGTCTTTTTGTAGAATCTGGAAGTAGATATTTGGATACCTTTGAGGATTTCTTTGGAAACGGGATATCTTCATATAAAATCTAGACAGAAGCATTCTCAGAAACTTCTTTGTGCTGTATGTCCTCAATGAACAGAGTTGAACCTTTGTGTGGATACAGCATTTTGGAAACATTCCTTTAGTAGAATCTGCAAGTTGATATTTAGATAGCTAGGAAGATTTCCTTGGAAAAGGGAATATCTTCATATAAAATCTAGCCGGAAGCATTCTCAGAAACTTCTCTGTGATGTTTGCATTCAACTCATAGAGTTGAACACTTCCCTTCATACAGCAGGTTTGAAACACTCTTTTTGTAATATTTGGAAGTGGACATTTGCAGCGCTTTGAGGCCTATGATGAAAAAGGTAATATCTTCCCATAAAAACTAGACAGAAGCATTCTCAGAAACTTGTTTGTGATGTGTGTATTCAACTAACAGAGATGAACCTTTCTTTTTACAGAGCAGTTTTGAAACACTCTTTTTGTGGAATCTGAAAGTGGATATTTGGATAGCTTTGAGGATTTCGTTGGAAACGGGATTACATATAAAACCTAGAGAGAAGCATTCTCAGGAACTTCTTTGTGATGTTCGCATTCAAGTCACAGGACTGAACGTTCCCTTTCATAGAGCAGGTTTGAAACACTCTTTCTGTAGTATCTGCAAGCTGACGTTTCATGCGTTTTCAGGCCTATGGTGAGAAAGGAAATATCTTCAAGTAAAAACTAGACAGAAGCATTCTCAGAAACTTATTTGCCATGTGTGTTCTCAACTAACAGAGTTGAACCTTTGTTTTGATACGGCATTTTGGAAACACTCTTTTTGTAGAATCTGCAGGTGGATATTCGGATAGCTTTGAAGGTTTCGTTGGAAACGGGAATATCTTCATATAAAATCTAGACGGAAGCATTCTCAGAAACTGCTTTGTGATGTTTTCATTCAAGTCACAGAGTAGAATGTTCCCTGTTATACACCAGGTTTGAGACACTCTTTCTGCACTACCTGGAAGTGGACGTTTGGAGCGCTTTGAGGCCTATGTTGAAAAAGGAAATATCTTCCCATAAAAACTAGACAGAAGCATTCTCAGAAACTTGTTTGTGATGTGTGTATTCAACTAACAGAGATGAACCTTTCTTTTTACAGAGCAGTTTTGAAACACTCTTTTTGTGGAATCTGAAAGTGGATATTTGGATAGCTTTGAGGATTTCGTTGGAAACGGGATTACATATAAAACCTAGAGAGAAGCATTCTCAGGAACTTCTTTGTGATGTTTGCATTCAAGTCACAGAACTGAACATTCCCTTTCATAGAGCAGGTTTGAAACACTCTTTCTGTAGTATCTGCAAGCTGACGTTTCAAGCGCTTTCAGGCCTATGGTGAGAAAGGAAATATCTTCAAGTAAAAACTAGACAGAAGCATTCTCAGAAACTTATTTGCGATGTGTGTTCTCAACTAACAGAGTTGAACCTTTGTTTTGATATGGCATTTTGGAAACACTCTTTTTGTAGAATCTGCAGGTGGATATTCGGATAGCTTTGAAGGTTTCGTTGGAAACGGGAATATCTTCATATAAAATCTAGACGGAAGCATTCTCAGAAACTGCTTTGTGATGTTTTCATTCAAGTCACAGAGTAGAATGTTCCCTGTTATATACCAGGTTTCAGACACTCTTTCTGCACTACCTGGAAGTGGACATTTGCAGCGCTTTGAGGCCTATGATGAAAAAGGAAATATCTTCCCATAAAAACTAGACAGAAGCATTCTCAGAAACTTGTTTGTGATGTGTGTATTCAACTAACAGAGATGAACCTTTCTTTTTACAGAGCAGTTTTGAAACACTCTTTTTGTGGAATCTGAAAGTGGATATTTGGATAGCTTTGAGGATTTCGTTGGAAACGGGATTACATATAAAATCTAGAGAGAAGCATTCTCAGGAACTTCTTTGTGATGTTTGCATTCACGTCACAGAACTGAACATTCCCTTTCATAGAGCATGTTTGAAACACTCTTTCTGTAGTATCTGCAAACGGACATTTCAAACGCTTTCAGGCCTATGGTGAGAAAGGAAATATCTTCAAATAAAAACTAGACAGAAGCATTCTCAGAAACTTATTTGCGATGTGTGTCCTCAACTAACAGAGTTGAACCTTTCTTTTGATACAACATTTTGGAAACACTCTTTTTGTAGAATCTGCAAGTGGATATTTGAATAGCTTTGAAGGTTTCGTTGGAAACGGGAATATCTTCATATAAAATCAAGACAGAAACATTCTCAGAAACTTCTCTGTGATGTTTGCATTCAACTCATAGAGTTGAACACTTCCCTTCATACAGCAGGTTTGAAACACTCTTTTTGTAATATTTGGAAGTGGACATTTGCAGCGTTTTGAGGCCTATGATGAAAAAGGTAATATCTTCTCATAAAAACTAGACAGAAGCATTCTCAGAAACTTGTTTGTGATGTGTGTATTCAACTAACAGAGATGAACCTTTCTTTTTACAGAGCAGTTTTGAAACACTCTTTTTGTGGAATCTGAAAGTGGATATTTGGATAGCTTTGCGGATTTCGTTGGAAACGGGATTACATATAAAATCTAGGGAGAAGCATTCTCAGGAACTTCTTTGTGATGTTTGCATTCAAGTCACAGAACTGAACATTCCCTTTCATAGAGCAGGTTTGAAACACTCTTTCTGTAGTATCTGCAAGCGGACGTTTTAAGCGCTTTCAGGCCTGTGGTGAGAAAGGAAATATCTTCAAATAAAAACTAGACAGAAGCATTCTCAGAAACTTATTTGCGATGTGTGTCCTCAACTAACAGAGTTGAACCTTTCTTTTGATACAACATTTTGGAAACACTCTTTTTGTAGAATCTGCAAGTGGATATTTGGATAACTTTGAAGGTTTCGTTGGAAACGGGAATATCTTCATATGAAATCAAGACAGAAGCATTCTCAGAAACTTCTCTGTGATGTTTGCATTCAACTCATAGAGTTGAACACTTCCCTTCATACAGCAGGTTTGAAACACTCTTTTTCTAATATTTGGAAGTGGACATTTGCAGCGCTTTGAGGCCTATGTTGAAAAAGGAAATATCTTCTCCTAAAAACCAGACAGAAGCATTCTCAGAAACTTCCTTGTGATGTGTGTACTCAAGTAACAGAGTTGAACCTTCCTTTTGACAGAGCCGTTTTGAAGCACTCTTTTTGTAGAATCTGCAAGTGGATATTTTGATACCTTTGAGGATTTCGTTAGACACGGGATATCTTCATATAAAATCTAGACAGAAGCATTCTCAGAAACTTCTTTGTGCTGTATGTCCTCAATTAACAGAGTTGAACCTTTGTGTGGATACAGCATTTTGGAAACATTCCTTTAGTAGAATCTGCAAGTTGATATTTAGATAGCTAGGAAGATTTCCTTGGAAACGGGAATATCTTCATATAAAATCTAGACGGAAGCATTCGCAGAAAGTGCTTTGTGATGTTTGCATTCAAGTCACAGAGTTGAATATTCCCTTTTATAGAGCAGGTTTGAAACACTCTTTCTGCACTACCTGGAAGTGGACATTTGGAGCGCTTTGAGGCCTATGTTGAAAAAGGAAATATCTTCCCATAAAAACTAGACAGAAGCATTCTCAGAAACTTGTTTGTGATGTGTGTATTCAACTAACAGAGATGAACCTTTCTTTTTACAGAGCAGTTTTGAAACACTCTTTTTGTGGAATCTGAAAGTGGATATTTGGATAGCTTTGAGGATTTCGTTGGAAACGGGATTACATATAAAACCTAGAGAGAAGCATTCTCAGGAACTTCTTTGTGATGTTTGCCTTCAAGTCACAGGACTGAACATTCCCTTTCATAGAGCAGGTTTGAAACACTCTTTCTGTAGTATCTGCAAGCTGACGTTTCAAGCGCTTTCAGGCCTATGGTGAGAAAGGAAATATCTTCAAGTAAAAACTAGACAGAAGCATTCTCAGAAACTTATTTGCCATGTGTGTTCTCAACTAACAGAGTTGAACCTTTGTTTTGATACGGCATTTTGGAAACACTCTTTTTGTAGTATCTGCAGGTGGATATTCGGATAGCTTTGAAGGTTTCGTTGGAAACGGGAATATCTTCATATAAAATCTAGACGGAAGCATTCTCAGAAAGTGCTTTGTGATGTTTTCATTCAAGTCACAGAGTGGAGTGTTCCCTGTTATATACCAGGTTTGAGACACTCTTTCTGCACTACCTGGAAGTGGACGTTTGGAGCGCTTTGAGGCCTATGTTGAAAAAGGAAATATCTTCCCATAAAAACTAGACAGAAGCATTCTCAGACACTTCCTTGTGATGTGTGTACTCAAGTAACAGAGTTGAACCTTCCTTTTGACAGAGCAGTTTTGAAGCACTCTTTTTGTAGAATCTGCAAGTGGATATTTTGATACCTTTGAGGATTTCGTTGGATACGGGATATCTTCATATAAAATCTAGACAGAAGCATTCTCAGGAACTTCTTTGTGATGTTTGCATTCACGTCACAGAACTGAACATTCCCTTTCATAGAGCAGGTTTGAAACACTCTTTCTGTAGTATCTGCAAGCGGACGTTTTAAGCGCTTTCAGGCCTGTGGTGAGAAAGGAAATATCTTCAAATAAAAACTAGACAGAAGCATTCTCAGAAACTTATTTGCGATGTGTGTCCTCAACTAACAGAGTTGAACCTTTCTTTTGATACAACATTTTGGAAACACTCTTTTTGTAGAATCTGCAAGTGGATATTTGGATAGCTTTGAAGGTTTCGTTGGAAACGGGAATATCTTCATATGAAATCAAGACAGAAGCATTCTCAGAAACTTCTCTGTGATGTTTGCATTCAACTCATAGAGTTGAACACTTCTCTTCATACAGCAGGTTTGAAACACTCTTTTTCTAATATTTGGAAGTGGACATTTGCAGCGCTTTGAGGCCTATGTTGAAAAAGGAAATATCTTCTCCTAAAAACCAGACAGAAGCATTCTCAGAAACTTCCTTGTGATGTGTGTACTCAAGTAACAGAGTTGAACCTTCCTTTTGACAGAGCAGTTTTGAAGCACTCTTTTTGTAGAATCTGCAAGTGGATATTTTGATACCATTGAGGATTTCGTTGGACACGGGATATCTTCATATAAAATCTAGACAGAAGCATTCTCAGGAACTTCTTTGTGATGTTTGCATTCACGTCACAGAACTGAACATTCCCTTTCATAGAGCATGTTTGAAACACTCTTTCTGTAGTATCTGCAAACGGACATTTCAAACGCTTTCAGGCCTATGGTGAGAAAGGAAATATCTTCAAATAAAAACTAGACAGAAGCATTCTCAGAAACTTATTTGCGATGTGTGTCCTCAACTAACAGAGTTGAACCTTTCTTTTGATACAACATTTTGGAAACACTCTTTTTGTAGAATCTGCAAGTGGATATTTGAATAGCTTTGAAGGTTTCGTTGGAAACGGGAATATCTTCATATAAAATCAAGACAGAAGCATTCTCAGAAACTTCTCTGTGATGTTTGCATTCAACTCATAGAGTTGAACACTTCCCTTCATACAGCAGGTTTGAAACACTCTTTTTCTAATATTTGGAAGTGGACATTTGCAGCGCTTTGAGGCCTATGATGAAAAAGGAAATATCTTCTCCTAAAAACCAGACAGAAGCATTCTCAGAAACTTCCTTGTGATGTGTGTACTCAAGTAACAGAGTTGAACCTTCCTTTTGACAGAGCAGTTTTGAAGCACTCTTTTTGTAGAATCTGCAAGTGGATATTTTGATACCTTTGAGGATTTCGTTGGACACGGGATATCTTCATATAAAATCTAGACAGAAGCATTCTCAGAAACTTCTTTGTGCTGTATGTCCTCAATTAACAGAGTTGAACCTTTGTGTGCATACAGCATTTTGGAAACATTCCTTTAGTAGAATCTGCAAGTTGATATTTAGATAGCTAGGAAGATTTCCTTGGAAACGGGAATATCTTCATATAAAATCTAGACGGAAGCATTCTCAGAAAGTGCTTTGTGATGTTTGCATTCAAGTCACAGAGTTGAATATTCCCTTTTATAGAGCAGGTTTGAAACACTCTTTCTGCACTACCTGGAAGTGGACATTTGGAGCGCTTTGAGGCCTATGTTGAAAAAGGAAATATCTTCCCATAAAAACTAGACAGAAGCATTCTCAGAAACTTGTTTGTGATGTGTGTATTCAACTAACAGAGATGAACCTTTCTTTTTACAGAGCAGTTTTGAAACACTCTTTTTGTGGAATCTGAAAGTGGATATTTGGATAGCTTTGAGGATTTCGTTGGAAACGGGATTACATATAAAACCTAGAGAGAAGCATTCTCAGGAACTTCTTTGTGATGTTTGCATTCAAGTCACAGAACTGAACATTCCCTTTCATAGAGCAGGTTTGAAACACTCTTTCTGTAGTATCTGCAAGCTGACGTTTCAAGCGCTTTCAGGCCTATGGTGAGAAAGGAAATATCTTCAAGTAAAAACTAGACAGAAGCATTCTCAGAAACTTATTTGCGATGTGTGTCCTCAACTAACAGAGTTGAACCTTTCTTTTGATATAACATTTTGGAAACACTCTTTTTGTAGAATCTGTAAGTGGATATTTGAATAGCTTTGAAGGTTTCGTTGGAAACGGGAATATCTTCTTATAAAATCAAGACAGAAGCATTCTCAGAAAGTGCTTTGTGATGTTTGCATTCAAGTCACAGAGTTGAATGTTCCCTTTTATAGAGCAGGTTTGAAACACTCTTTCTGCACTACCTGGAAGTGGACATTTGGAGCGCTTTGAGGCCTATGTTGAAAAAGGAAATATCTTCCCATAAAAACTAGACAGAAGCATTCTCAGAAACTTGTTTGTGATGTGTGTATTCAACTAACAGAGATGAACCTTTCTTTTTACAGAGCAGTTTTGAAACACTCTTTTTGTGGAATCTGAAAGTGGATATTTGGATAGCTTTGAGGATTTCGTTGGAAACGGGATTACATATAAAACCTAGAGAGAAGCATTCTCAGGAACTTCTTTGTGATGTTTGCATTCAAGTCACAGAACTGAACATTCCCTTTCATAGAGCAGGTTTGAAACACTCTTTCTGTAGTATCTGCAAGCGGACGTTTCAAGCACTTTCAGGCCTATGGTGAGAAAGGAAATATCTTCAAGTAAAAACTAGACAGAAGCATTCTCAGAAACTTATTTGCCATGTGTGTTCTCAACTAACAGAGTTGAACCTTTGTTTTGATACGGCATTTTGGAAACACTCTTTTTGTAGAATCTGCAGGTGGATATTCGGATAGCTTTGAAGGTTTCGTTGGAAACGGGAATATCTTCATATAAAATCTAGACGGAAGCATTCTCAGAAACTGCTTTGTGATGTTTTCATTCAAGTCACAGAGTAGAATGTTCCCTGTTATATACCAGGTTTGAGACACTCTTTCTGCACTACCTGGAAGTGGACGTTTGGAGCGCTTTGAGGCGTATGTTGAAAAAGGAAATATCTTCCCATAAAAATTAGACAGAAGCATTCTCAGAAACTTGTTTGTGATGTGTGTATTCAACTAACAGAGATGAACCTTTCTTTTTACAGAGCAGTTTTGAAACACTCTTTTTGTGGAATCTGAAAGTGGATATTTGGATAGCTTTGAGGATTTCGTTGGAAACGGGATTACATATAAAACCTAGAGAGAAGCATTCTCAGGAACTTCTTTGTGATGTTTGCATTCAAGTCACAGAACTGAACATTCCCTTTCATAGAGCAGGTTTGAAACACTCTTTCTGTAGTATCTGCAAGCTGACGTTTCAAGCGCTTTCAGGCCTATGGTGAGAAAGGAAATATCTTCAAGTAAAAACTAGACAGAAGCATTCTCAGAAACTTATTTGCCATGTGTGTTCTCAACTAACAGAGTTGAACCTTTGTTTTGATACGGCATTTTGGAAACCCTCTTTTTGTAGAATCTGCAGGTGGATATTCGGATAGCTTTGAAGGTTTCGTTGGAAACGGGAATATCTTCATATAAAATGTAGACGGAAGCATTCTCAGAAACTGCTTTGTGATGTTTTCATTCAAGTCACAGAGTAGAATGTTCCCTGTTATATACCAGGTTTGAGACACTCTTTCTGCACTACCTGGAAGTGGACGTTTGGAGCGCTTTGAGGCGTATGTTGAAAAAGGAAATATCTTCCCATGAAAACTAGACAGAAGCATTCTCAGAAACTTGTTTGTGATGTGTGTATTCAACTAACAGAGATGAACCTTTCTTTTTACAGAGCAGTTTTGAAACACTCTTTTTGTGGAATCTGAAAGTGGATATTTGGATAGCTTTGAGGATTTCGTTGGAAACGGGATTACATATAAAATCTAGAGAGAAGCATTCTCAGGAACATCTTTGTGATGTTTGCATTCACGTCACTGAACTGAACATTCCCTTTCATAGAGCATGTTTGAAACACTCTTTCTGTAGTATCTGCAAACGGACATTTCAAACGCTTTCAGGCCTATGGTGAGAAAGGAAATATCTTCAAATAAAAACTAGACAGAAGCATTCTCAGAAACTTATTTGCCATGTGTGTTCTCAACTAACAGAGTTGAACCTTTGTTTTGATACGGCATTTTGGAAACACTCTTTTTGTAGAATCTGCAGGTGGATATTCGGATAGCTTTGAAAGTTTCGTTGGAAACGGGAATATCTTCATATAAAATCTAGACGGAAGCATTCTCAGAAACTGCTTTGTGATGTTTTCATTCAAGCCACAGAGTAGAATGTTCCCTTTTATATACCAGGTTTGAGACACTCTTTCTGCACTATCTGGAAGTGGACATTTGGAGCGCTTTGAGGCCTATGATGAAAAAGGAAATATCTTCCCATAAAAACTAGACAGAAGCATTCTCAGAAACTTGTTTGTGATGTGTGTATTCAACTAACAGAGATGAACCTTTCTTTTTACAGAGCAGTTTTGAAACACTCTTTTTGTGGAATCTGAAAGTGGATATTTGGATAGCTTTGAGGATTTCGTTGGAAACGGGATTACATATAAAATCTAGAGAGAAGCATTCTCAGGAACTTCTTTGTGATGTTTGCATTCAAGTCACAGAACTGAACATTCCCTTTCATAGAGCATGTTTGAAACACTCTTTCTGTAGTATCTGCAAGCGGACGTTTCAAGCGCTTTCAGGCCTATGGTGAGAAAGGAAATATCTTCAAGTAAAAACTAGACAGAAGCATTCTCAGAAACTTATTTGCCATGTGTGTTCTCAACTAACAGAGTTGAACCTTTGTTTTGATACGGCATTTTGGAAACACTCTTTTTGTAGAATCTGCAGGTGGATATTCGGATAGCTTTGAAGGTTTCGTTGGAAACGGGAATATCTTCATATAAAATCTAGACGGAAGCATTCTCAGAAAGTGCTTTGTGATGTTTTCATTCAAGTCACAGTGTAGAATGTTCCCTTTTATATACCAGGTTTGAGACACTCTTTCTGCACTATCTGGAAGTGGACATTTGGAGCGCTTTGAGGCTTATGTTGAAAAAGGAAATATCTTCCCATAAAAACTAGACAGAAGCATTCTCAGAAACTTGTTTGTGATGTGTGTATTCAACTAACAGAGATGAACCTTTCTTTTTACAGAGCAGTTTTGAAACACTCTTTTTGTGGAATCTGAAAGTGGATATTTGGATAGCTTTGAGGATTTCGTTGGAAACGGGATTACATACAAAATCTAGAGAGAAGCATTCTCAGGAACTTCTTTGTGATGTTTGCATTCACGTCACAGAACTGAACATTCCCTTTCATAGAGCATGTTTGAAACACTCTTTCTGTAGTATCTGCAAACGGACATTTCAAGCGCTTTCAGGCCTATGGTAAGAAAGGAAATATCTTCAAGTAAAAACTAGACAGAAGCATTCTCAGAAACTTATTTGCGATGTGTGTCCTCAACTAACAGAGTTGAACCTTTGTTTTGATACAACATTTTGGAAACACTCTTTTTGTAGAATCTGCAAGTGGATATTTGGATAGCTTTGAAGGTTTCGTTGGAAACGGGAATATCTTCATATAAAATCAAGACAGAAGCATTCTCAGAAAGTGCTTTGTGATGTTTGCATTCAAGTCACAGAGTTGAATATTCCCTTTTATAGAGCAGGTTTGAAACACTCTTTTTGCACTACCTGGAAGTGGACATTTGGAGCGCTTTGAGGCCTATGTTGAAAAAGGAAATATCTTCCCATAAAAACTAGACAGAAGCATTCTCAGAAACTTGTTTGTGATGTGTGTATTCAACTAACAGAGATGAACCTTTCTTTTTACAGAGTAGTTTTGAAACACTCTTTTTGTGGAATCCGAAAGTGGATATTTGGATAGCTTTGAGGATTTCGTTGGAAACGGGATTACATATAAAATCTAGGGAGAAGCATTCTCAGGAACTTCTTTGTGATGTTTGCATTCAAGTCACAGAACTGAACATTCCCTTTCATAGAGCAGGTTTGAAACACTCTTTCTGTAGTATCTGCAAGCGGACGTTTGAAGCGCTTTCAGGCCTGTGGTGAAAAAGGAAATATCTTCAAATAAAAACTAGACAGAAGCATTCTCAGAAACTTATTTGCGATGTGTGTCCTCAACTAACAGAGTTGAACCTTTCTTTTGATACAACATTTTGGAAACACTCTTTTTGTAGAATCTGCAAGTGGATATTTGGATAGCTTTGAAGGTTTCGTTGGAAACGGGAATATCTTCATATGAAATCAAGACAGAAGCATTCTCAGAAACTTCTCTGTGATGTTTGCATTCAACTCATAGAGTTGAACACTTCCCTTCATACAGCAGGTTTGAAACACTCTTTTTCTAATATTTGGAAGTGGACATTTTCAGCGCTTTGAGGCCTATGTTGAAAAAGGATATATCTTCTCCTAAAAACCAGACAGAAGCATTCTCAGAAACTTCCTTGTGATGTGTGTACTCAAGTAACAGAGTTGAACCTTCCTTTTGACAGAGCAGTTTTGAAGCACTCTTTTTGTAGAATCTGCAAGTGGATATTTTGATACCTTTGAGGATTTCGTTGGACACGGGATATCTTCATATAAAATCTAGACAGAAGCATTCTCAGAAACTTACCTTGTGATGTGTGTACTCAAGTAACAGAGTTGAACCTTACTTTTGACAGAGCCGTTTTGAAACAGTCTTTTTGTAGAATCTGGAAGTAGATATTTGGACACATTTGAGGATTTCTTTGGAAACGGGATATCTTCATATAAAATCTAGACAGAAGCATTCTCAGAAAGTGCTTTGTGATGTTTGCATTCAAGTCACAGAGTTGAATATTCCCTTTTATAGAGCAGGTTTGAAACACTCTTTCTGCACTACCTGGAAGTGGACATTTGGAGCGCTTTGAGGCCTATGTTGAAAAAGGAAATATCTTCCCATAAAAACTAGACAGAAGCATTCTCAGAAATTTGTTTGTGATGTGTGTATTCAACTAACAGAGATGAACCTTTCTTTTTACAGAGCAGTTTTGAAACACTCTTTTTGTGGATTCTGAAAGTGGATATTTGGATAGCTTTGAGGATTTTGTTGGAAACGGGATTACATATAAAACCTAGAGAGAAGCATTCTCAGGAACTTCTTTGTGATGTTTGCATTCAAGTCACAGAACTGAACATTCCCTTTCATAGAGCAGGTTTGAAACACTCTTTCTGTAGTATCTGCAAGCTGACGTTTCAAGCGCTTTCAGGCCTATGGTGAGAAAGGAAATATCTTCAAGTAAAAACTAGACAGAAGCATTCTCAGAAACTTATTTGCGATGTGTGTTCTCAACTAACAGAGTTGAACCTTTGTTTTGATATGGCATTTTGGAAACACTCTTTTTGTAGAATCTGCAGGTGGATATTCGGATAGCTTTGAAGGTTTCGTTGGAAACGGGAATATCTTCATATAAAATCTAGACGGAAGCATTCTCAGAAAGTGCTTTGTGATGTTTTCATTCAAGTCACAGAGTAGAATCTTCCCTGTTATATACCAAGTTTCAGACACTCTTTCTGCACTACCTGGAAGTGGACATTTGCAGCGCTTTGAGGCCTATGATGAAAAAGGAAATATCTTCCCATAAAAACTAGACAGAAGCATTCTCAGAAACTTGTTTGTGATGTGTGTATTCAACTAACAGAGATGAACCTTTCTTTTTACAGAGCAGTTTTGAAACACTCTTTTTGTGGAATCTGAAAGTGGATATTTGGATAGCTTTGAGGATTTCGTTGGAAACGGGATTACATATAAAATCTAGAGAGAAGCATTCTCAGGAACTTCTTTGTGATGTTTGCATTCACGTCACAGAACTGAACATTCCCTTTCATAGAGCATGTTTGAAACACTCTTTCTGTAGTATCTGCAAGCGGACGTTTTAAGCGCTTTCAAGCCTGTGGTGAGAAAGGAAATATCTTCAAATAAAAACTAGACAGAAGCATTCTCAGAAACTTCTTTGTGCTGTATGTCCTCAATTAACAGAGTTGAACCTTTGTGTGGATACAGCATTTTGGAAACATTCCTTTAGTAGAATCTGCAAGTTGATATTTAGATAGCTAGGAAGATTTCCTTGGAAACGGGAATATCTTCATATAAAATCTAGACGGAAGCATTCTCAGAAAGTGCTTTGTGATGTCTTCATTCAAGTCACAGAGTAGAATGTTCCCTTTTATAGAGCAGGTTTGAAACACTCTTTCTGCACTACCTGGAAGTGGACATTTGGAGCGCTTTGAGGCCTATGTTGAAAAACGAAATATCTTCCCATAAAAACTAGACAGAAGCATTCTCAGAAACTTGTTTGTGATGTGTGTATTCAACTAACAGAGATGAACCTTTCTTTTTACAGAGCAGTTTTGAAACACTCTTTTTGTGGAATCTGAAAGTGGATATTTGGATAGCTTTGAGGATTTCGTTGGAAACGGGATTACATATAAAACCTAGAGAGAAGCATTCTCAGGAACTTTTTTGTGATGTTTGCATTCAAGTCACAGAACTGAACATTCCCTTTCATAGAGCAGGTTTGAAACACTCTTTCTGTAGTATCTGCAAGCGGACGTTTTAAGCGCTTTCAGGCCTGTGGTGAGAAAGGAAATATCTTCAAATAAAAACTAGACAGAAGCATTCTCAGAAACTTATTTGCGATGTGTGTCCTCAACTAACAGAGTTGAACCTTTCTTTTGATACAACATTTTGGAAACACTCTTTTTGTAGAATTTGCAAGTGGATATTTGGATAACTTTGAAGGTTTCGTTGGAAACGGGAATATCTTCATATGAAATCAAGACAGAAGCATTCTCAGAAACTGCTTTGTGATGTTTTCATTCAAGTCACAGAGTAGAATGTTCCCTGTTATATACCAGGTTTGAGACACTCTTTCTGCACTACCTGGAAGTGGACGTTTGGAGCGCTTTGAGGCGTATGTTGAAAAAGGAAATATCTTCCCATAAAAACTAGACAGAAGCATTCTCAGAAACTTGTTTGTGATGTGTGTATTCAACTAACAGAGATGAACCTTTCTTTTTACAGAGCAGTTTTGAAACACTCTTTTTGTGGAATCTGAAAGTGGATATTTGGATAGCTTTGAGGATTTCGTTGGAAACGGGATTACATATAAAACCTAGAGAGAAGCATTCTCAGGAACTTCTTTGTGATGTTTGCATTCAAGTCACAGAACTGAACATTCCCTTTCATAGAGCAGGTTTGAAACACTCTTTCTGTAGTATCTGCAAGCTGACGTTTCAAGTGCTTTCAGGCCTATGGTGAGAAAGGAAATATCTTCAAGTAAAAACTAGACAGAAAGCATTCTCAGAAAACTTATTTGCCATGTGTGTTCTCAACTAACAGAGTTGAACCTTTGTTTTGATACGGCATTTTGGAAACACTCTTTTTGTAGAATCTGCAGGTGGATATTCGGATAGCTTTGAAGGTTTCGTTGGAAACGGGAATATCTTCATATAAAATCTAGACGGAAGCATTCTCAGAAACTGCTTTGTGATGTTTTCATTGAAGTCACAGAGTAGAATGTTCCCTTTTATATACCAGGTTTGAGACACTCTTTCTGCACTATCTGGAAGTGGACATTTGGAGTGCTTTGAGGCCTATGATGAAAAAGGAAATATCTTCCCATAAAAACTAGACAGAAGCATTCTCAGAAACTTGTTTGTGATGTGTGTATTCAACTAACAGAGATGAACCTTTCTTTTTACAGAGCAGTTTTGAAACACTCTTTTTGTGGAATCTGAAAGTGGATATTTGGATAGCTTTGAGGATTTCGTTGGAAACGGGATTACATATAAAATCTAGAGAGAAGCATTCTCAGGAACTTCTTTGTGATGTTTGCATTCACGTCACAGAACTGAACATTCCCTTTCATAGAGCATGTTTGAAACACTCTTTCTGTAGTATCTGCAAACGGACATTTCAAACGCTTTCAGGCCTATGGTGAGAAAGGAAATATCTTCAAGTAAAAACTAGACAGAAGCATTCTCAGAAACTTATTTGCGATGTGTGTCCTCAACTAACAGAGTTGAACCTTTCTTTTGATACAACATTTTGGAAACACTCTTTTTGTAGAATCAGCAAGTGGATATTTGAATAGCTTTGAAGGTTTCGTTGGAAACGGTAATATCTTCATATAAAATCAAGACAGAAGCATTCTCAGAAACTTCTCTGTGATGTTTGCATTCAACTCATAGAGTTGAACACTTCCCTTCATACAGCAGGTTTGAAACACTCTTTTTGTAATATTTGGAAGTGGACATTTGCAGCGCTTTGAGGCCTATGATGAAAAAGGTAATATCTTCCCATAAAAACTAGACAGAAGCATTCTCAGAAACTTGTTTGTGATGTGTGTATTCAACTAACAGAGATGAACCTTTCTTTTTACAGAGCAGTTTTGAAACACTCTTTTTGTGGAATCTGAAAGTGGATATTTGGATAGCTTTGCGGATTTCGTTGGAAACGGGATTACATATAAAATCTAGGGAGAAGCATTCTCAGGAACTTCTTTGTGATGTTTGCATTCAAGTCACAGAACTGAACATTCCCTTTCATAGAGCAGGTTTGAAACACTCTTTCTGTAGTATCTGCAAGCGGACGTTTTAAGCGCTTTCAGGCCTGTGGTGAGAAAGGAAATATCTTCAAATAAAAACTAGACAGAAGCATTCTCAGAAACTTATTTGCGATGTGTGTCCTCAACTAACAGAGTTGAACCTTTCTTTTGATACAACATTTTGGAAACACTCTTTTTGTAGAATCTGCAAGTGGATATTTGGATAGCTTTGAAGGTTTCGTTGGAAACGGGAATATCTTCATATGAAATCAAGACAGAAGCATTCTCAGAAACTTCTCTGTGATGTTTGCATTCAACTCATAGAGTTGAACACTTCCCTTCATACAGCAGGTTTGAAACACTCTTTTTGTAATATTTGGAAGTGGACATTTGCAGCGCTTTGAGGCCTATGTTGAAAAAGGAAATATCTTCTCCTAAAAACCAGACAGAAGCATTCTCAGAAACTTCCTTGTGATGTGTGTACTCAAGTAACAGAGTTGAACCTTCCTTTTGACAGAGCAGTTTTGAAGCACTCTTTTTGTAGAATCTGCAAGTGGATATTTTGATACCTTTGAGGATTTCGTTGGACACGGGATATCTTCATATGAAATCTAGACAGAAGCATTCTCAGGAACTTCTTTGTGATGTTTGCATTCACGTCACAGAACTGAACATTCCCTTTCATAGAGCATGTTTGAAACACTCTTTCTGTAGTATCTGCAAGCGGACATTTCAAACGCTTTCAGGCCTATGGTGAGAAAGGAAATATCTTCAAATAAAAACTAGACAGAAGCATTCTCAGAAACTTGTTTGCGATGTGTTTCCTCAACTAACAGAGTTGAACCTTTCTTTTGATACAACATTTTGGAAACACTCTTTTTGTAGAATCTGCAAGTGGATATTTGGATAGCTTTGAAGGTTTCTTTGGAAACGGGAATATCTTCATATAAAATCAAGACAGAAGCATTCTCAGAAACTTCTCTGTGATGTTTGCATTCAACTCATAGAGTTGAACACTTCCCTTCATACAGCAGGTTTGAAACACTCTTTTTGTAATATTTGGAAGTGGACATTTGCAGCGCTTTGAGGCCTATGATGAAAAAGGTAATATCTTCCCATAAAAACTAGACAGAAGCATTCTCAGAAACTTGTTTGTGATGTGTGTATTCAACTAACAGAGATGAACCTTTCTTTTTACAGAGGAGTTTTGAAACACTCTTTTTGTGGAATCTGAAAGTGGATATTTGGATAGCTTTGCGGATTTCGTTGGAAACGGGATTACATATAAAATCTAGGGAGAAGCATTCTCAGGAACTTCTTTGTGATGTTTGCATTCAAGTCACAGAACTGAACATTCCCTTTCATAGAGCAGGTTTGAAACACTCTTTCTGTAGTATCTGCAAGCGGACGTTTTAAGCGCTTTCAGGCCTGTGGTGAGAAAGGAAATATCTTCAAATAAAAACTAGACAGAAGCATTCTCAGAAACGTATTTGCGATGTGTGTCCTCAACTAACAGAGTTGAACCTTTCTTTTGATACAACATTTTGGAAACACTCTTTTTGTAGAATCTGCAAGTGGATATTTGGATAGCTTTGAAGGTTTCGTTGGAAACGGGAATATCTTCATATGAAATCAAGACAGAAGCATTCTCAGAAACTTCTCTGTGATGTTTGCATTCAACTCATAGAGTTGAACACTTCCCTTCATACAGCAGGTTTGAAACACTCTTTTTCTAATATTTGGAAGTGGACATTTGCAGCGCTTTGAGGCCTATGTTGAAAAAGGAAATATCTTCTCCTAAAAACCAGACAGAAGCATTCTCAGAAACTTCCTTGTGATGTGTGTACTCAAGTAACAGAGTTGAACCTTCCTTTTGACAGAGCAGTTTTGAAGCACTCTTTTTGTAGAATCTGCAAGTGGATATTTTGATACCTTTGAGGATTTCGTTGGACACGGGATATCTTCATATAAAATCTAGACAGAAGCATTCTCAGAAACTTCTTTGTGCTGTATGTCCTCAATTAACAGAGTTGAACCTTTGTGTGGATACAGCATTTTGGAAACATTCCTTTAGTAGAATCTGCAAGTTGATATTTAGATAGCTAGGAAGATTTCCTTGGAAACGGGAATATCTTCATATAAAATCTAGACGGAAGCATTCTCAGAAAGTGCTTTGTGATGTTTGCATTCAAGTCACAGAGTTGAATATTCCCTTTTATAGAGCAGGTTTGAAACACTCTTTCTGCACTACCTGGAAGTGGACATTTGGAGCGCTTTGAGGCCTATGTTGAAAAAGGAAATATCTTCCTATAAAAACTAGACAGAAGCATTGTCAGAAACTTGTTTGTGATGTGTGTATTCAACTAACAGAGATGAACCTTTCTTTTTACAGAGCAGTTTTGAAACACTCTTTTTGTGGAATCTGAAAGTGGATATTTGGATAGCTTTGAGGATTTCGTTGGAAACGGGATTACATATAAAACCTAGAGAGAAGCATTCTCAGGAACTCCTTTGTGATGTTTGCCTTCAAGTCACAGGACTGAACATTCCCTTTCATAGAGCAGGTTTGAAACACTCTTTCTGTAGTATCTGCAAGCTGACGTTTCAAGCGCTTTCAGGCCTATGGTGAGAAAGGAAATATCTTCAAGTAAAAACTAGACAGAAGCATTCTCAGAAACTTATTTGCCATGTGTGTTCTCAACTACCAGAGTTGAACCTTTGTTTTGATACGGCATTTTGGAAACACTCTTTTTGTAGAATCTGCAGGTGGATATACGGATAGCTTTGAAGGTTTCGTTGGAAACGGGAATATCTTCATATAAAGTCTAGACGGAAGCATTCTCAGAAACTGCTTTGTGATGTTTTCATTGAAGTCACAGAGTAGAATGTTCCCTTTTATATACCAGGTTTGAGACACTCTTTCTGCACTATCTGGAAGTGGACATTTGGAGCGCTTTGAGGCCTATGATGAAAAAGGAAATATCTTCCCATAAAAACTAGACAGAAGCATTCTCAGAAACTTGTTTGTGATGTGTGTATTCAACTAACAGAGATGAACCTTTCTTTTTACAGAGCAGTTTTGAAACACTCTTTTTGTGGAATCTGAAAGTGGATATTTGGATAGCTTTGAGGATTTCGTTGGAAACGGGATTACATATAAAATCTAGAGAGAAGCATTCTCAGGAACTTCTTTGTGATGTTTGCATTCACGTCACAGAACTGAACATTCCCTTTCATAGAGCATGTTTGAAACACTCTTTCTGTAGTATCTGCAAACGGACATTTCAAGGGCTTTCAGGCCTATGGTAAGAAAGGAAATATCTTCAAATAAAAACTAGACAGAAGCATTCTCAGAAACTTATTTGCGATGTGTGTCCTCAACTAACAGAGTTGAACCTTTGTTTTGATACAACATTTTGGAAACACTCTTTTTGTAGAATCTGCAAGTGGATATTTGGATAGCTTTGAAGGTTTCGTTGCAAACGGGAATATCTTCATATAAAATCAAGACAGAAGCATTCTCAGAAACTTCTCTGTGATGTTTGCATTCAACTCATAGAGTTGAACACTTCCCTTCATAGAGCAGGTTTGAAACACTCTTTTTGTAATATTTGGAAGTGGACATTTGCAGCGCTTTGAGGCCTATGTTGAAAAAGGAAATATCTTCTCCTAAAAACCAGACAGAAGCATTCTCAGAAACTTCCTTGTGATGTGTGTACTCAAGTAACAGAGATGAACCTTGCTTTTGACAGAGCCGTTTTGAAACAGTCTTTTTGTAGAATCTGGAAGTAGATATTTGGATACCTTTGAGGATTTCTTTGGAAACGGGATATCTTCATATAAAATCTAGACAGAAGCATTCTCAGAAACTTCTTTGTGCTGTATGTCCTCAATTAACAGAGTTGAACCTTTGTGTGGATACAGCATTTTGGAAACATTCCTTTAGTAGAATCTGCAAGTTGATATTTAGATAGCTAGGAAGATTTCCTTGGAAACGGGAATATCTTCATATAAAATCTAGACGGAAGCATTCTCAGAAAGTGCTTTGTGATGTTTGCATTCAAGTCACAGAGTTGAATATTCCCTTTTATAGAGCAGGTTTGAAACACTCTTTCTGCACTACCTGGAAGTGGACATTTGGAGCGCTTTGAGGCCCATGTTGAAAAAGGAAATATCTTCCCATAAAAACTAGACAGAAGCATTCTCAGAAACTTGTTTGTGATGTGTGTATTCAACTAACAGAGATGAACCTTTCTTTTTACAGAGCAGTTTTGAAACACTCTTTTTGTGGAATCTGAAAGTGGATATTTGGATAGCTTTGAGGATTTCGTTGGAAACGGGATTACATATAAAACCTAGAGAGAAGCATTCTCAGGAACTTCTTTGTGATGTTTGCATTCAAGTCACAGAACTGAACATTCCCTTTCATAGAGCAGGTTTGAAACACTCTTTCTGTAGTATCTGCAAGCGGACGTTTTAAGCGCTTTCAGGCCTGTGGTGAGAAAGGAAATATCTTCAAATAAAAACTAGACAGAAGCATTCTCAGAAACTTATTTGCGATGTGTGTCCTCAACTAACAGAGTTGAACCTTTCTTTTGATACAACATTTTGGAAACACTCTTTTTGTAGAATCTGCAAGTGGATATTTGGATAGCTTTGAAGGTTTCGTTGGAAACGGGAATATCTTCATATGAAATCAAGACAGAAGCATTCTCAGAAACTTCTCTGTGATGTTTGCATTCAACTCATAGAGTTGAACACTTCCCTTCATACAGCAGGTTTGAAACACTCTTTTTCTAATATTTGGAAGTGGACATTTGCAGCGCTTTGAGGCCTATGTTGAAAAAGGAAATATCTTCTCCTAAAAACCAGACAGAAGCATTCTCAGAAACTTCCTTGTGATGTGTGTACTCAAGTAACAGAGTTGAACCTTCCTTTTGACAGAGCAGTTTTGAAGCACTCTTTTTGTAGAATCTGCAAGTGGATATTTTGATACCTTTGAGGATTTCGTTGGAAACGGGATATCTTCATATAAAATCTAGACAGAAGCATTCTCAGGAACTTCTTTGTGATGTTTGCCTTCAAGTCACAGGACTGAACATTCCCTTTCATAGAGCAGGTTTGAAACACTCTTTCTGTAGTATCTGCAAGCTGACGTTTCAAGCGCTTTCAGGCCTATGGTGAGAAAGGAAATATCTTCAAGTAAAAACTAGACAGAAGCATTCTCAGAAACTTATTTGCCATGTGTGTTCTCAACTAACAGAGTTGAACCTTTGTTTTGATACGGCATTTTGGAAACACTCTTTTTGTAGAATCTGCAGGTGGATATTCGGATAGCTTTGAAGGTTTCTTTGGAAACGGGAATATCTTCATATAAAATCTAGACGAAAGCATTCTCAGAAACTGCTTTGTGATGTTTTCATTCAAGTCACAGAGTAGAATCTTCCCTGTTATATACCAGGTTTCAGACACTCTTTCTGCACTACCTGGAAGTGGACATTTGCAGCGCTTTGAGGCCTATGATGAAAAAGGAAATATCTTCCCATAAAAACTAGACAGAAGCATTCTCAGAAACTTGTTTGTGATGTGTGTATTCAACTAACAGAGATGAACCTTTCTTTTTACAGAGCAGTTTTGAAACACTCTTTTTGTGGAATCTGAAAGTGGATATTTAGATAGCTTTGAGGATTTCGTTGGAAACGGGATTACATATAAAATCTAGAGAGAAGCATTCTCAGGAACTTCTTTGTGATGTTTGCATTCACGTCACAGAACTGAACATTCCCTTTCATAGAGCATGTTTGAAACACTCTTTCTGTAGTATCTGCAAACGGACATTTCAAACGCTTTCAGGCCTATGGTGAGAAAGGAAATATCTTCAAATAAAAACTAGACAGAAGCATTCTCAGAAACTTATTTGCGATGTGTGTCCTCAACTAACAGAGTTGAACCTTTCTTTTGATACAACATTTTGGAACCACTCTTTTTCTAGAATCTGCAAGTGGATATTTGGATAGTTTTGAAGGTTTCGTTGGAAACGGGAATATCTTCATATAAAATCAAGACAGAAGCATTCTCAGAAACTGCTTTGTGATGTTTTCATTCAAGTCACAGAGTAGAATGTTCCCTGTTATATACCAGGTTTGAGACACTCTTTCTGCACTACCTGGAAGTGGACGTTTGGAGCGCTTTGAGGCCTATGTTGAAAAAGGAAATATCTTCCCATAAAAACTAGACAGAAGCATTCTCAGAAACTTGTTTGTGATGTGTGTATTCAACTAACAGGGATGAACCTTTCTTATTACAGAGCAGTTTTGAAACACTCTTTTTGTGGAATCTGAAAGTGGATATTTGGATAGCTTTGAGGATTTCGTTGGAAACGGGATTACATATAAAACCTAGAGAGAAGCATTCTCAGGAACTTCTTTGTGATGTTTGCATTCAAGTCACAGAACTGAACATTCCCTTTCATAGAGCATGTTTGAAACACTCTTTCTGTAGTATCTGCAAACGGACATTTGAAACGCTTTCAGGCCTATGGTGAGAAAGGAAATATCTTCAAATAAAAACTAGACAGAAGCATTCTCAGAAACTTCTTTGTGCTGTATGTCCTCAATTAACAGAGTTGAACCTTTGTGTGGATACAGCATTTTGGAAACATTCCTTTAGTAGAATCTGCAAGTTGATATTTAGATAGCTAGGAAGATTTCCTTGGAAACGGGAATATCTTCATATAAAATCTAGACGGAAGCATTCTCAGAAAGTGCTTTGTGATGTCTTCATTCAAGTCACAGAGTAGAATGTTCCCTTTTATAGAGCAGGTTTGAAACACTCTTTCTGCACTACCTGGAAGTGGACATTTGGAGCGCTTTGAGACCTATGTTGAAAAAGGAAATATCTTCCCATAAAAACTAGACAGAAGCATTCTCAGAAACTTGTTTGTGATGTGTGTATTCAACTAACAGAGATGAACCTTTCTTTTTACAGAGTAGTTTTGAAACACTCTTTTTGTGGAATCTGAAAGTGGATATTTGGATAGCTTTGAGGATTTCGTTGGAAACGGGATTACATATAAAACCTAGAGAGAAGCATTCTCAGGAACTTCTTTGTGATGTTTGCATTCAAGTCACAGAACTGAACATTCCCTTTCATAGAGCAGGTTTGAAACACTCTTTCTGTAGTATCTGCAAGCTGACGTTTCAAGCGCTTTCAGGCCTATGGTGAGAAAGGAAATATCTTCAAGTAAAAACTAGACAGAAGCATTCTCAGAAACTTATTTGCCATGTGTGTTCTCAACTAACATAGTTGAACCTTTGTTTTGATACGGCATTTTGGAAACACTCTTTTTGTAGAATCTGCAGGTGGATATTCGGATAGCTTTGAAGGTTTCGTTGGAAACGGGAATATCTTCATATAAAATCTAGACGGAAGCATTCTCAGAAACTTCTCTGCGATGTTTGCATTCAACTCATACAGTTGAACACTTCCCTTCATACAGCAGGTTTGAAACACTCTTTTTGTAATATTTGGAAGTGGACATTTGCAGCGCTTTGAGGCCTATGATGAAAAAGGTAATATCTTCCCATAAAATCTAGACAGAAGCATTCTCAGAAACTTGTTTGTGATGTGTGTATTCAACTAACAGAGATGAACCTTTCTTTTTACAGAGCAGTTTTGAAACACTCTTTTTGTGGAATCTGAAAGTGGATATTTGGATAGCTTTGCGGATTTCGTTGGAAACGGGATTACATATAAAATCTAGGGAGAAGCATTCTCAGGAACTTCTTTGTGATGTTTGCATTCAAGTCACAGAACTGAACATTCCCTTTCATAGAGCAGGTTTGAAACACTCTTTCTGTAGTATCTGCAAGCGGACGTTTTAAGCGCTTTCAGGCCTGTGGTGAGAAAGGAAATATCTTCAAATAAAAACTAGACAGAAGCATTCTCAGAAACTTATTTGCGATGTGTGTCCTCAACTAACAGAGTTGAACCTTTCTTTTGATACAACATTTTGGAAACACTCTTTTTGTAGAATCTGCAAGTGGATATTTGGATAGCTTTGAAGGTTTCGTTGGAAACGGGAATATCTTCATATGAAATCAAGACAGAAGCATTCTCAGAAACTTCTCTGTGATGTTTGCATTCAACTCATAGAGTTGAACACTTCCCTTCATACAGCAGGTTTGAAACACTGTTTTTCTAATATTTGGAAGTGGACATTTGCAGCGCTTTGAGGCCTATGTTGAAAAAGGAAATATCTTCTCCTAAAAACCAGACAGAAGCATTCTCAGAAACTTCCTTGTGATGTGTGTACTCAAATAACAGAGTTGAACCTTCCTTTTGACGGAGCAGTTTTGAAGCACTCTTTTTGTAGAATCTGCAAGTGGATATTTTGATACCTTTGAGGATTTCGTTGGACACGGGATATCTTCATATAAAATCTAGGCAGAAGCATTCTCAGGAACTTCTTTGTGATGTTTGCATTCAAGTCACAGAACTGAACATTCCCTTTCATAGAGCATGTTTGAAACACTCTTTCTGTAGTATCTGCAAACGGACGTTTTAAGCGCTTTCAGGCCTGTGGTGAGAAAGGAAATATCTTCAAATAAAAACTAGACAGAAGCATTCTCAGAAACTTATTTGCGATGTGTGTCCTCAACTAACAGAGTTGAACCTTTCTTTTGATAAAACATTTTGGAACCACTCTTTTTGTAGAATCTGCAAGTGGATATTTGGATAGCTTTGAAGGTTTCGTTGGAAACGGGAATATCTTCATATAAAATCAAGACAGAAGCATTCTCAGAAAGTGCTTTGTGATGTTTGCATTCAAGTCACAGAGTTGAATATTCCCTTTTATAGAGCAGGTTTGAAACACTCTTTCTGTACTACCTGGAAGTGGACATTTGGAGCGCTTTGAGGCCTATGTTGAAAAAGGAAATATCTTCCCATAAAAACTAGACAGAAGCATTCTCAGAAATTTGTTTGTGATGTGTGTATTCAACTAACAGAGATGAACCTTTCTTTTTACAGAGCAGTTTTGAAACACTCTTTTTGTGGATTCTGAAAGTGGATATTTGGATAGCTTTGAGGATTTTGTTGGAAACGGGATTACATATAAAACCTAGAGAGAAGCATTCTCAGAAACTTCTCTGTGATGTTTGCATTCAACTCACAGAGTTGAACACTTCCTTTCATAGAGCTGGTTTGAAATACTGTTTTTGTAATATTTGGAAGTGGACATTGGCAGCGCTTTGAAGCCTATGGTGAAAAAGGAGATATCTTCTCCTAAAAACCAGACAGAAGCATTCTCAGAAACTTATTTGCGATGTGTGTTCTCAACTAACAGAGTTGAACCTTTGTTTTGATATGGCATTTTGGAAACACTCTTTTTGTAGAATCTGCAGGTGGATATTCGGATAGCTTTGAAGGTTTCGTTGGAAACGGGAATATCTTCATATAAAATCTAGACGGAAGCATTCTCAGAAACTGCTTTGTGATGTTTTCATTCAAGTCACAGAGTAGAATCTTCCCTGTTATATACCAGGTTTGAGACACTCTTTCTGCACTACCTGGAAGTGGACATTTGCAGCGCTTTGAGGCCTATGATGAAAAAGGAAATATCTTCCCATAAAAACTAGACAGAAGCATTCTCAGAAACTTGTTTGTGATGTGTGTATTCAACTAACAGAGATGAACCTTTCTTTTTACAGAGCAGTTTTGAAACACTCTTTTTGTGGAATCTGAAAGTGGATATTTGGATAGCTTTGAGGATTTCGTTGGAAACGGGATTACATATAAAATCTAGAGAGAAGCATTCTCAGGAACTTCTTTGTGATGTTTGCATTCACGTCACAGAACTGAACATTCCCTTTCATAGAGCATGTTTGAAACACTCTTTCTGTAGTATCTGCAAACGGACATTTCAAACGCTTTCAGGCCTATGGTGAGAAAGGAAATATCTTCAAATAAAAACTAGACAGAAGCATTCTCAGAAACTTATTTGCGATGTGTGTCCTCAACTAACAGAGTTGAACCTTTCTTTTGATACAACATTTTGGAAACACTCTTTTTGTAGAATCTGCAAGTGGATATTTGGATAGCTTTGAAGGTTTCGTTGGAAACGGGAATATCTTCATATAAAATCAAGACAGAAGCATTCTCAGAAACTTCTCTGTGATGTTTGCATTCAACTCATAGAGTTGAACACTTCCCTTCATACAGCAGGTTTGAAACACTCTTTTTGTAATATTTGGAAGTGGACATTTGCAGCGCTTTGAGGCCTATGTTGAAAAAGGAAATATCTTCTCCTAAAAACCAGACAGAAGCATTCTCAGAAACTTCCTTGTGATGTGTGTACTCAAGTAACAGAGTTGAACCTTCCTTTTGACAGAGCAGTTTTGAAGCACTCTTTTTGTAGAATCTGCAAGTGGATATTTTGATACCTCTGAGGATTTCGTTGGAAACGGGATTACATATAAAACCTAGAGAGAAGCATTCTCAGGAACTTCTTTGTGATGTTGGCCTTCAAGTCACAGGACTGAACATTCCCTTTCATAGAGCAGGTTTGAAACACTCTTTCTGTAGTATCTGCAAGCTGACGTTTCAAGCGCTTTCAGGCCTATGGTGAGAAAGGAAATATCTTCAAGTAAAAACTAGACAGAAGCATTCTCAGAAACTTATTTGCCATGTGTGTTCTCAACTAACAGAGTTGAACCTTTGTTTTGATACGGCATTTTGGAAACACTCTTTTTGTAGAATCTGCAGGTGGATATTCGGATAGCTTTGAAGGTTTCGTTGGAAACGGGAATATCTTCATATAAAATCTAGACGGAAGCATTCTCAGAAACTGCTTTGTGATGTTTTCATTCAAGTCACAGAGTAGAATGTTCCCTGTTATATACCAGGTTTGAGACACTCTTTCTGCACTACCTGGAAGTGGACGTTTGGAGCGCTTTGAGGCGTATGTTGAAAAAGGAAATATCTTCCCATAAAAATTAGACAGAAGCATTCTCAGAAACTTGTTTGTGATGTGTGTATTCAACTAACAGAGATGAACCTTTCTTTTTACAGAGCAGTTTTGAAACACTCTGTTTGTGGAATCTGAAAGTGGATATTTGGATAGCTTTGAGGATTTCGTTGGAAACGGGATTACATATAAAACCTAGAGAGAAGCATTCTCAGGAACTTCTTTGTGATGTTTGCATTCAAGTCACAGAACTGAACATTCCCTTTCATAGAGCAGGTTTGAAACACTCTTTCTGTAGTATCTGCAAGCTGACGTTTCAAGCGCTTTCAGGCCTATGGTGAGAAAGGAAATATCTTCAAGTAAAAACTAGACAGAAGCATTCTCAGAAACATATTTGCCATGTGTGTTCTCAACTAACAGAGTTGAACCTTTGTTTTGATACGGCATTTTGGAAACACTCTTTTTGTAGTATCTGCAGGTGGATATTCGGATAGCTTTGAAGGTTTCGTTGGAAACGGGAATATCTTCATATAAAATCTAGACGGAAGCATTCTCAGAAACTGCTTTGTGATGTTTTCATTCAAGTCACAGAGTAGAATGTTCCCTGTTATATACCAGGTTTGAGACACTCTTTCTGCACTACCTGGAAGTGGACGTTTGGAGCGCTTTGAGGCCTATGTTGAAAAAGGAAATATCTTCCCATAAAAACTAGACAGAAGCATTCTCAGAAACTTGTTTGTGATGTGTGTATTCAACTAACAGAGATGAACCTTTCTTTTTACAGAGCAGTTTTGAAACACTCTTTTTGTGGAATCTGAAAGTGGATATTTGGATAGCTTTGAGGATTTCGTTGGAAACGGGATTACATATAAAATCTAGAGAGAAGCATTCTCAGGAACTTCTTTGTGATGTTTGCATTCACGTCACAGAACTGAACATTCCCTTTCATAGAGCATGTTTGAAACACTCTTTCTGTAGTATCTGCAAACGGACATTTCAAACGCTTTCAGGCCTATGGTGAGAAAGGAAATATCTTCAAATAAAAACTAGACAGAAGCATTCTCAGAAACTTATTTGCGATGTGTGTCCTCAACTATCAGAGTTGAACCTTTCTTTTGATTCAACATTTTGGAACCACTCTTTTTGTAGAATCTGCAAGTGGATATTTGAATAGCTTTGAAGGTTTCGTTGGAAACGGGAATATCTTCATATAAAATCAAGACAGAAGCATTCTCAGAAACTTCTCTGTGATGTTTGCATTCAACTCATAGAGTTGAACACTTCCCTTCATACAGCAGGTTTGAAACACTCTTTTTGTAATATTTGGAAGTGGACATTTGCAGCGCTTTGAGGCCTATGTTGAAAAAGGAAATATCTTCTCCTAAAAACCAGACAGAAGCATTCTCAGAAACTTCCTTGTGATGTGTGTACTCAAGTAACAGAGTTGAACCTTCCTTTTGACAGAGCCGTTTTGAAACAGTCTTTTTGTAGAATCTGGAAGTAGATATTTGGATACCTTTGAGGATTTCTTTGGAAACGGGATATCTTCATATAAAATCTAGACAGAAGCATTCTCAGAAACTTCTTTGTGCTGTATGTCCTCAATTAACAGAGTTGAACCTTTGTGTGGATACAGCATTTTGGAAACACTCCTTTAGTAGAATCTGCAAGTTGATATTTAGATAGCTAGGAAGATTTCCTTGGAAACGGGAATATCTTCACATAAAATCTAGACGGAAGCATTCTCAGAAACTTCTATGTGATGTTTGCATTCAACTCATAGAGTTGAACACTTCCCTTCATACAGCAGGTTTGAAACACTCTTTTTGTAATATTTGGAAGTGGACATTTGCAGCGCTTTGAGGCCTATGATGAAAAAGGTAATATCTTCCCATAAAAACTAGACAGAAGCATTCTCAGAAACTTCCTTGTGATGTGTGTACTCAAGTAACAGAGTTGAACTTTACTTTTGACAGAGCCGTTTTGAAACAGTCTTTTTGTAGAATCTGGAACTAGATATTTGGATACCTTTGAGGATTTCTTTGGAAACGGGATATCTTCATATAAAATCTAGACAGAAGCATTCTCAGGAACTTCTTTGTGATGTTTGCATTCAAGTCACAGAACTGAACATTCCCTTTCATAGAGCATGTTTGAAACACTCTTTCTGTAGTATCTGCAAGCAGACGTTTCAAGCGCTTTCAGGCCTATGGTGAGAAAGGAAATATCTTCAAGTAAAAACTAGACAGAAGCATTCTCAGAAACTTATTTGCCATGTGTGTTCTCAACTAACAGAGTTGAACCTTTGTTTTGATACGGCATTTTGGAAACACTCTTTTTGTAGAATCTGCAGGTGGATATTCGGATAGCTTTGAAAGTTTCGTTGGAAACGGGAATATCTTCATATAAAATCTAGACGGAAGCATTCTCAGAAACTGCTTTGTGATGTTTTCATTCAAGCCACAGAGTAGAATGTTCCCTTTTATATACCAGGTTTGAGACACTCTTTCTGCACTATCTGGAAGTGGACATTTGGAGCGCTTTGAGGCCTATGATGAAAAAGGAAATATCTTCCCATAAAAACTAGACAGAAGCATTCTCAGAAACTTGTTTGTGATGTGTGTATTCAACTAACAGAGATGAACCTTTCTTTTTACAGAGCAGTTTTGAAACACTCTTTTTGTGGAATCTGAAAGTGGATATTTGGATAGCTTTGAGGATTTCGTTGGAAACGGGATTACATATAAAATCTAGAGAGAAGCATTCTCAGGAACTTCTTTGTGATGTTTGCATTCAAGTCACAGAACTGAACATTCCCTTTCATAGAGCATGTTTGAAACACTCTTTCTGTAGTATCTGCAAGCGGACGTTTCAAGCGCTTTCAGGCCTATGGTGAGAAAGGAAATATCTTCAAGTAAAAACTAGACAGAAGCATTCTCAGAAACTTATTTAACATGTGTGTTCTCAACTAACAGAGTTGAACCTTTGTTTTGATACGGCATTTTGGAAACACTCTTTTTGTAGAATCTGCTGGTGGATATTCGGATAGCTTTGAAGGTTTCGTTGGAAACGGGAATACCTTCATAGAAAATCTAGACGGAAGCATTCTCAGAAACTGCTTTGTGATGTTTTCATTCAAGTCACAGAGTAGAATGTTCTCTTTTATATACCAGGTTTGAGACACTCTTTCTGCACTATCTGGAAGTGGACATTTGGAGCGCTTTGAGGCCTATGATGAAAAAGGAAATATCTTCCCATAAAAACTAGACAGAAGCATTCTCAGAAACTTGTTTGTGATGTGTGTATTCAACTAACAGAGATGAACCTTTCTTTTTACAGAGCAGTTTTGAAACACTCTTTTTGTGGAATCTGAAAGTGCATATTTGGATAGCTTTGAGGATTTCGTAGGAAACGGGATTACATATAAAATCTAGAGAGAAGCATTCTCAGGAACTACTTTGTGATGTTTGCATTCAAGTCACAGAACTGAACATTCCCTTTCATAGAGCAGGTTTGAAACACTCTTTCTGTAGTATCTGCAAGCTGACGTTTCAAGCGCTTTCAGGCCTATGGTGAGAAAGGAAATATCTTCAAGTAAAAACTAGACAGAAGCATTCTCAGAAACTTATTTGCCATGTGTGTTCTCAACTAACAGAGTTGAACCTTTGTTTTGATACGGCATTTTGGAAACACTCTTTTTGTAGAATCTGCAGGTGGATATTCGGATAGCTTTGAAGGTTTCGTTGGAAACGGGAATACCTTCATATAAAATCTAGACGGAAGCATTCTCAGAAACTGCTTTGTGATGTTTTCATTCAAGTCACAGAGTAGAATGTTCCCTGTTATATACCAGGTTTGAGACACTCTTTCTGCACTACCTGGAAGTGGACGTTTGGAGCGCTTTGAGGCCTATGTTGAAAAAGGAAATATCTTCCCATAAAAACTAGACAGAAGCATTCTCAGAAACTTGTTTGTGATGTGTGTATTCAACTAAGAGAGATGAACCTTTCTTTTTACAGAGCAGTTTTGAAACACTCTTTTTGTGGAATCTGAAAGTGGTTATTTGGATAGCTTTGAGGATTTCGTTGGAAACGGGATTACATATAAAATCTAGAGAGAATCATTCTCAGGAACTTCTTTGTGATGTTTGCATTCACGTCACAGAACTGAACATTCCCTTTCATAGAGCATGTTTGAAACACTCTTACTGTAGTATCTGCAAACGGACATTTCAAACGCTTTCAGGCCTATGGTGAGAAAGGAAATATCTTCAAATAAAAACTAGACAGAAGCATTCTCAGAAACTTATTTGCCATGTGTGTCCTCAACTAACAGAGTTGAACCTTTGTTTTGATACAACATTTTGGAAACACTCTTTTTGTAGAATCTGCAAGTGGATATTTGGATAGCTTTGAAGGTTTCGTTGGAAACGGGAATATCTTCATATAAAATCAAGACAGAAGCATTCTCAGAAACTTCTCTGTGATGTTTGCATTCAACTCATAGAGGTGAACACTTCCCTTCATAGAGCAGGTTTGAAACACTCTTTTTGTAATATTTGGAAGTGGACATTTGCAGCGCTTTGAGGCCTATGTTGAAAAAGGAAATATCTTCTCCTAAAAACCAGACAGAAGCATTCTCAGAAACTTCCTTGTAATGTGTGTACTCAAGTAACAGAGTTGAACCTTCCTTTTGACAGAGCCGTTTTGAAACACTCTTTTTGTAGAATCTGCAAGTAGATATTTGGATACCTTTGAGGATTTCTTTGGAAACGGGATATCTTCATATAAAATCTAGACAGAAGCATTCTCAGAAACTTCTTTGTGCTGTATGTCTTCAATTAACAGAGTTGAACCTTTGTTTGGATACAGCATTTTGGAAACGTTCCTTTAGTAGAATCTGCAAGTTGATATTTAGATAGCTAGGAAGATTTCCTTGGAAACGGGAATATCTTCACATAAAATCTAGACGGAAGCATTCTCAGAAAGTGCTTTGTGATGTTTGCATTCAAGTCACAGAGTTGAATATTCCCTTTTATAGAGCAGGTTTGAAACACTCTTTCTGCACTACCTGGAGGTGGACATTTAGAGCGCTTTGAGGCCTATGTTGAAAAAGGAAATATCTTCCCATAAAAACTAGACAGAAGCATTCTCAGAAACTTGTTTGTGATGTGTGTATTCAACTAACAGAGATGAACCTTTCTTTTTACAGAGCAGTTTTGAAACACACTTTTTGTGGAATCTGAAAGTGGATATTTGGATAGCTTTGCGGATTTCGTTGGAAACGGGATTACATATAAAACCTAGAGAGAAGCATTCTCAGGAACTTCTTTGCGACGTTTGCATTCAAGTCACAGAACTGAACATTCCCTTTCATAGAGCAGGTTTGAAACACTCTTTCTGTAGTATCTGCAAGCTGACGTTTCAAGCGCTTTCAGGCCTATGGTGAGAAAGGAAATATCTTCAAATAAAAACTAGACAGAAGCATTCTCAGAAACTTATTTGCGATGTGTGTTCTCAACTAACAGAGTTGAACCTTTGTTTTGATATGGCATTTTGGAAACACTCTTTTTGTAGAATCTGCAGGTGGATATTCGGATAGCTTTGAACGTTTCGTTGGAAACGGGAATATCTTCATATAAAATCTAGACGGAAGCATTCTCAGAAACTGCTTTGTGATGTTTTCATTCAAGTCACAGAGTAGAATGTTCCCTGTTATATACCAGGTTTGAGATACTCTTTCTGCACTACCTGGAAGTGGACATTTGGAGCGCTTTGAGGCCTATGATGAAAAAGGAAATATCTTCCCATAAAAACTAGACAGAAGCATTCTCAGAAACTTGTTTGTGATGTGTGTATTCAACTAACAGAGATGAACCTTTCTTTTTACAGAGCAGTTTTGAAACACTCTTTTTGTGGAATCTGAAAGTGGATATTTGGATAGCTTTGCGGATTCCTTGGAAACGGGATTACATATAAAATCTAGGGAGAAGCATTCTCAGGAACTTCTTTGTGATGTTTGCATTCAAGTCACAGAACTGAACATTCCCTTTCATAGAGCAGATTTGAAACACTCTTTCTGTAGTATCTGCAAGCTGACGTTTCAAGCGCTTTCAGACCTATGGTGAGAAAGGAAATATCTTCAAGTAAAAACTAGACAGAAGCATTCTCAGAAACTTATTTGCCATGTGTGTTCTCAACTAACAGAGTTGAAGCTTTGTTTTCATACGGCATTTTGGAAACACTCTTTTTGTAGAATCTGCAGGTGGATATTCGGATAGCTTTAAAGGTTTCGTTGGAAACGGGAATATCTTCATATAAAATACTAGACGGAAGCATTCTCAGAAAATGCTTTGTGATGTTTTCATTCAAGTCACAGAGTAGAATGTTCCCTGTTATATACCAGGTTTGAGACACTGTTTCTCCACTACCTGGAAGTGGACATTTGGAGCGCTTTGAGGCCTATGATGAAAAAGGAAATATCTTCCCATAAAAACTAGACAGAAGCATTCTCAGAAACTTGTTTGTGATGTGTGTATTCAACTAACAGAGATGAACCTTTCTTTTTACAGAGCAGTTTTGAAACACTCTTTTTGTGGAATCTGAAAGTGGATATTTGGATAGCTTTGAGGATTTCGTTGGAAACGGGATTACATATAAAACCTAGAGAGAAGCATTCTCAGGAACTTCTTTGTGATGTTTGCCTTCAAGTCACAGGACTGAACATTCCCTTTCATAGAGCAGGTTTGAAACACTCTTTCTGTAGTATCTGCAAGCTGACGTTTCAAGCGCTTTCAGGCCTATGGTGAGAAAGGAAATATCTTCAAGTAAAAACTAGACAGAAGCATTCTCAGAAACTTATTTGCGATGTGTGTTCTCAACTAACAGAGTTGAACCTTTGTTTTGATATGGCATTTTGGAAACACTCTTTTTGTAGAATCTGCAGGTGGATATTCGGATAGCTTTGAAGGTTTCGTTGGAAACGGGAATATCTTCATATAAAATACTAGACGGAAGCATTCTCAGAAACTGCTTTGTGATGTTTTCATTCAAGTCACAGAGTAGAATGTTCCCTGTTATATACCAGGTTTGAGACACTCTTTCTGCACTACCTGGAATTGGACATTTGCAGCGCTTTGAGGCCTATGATGAAAAAGGAAATATCTTCCCATAAGAACTAGACAGAAGCATTCTCAGAAACTTGTTTGTGATGTGTGTATTCAACTAACAAGAGATGAACCTTTCTTTTTACAGAGCAGTTTTGAAACACTCTTTTTGTGGAATCTGAAAGTGGATATTTGGATAGCTTTGAGGATTTCGTTGGAAACGGGATTACATATAAAATCTAGAGAGAAGCATTCTCAGGAACTTCTTTGTGATGTTTGCATTCACGTCACAGAACTGAACATTCCCTTTCATAGAGCATGTTTGAAACACTCTTTCTGTAGTATCTGCAAACGGACATTTCAAACGCTTTCAGGCCTATGGTGAGAAAGGAAATATCTTCAAATAAAAACTAGACAGAAGCATTCTCAGAAACTTATTTGCGATGTGTGTCCTCAACTAACAGAGTTGAACCTTTCTTTTGATACAACATTTTGGAACCACTCTTTTTGTAGAATCTGCAAGTGGATATTTGGATAGCTTTGAAGGTTTCGTTGGAAACGGGAATATCTTCATATAAAATCAAGACAGAAGCATTCTCAGAAACTTCTCTGTGATGTTTGTATTCAACTCATAGAGTTGAACACTTCCCTTCATACAGCAGGTTTGAAACACTCTTTTTGTAATATTTGGAAGTGGACATTTGCAGCACTTTGAGGCCTATGATGAAAAAGGAAATATCTTCCCATAAAAACTAGACAGAAGCATTCTCAGAAACTTGTTTGTGATGTGTGTATTCAACTAACAGAGATGAACCTTTCTTTTTACAGAGCAGTTTTGAAACACTCTTTTTGTGGAATCTGAAAGTGGATATTTGGATAGCTTTGCGGATTTCGTTGGAAACGGGATTACATATAAAATCTAGGGAGAAGCATTCTCAGGAACTTCTTTGTGATGTTTGCGTTCAAGTCACAGAACTGAACATTCCCTTTCATAGAGCAGGTTTGAAACACTCTTTCTGTAGTATCTGCAAGCGGACGTTTCAAGCGCTTTCAGGCCTGTGGTGAAAAAGGAAATATCTTCAAATAAAAACTAGACAGAAGCATTCTCAGAACTTATTTGCGATGTGTGTCCTCAACTAACAGAGTTGAACCTTTCTTTTGATACAACATTTTGGAAACACTCTTTTTGTAGAATCTGCAAGTGGATATTTGAATAGCTTTGAAGGTTTCGTTGGAAACGGGAATATCTTCATATAAAATCAAGACAGAAGCATTCTCAGAAACTTCTCTGTGATGTTTGCATTCAACTCATAGAGTTGAACACTTCCCTTCATACAGCAGGTTTGAAACACTCTTTTTGTAATATTTGGAAGTGGACATTTGCAGCGCTTTGAGGCCTATGATGAAAAAGGAAATATCTTCCCATAAAAACTAGACAGAAAGCATTCTCAGGAAACTTGTTTGTGATGTGTGTATTCAACTAACAGAGCATGAACCTTTCTTTTTACAGAGCAGTTTTGAAACACTCTTTTTGTGGAATCTGAAAGTGGATATTTGGATAGCTTTGCGGATTTCGTTGGAAACGGGATTACATATAAAATCTAGGGAGAAGCATTCTCAGGAACTTCTTTGTGATGTTTGCATTCACGTCACAGAACTGAACATTCCCTTTCATAGAGCATGTTTGAAACACTCTTTCTGTAGTATCTGCAAACGGACATTTCAAACGCTTTCAGGCCTATGGTGAGAAAGGAAATATCTTCAAATAAAAACTAGACAGAAGCATTCTCAGAAACTTATTTGCGATGTGTGTCCTCAACTAACAGAGTTGAACCTTTCTTTTGATACAACATTTTGGAAACACTCTTTTTGTAGAATCTGCAAGTGGATATTTGAATAGCTTTGAAGGTTTCGTTGGAAACGGGAATATCTTCTTATAAAATCAAGACAGAAGCATTCTCAGAAACTTCTCTGTGATGTTTGCATTCAACTCATAGAGTTGAACACTTCCCTTCATACAGCAGGTTTGAAACACTCTTTTTGTAATATTTGGAAGTGGACATTTGCAGCGCTTTGAGGCCTATGATGAAAAAGGTAATATCTTCCCATAAAAACTAGACAGAAGCATTCTCAGAAACTTGTTTGTGATGTGTGTATTCAACTAACAGAGATGAACCTTTCTTTTTACAGAGCAGTTTTGAAACACTCTTTTTGTGGAATCTGAAAGTGGATATTTGGATAGCTTTGCGGATTTCGTTGGAAACGGGATTACATATAAAATCTAGGGAGAAGCATTCTCAGGAACTTCTTTGTGATGTTTGCATTCAAGTCACAGAACTGAACATTCCCTTTCATAGAGCAGGTTTGAAACACTCTTTCTGTAGTATCTGCAAGCGGACGTTTTAAGCGCTTTCAGGCCTGTGGTGAGAAAGGAAATATCTTCAAATAAAAACTAGACAGAAGCATTCTCAGAAACTTATTTGCGATGTGTGTCCTCAACTAACAGAGTTGAACCTTTCTTTTGATACAACATTTTGGAAACACTCTTTTTGTAGAATCTGCAAGTGGATATTTGGATAGCTTTGAAGGTTTCGTTGGAAACGAGAATATCTTCATATGAAATCAAGACAGAAGCATTCTCAGAAACTTCTCTGTGATGTTTGCATTCAACTCATAGAGTTGAACACTTCCCTTCATACAGCAGGTTTGAAACACTCTTTTTCTAATATTTGGAAGTGGACATTTTCAGCGCTTTGAGGCCTATGTTGAAAAAGGAAATATCTTCTCCTAAAAACCAGACAGAAGCATTCTCAGAAACTTCCTTGTGATGTGTGTACTCAAGTAACAGAGTTGAACCTTCCTTTTGACAGAGCAGTTTTGAAGCACTCTTTTTGTAGAATCTGCAAGTGGATATTTTGATACCTTTGAGGATTTCGTTGGACACGGGATATCTTCATATAAAATCTAGACAGAAGCATTCTCAGAAACTTCTTTGTGCTGTATGTCCTCAATTAACAGAGTTGAACCTTTGTGTGGATACAGCATTTTGGAAACATTCCTTTAGTAGAATCTGCAAGTTGATATTTAGATAGCTAGGAAGATTTCCTTGGAAACGGGAATATCTTCATATAAAATCTAGACGGAAGCATTCTCAGAAAGTGCTTTGTGATGTTTGCATTCAAGTCACAGAGTTGAATATTCCCTTTTATAGAGCAGGTTTGAAACACTCTTTCTGCACTACCTGGAAGTGGACATTTGGAGCGCTTTGAGGCCTATGTTGAAAAAGGGAATATCTTCCCATAAAAACTAGACAGAAGCATTCTCAGAAACTTGTTTGTGATGTGTGTATTCAACTAACAGAGATGAACCTTTCTTTTTACAGAGCAGTTTTGAAACACTCTTTTTGTGGAATCTGAAAGTGGATATTTGGATAGCTTTGAGGATTTCGTTGGAAACGGGATTACATATAAAATCTAGGGAGAAGCATTCTCAGGAACTTCTTTGTGATGTTTGCATTCAAGTCACAGAACTGAACATTCCCTTTCATAGAGCAGGTTTGAAACACTCTTTCTGTAGTATCTGCAAGCGGACGTTTCAAGCGCTTTCAGGCCTGTGGTGAAAAAGGAAATATCTTCAAATAAAAACTAGACAGAAGCATTCTCAGAAACTTATTTGCGATGTGTGTTCTCAGCTAACAGAGTTGAACCTTTGTTTTGATACAGCATTTTGGAAACACTCTTTTTGTAGGATCTGCAGGTGGATATTTGGATAGCTTTGATGGTTTCGTTGGAAACGGGAATATCCTCATATAAAATCAAGACAGAAGCATTCTCAGAAACTGCTTTGTGATGTTTTCATTCAAGTCACAGAGAAGAATGTTCCCTGTTATATACCAGGTTTGAGACACTCTTTCTGCACTACCTGGAAGTGGACATTTGCAGCGCTTTGAGGCCTATGATGAAAAAGGAAATATCTTCCCATAAAAACTAGACAGAAGCATTCTCAGAAACTTGTTTGTGATGTGTGTATTCAACTAACAGAGATGAACCTTTCTTTTTACAGAGCAGTTTTGAAGCACTCTTTTTGTGGAATCTGAAAGTGGATATTTGGATAGCTTTGAGGATTTCGTTGGAAACGGGATTACATATAAAATCCTACGAGAGAAGAATTCTCAGGATCTTCTTTGTGATGTTTGCATTCAAGTCGCAGAACTGAACATTCCCTTTCATAGAGCAGGTTTGAAACACTCTTTCTGTAGTATCTGCAAGCAGACGTTTCAAGCGCTTTCAGGCCTATGGTTAGAAAGGAAATATCTTCAAATAAAAACTAGACAGAAGCATTCTCAGAAACTTATTTGCGATGTGTGTCCTCAACTAACAGAGTTGAACCTTTCTTTTGATACAACATTTTGGAAACACTCTTTTTGTGGAATCTGCAAGTGGATATTTGGATAGCTTTGAAGATTTCGTTGGAAACGGGAATATCTTCATATAAAATCAAGACAGAAGCATTCTCAGAAACTTCTCTGTGATGTTTGCATTCAACTCATAGAGTTGAACACTTCCCTTCATACAGCAGGTTTGAAACACTCTTTTTGTAATATTTGGAAGTGGACATTTGCAGCGCTTTGAGGCCTATGATGAAAAAGGTAATATCTTCCCATAAAAACTAGACAGAAGCATTCTCAGAAACTTGTTTGTGATGTGTGTATTCAACTAACAGAGATGAACCTTTCTTTTTACAGAGCAGTTTTGAAACACTCTTTTTGTGGAATCTGAAAGTGGATATTTGGATAGCTTTGCGGATTTCGTTGGAAACGGGATTACATATAAAATCTAGGGAGAAGCATTCTCAGGAACTTCTTTGTGATGTTTGCATTCAAGTCACAGAACTGAACATTCCCTTTCATAGAGCAGGTTTGAAACACTCTTTCTGTAGTATCTGCAAGCGGACGTTTTAAGCGCTTTCAGGCCTGTGGTGAGAAAGGAAATATCTTCAAATAAAAACTAGACAGAAGCATTCTCAGAAACTTATTTGCGATGTGTGTCCTCAACTAACAGCGTTGAACCTTTCTTTTGATACAACATTTTGGAAACACTCTTTTTGTAGAATCTGCAAGTGGATATTTGGATAGCTTTGAAGGTTTCGTTGGAAACGGGAATATCTTCATATGAAATCAAGACAGAAGCATTCTCAGAAACTTCTCTGTGATGTTTGCATTCAACTCATAGAGTTGAACACTTCCCTTCATACAGCAGGTTTGAAACACTCTTTTTCTAATATTTGGAAGTGGACATTTGCAGCAATTTGAGGCCTATGTTGAAAAAGGAAATATCTTCTCCTAAAAACCAGACAGAAGCATTCTCAGAAACTTCCTTGTGATGTGTGTACTCAAGTAACAGAGTTGAACCTTCCTTTTGACAGAGCAGTTTTGAAGCAGTCTTTTTGTAGAATCTGCAAGTGGATATTTTGATACCTTTGTGGATTTCGTTGGACACGGGATATCTTCATATAAAATCTAGACAGAAGCATTCTCAGAAACTTCTTTGTGCTGTATGTCCTCAATTAACAGAGTTGAACCTTTGTGTGGATACAGCATTTTGGAAACATTCCTTTAGTAGAATCTGCAAGTTGATATTTAGATAGCTAGGAAGATTTCCTTGGAAACGGGAATATCTTCATATAAAATCTAGACGGAAGCATTCTCAGAAAGTGCTTTGTGATGTTTGCATTCAAGTCACAGAGTTGAATATTCCCTTTTATAGAGCAGGTTTGAAACACTCTTTCTGCACTACCTGGAAGTGGACATTTGGAGCGCTTTGAGGCCTATGTTGAAAAAGGAAATATCTTCCCATAAAAACTAGACAGAAGGATTCTCAGAAATTTGTTTGTGATGTGTGTATTCAACTAACAGAGATGAACCTTTCTTTTTACAGAGCAGTTTTGAAACACTCTTTTTGTGGATTCTGAAAGTGGATATTTGGATAGCTTTGAGGATTTTGTTGGAAACGGGATTACATATAAAACCTAGAGAGAAGCATTCTCAGGAACTTCTTTGTGATGTTTGCATTCAAGTCACAGAACTGAACATTCCCTTTCATAGAGCAGGTTTGAAACACTCTTTCTGTAGTATCTGCAAGCTGACGTTTCAAGCGCTTTCAGGCCTATGGTGAGAAAGGAAATATCTTCAAGTAAAAACTAGACAGAAGCATTCTCAGAAACTTATTTGCGATGTGTGTTCTCAACTAACAGAGTTGAACCTTTGTTTTGATATGGCATTTTGGAAACACTCTTTTTGTAGAATCTGCAGGTGGATATTCGGATAGCTTTGAAGGTTTCGTTGGAAACGGGAATATCTTCATATAAAATCTAGACGGAAGCATTCTCAGAACCTGCTTTGTGATGTTTTCATTCAAGTCACAGAGTAGAATGTTCCCTGTTATATACCAGGTTTGAGACACTCTGTCTGCACTACCTGGAAGTGGACGTTTGGAGCGCTTTGAGGCCTATGTTGAAAAAGGAAATATCTTCCCATAAAAACTAGACAGAAGCATTCTCAGAAACTTGTTTGTGATGTGTGTATTCAACTAACAGAGATGAACCTTTCTTTTTACAGAGCAGTTTTGAAACACTCTTTTTGTGGAATCTGAAAGTGGATATTTGGATAGCTTTGAGGATTTCGTTGGAAACGGGATTACATATAAAATCTAGAGAGAAGCATTCTCAGGAACTTCTTTGTGATGTTTGCATTCACGTCACAGAACTGAACATTCCCTTTCATAGAGCATGTTTGAAACACTCTTTCTGTAGTATCTGCAAACGGACATTTCAAGTGCTTTCAGGCCTATGGTAAGAAAGGAAATATCTTCAAATAAAAACTAGACAGAAGCATTCTCAGAAACTTATTTGCGATGTGTGTCCTCAACTAACAGAGTTGAACCTTTGTTTTGATACAACATTTTGGAAACACTCTTTTTGTAGAATCTGCAAGTGGATATTTGGATAGCTTTGAAGGTTTCGTTGGAAACGGGAATATCTTCATATAAAATCAAGACAGAAGCATTCTCAGAAACTTCTCTGTGATGTTTGCATTCAACTCATAGAGTTGAACACTTCCCTTCATACAGCAGGTTTGAAACACTCTTTTTGTAATATTTGGAAGTGGACATTTGCAGCGCTTTGAGGCCTATGTTGAAAAAGGAAATATCTTCTCCTAAAAACCAGACAGAAGCATTCTCAGAAACTTCCTTGTGATGTGTGTACTCAAGTAACAGAGTTGAACCTTACTTTGGACAGAGCCGTTTTGAAACAGTCTTTTTGTAGAATCTGGAAGTAGATATTTGGATACCTTTGAGGATTTCTTTGGAAACGGTATATCTTCATATAAAATCTAGACAGAAGCATTCTCAGGAACTTCTTTGTGATGTTTGCATTCAAGTCACAGAACTGAACATTCCCTTTCATAGAGCAGGTTTGAAACACTCTTTCTGTAGTATCTGCAAGCGGACGTTTTAAGCGCTTTCAGGCCTGTGGTGAGAAAGGAAATATCTTCAAATAAAAACTAGACAGAAGCATTCTCAGAAACTTATTAGCGATGTGTGTTCTCAACTAAAAGAGTTGAACCTTTCTTTTGATACAGCATTTTGGAAACACTCTTTTTGTAGAATCTGCAAGTGGATATTTGGATAGCTTTGAAGGTTTCGTTGGAAACGGGAATATCTTCATATAAAATCAAGACAGAAGCATTCTCAGAAACTTCTCTGTGATGTTTGCATTCAACTCATAGAGTTGAACACTTCCCTTCATACAGCAGGTTTGAAACACTCTTTTTCTAATATTTGGAAGTGGACATTTGCAGCGCTTTGAGGCCTATGTTGAAAAAGGAAATATCTTCTCCTAAAAACCAGACAGAAGCATTCTCAGAAACTTCCTTGTGATGTGTGTACTCAAGTAACAGAGTTGAACCTTCCTTTTGACAGAGCAGTTTTGAAGCACTCTTTTTGTAGAATCTGCAAGTGGATATTTTGATACCTTTGAGGATTTCGTTGGACACGGGATATCGTCATATAAAATCTAGACAGAAGCATTCTCAGGAACTTCTTTGTGATGTTTGCATTCAAGTCACAGAACTGAACATTCCCTTTCATAGAGCAGGTTTGAAACACTCTTTCAGTAGTATCTGCAAGCGGACGTTTCAAGCGCTTTCAGGCCTGTGGAGAAAAAGGAAATATCTTCAAATAAAAACTAGACGGAAGCATTCTCAGAAACTTATTTGCGATGTGTGTTCTCAACTAACAGAGTTGAACCTTTGTTTTGATATGGCATTTTGGAAACACTCTTTTTGTAGAATCTGCAGGTGGATATTCGGATAGCTTTGAAGGTTTCGTTGGAAACGGGAATATCTTCATATAAAATCTAGACGGAAGCATTCTCAGAAACTGCTTTGTGATGTTTTCATTCAAGTCACAGAGTAGAATGTTCCCTGTTATATACCAGGTTTGAGACACTCTTTCTGCACTACCTGGAAGTGGACGTTTGGAGCGCTTTGAGGCCTATGTTGAAAAAGGAAATATCTTCCCATAAAAACTAGACAGAAGCATTCTCAGAAACTTGTTTGTGATGTGTGTATTCAACTAACAGAGATGAACCTTTCTTTTTACAGAGCAGTTTTGAAACACTCTTTTTGTGGAATCTGAAAGTGGATATTTGGATAGCTTTGAGGATTTCGTTGGAAACGGGATTACATATAAAATCTAGAGAGAAGCATTCTCAGGAACTTCTTTGTGATGTTTGCATTCACGTCACAGAACTGAACATTCCCTTTCATAGAGCATGTTTGAAACACTCTTTCTGTAGTATCTGCAAACGGACATTTCAAACGCTTTCAGGCCTTTGGTGAGAAAGGAAATATCTTCAAGTAAAAACTAGACAGAAGCATTCTCAGAAACTTATTTGCGATGTGTGTCCTCAACTAACAGAGTTGAACCTTTCTTTTGATACAACATTTTGGAAACACTCTTTTTGTAGAATCTGCAAGTGGATATTTGAATAGCTTTGAAGGTTTCGTTGGAAACGGGAATATCTTCATATAAAATCAAGACAGAAGCATTCTCAGAAACTTCTCTGTGATGTTTGCATTCAACTCATAGAGTTGAACACTTCCCTTCATACAGCAGGTTTGAAACACTCTTTTTGTAATATTTGGAAGTGGACATTTGCAGCGCTTTGAGGCCTATGATGAAAAAGGAAATATCTTCCCATAAAAACTAGACAGAAGCATTCTCAGAAACTTGTTTGTGATGTGTGTATTCAACTAACAGAGATGAACCTTTCTTTTTACAGAGCAGTTTTGAAACACTCTTTTTGTGGAATCTGAAAGTGGATATTTGGATAGCTTTGCGGATTTCGTTGGAAACGGGATTACATATAAAATCCTAGGGAGAAGAGCATTCTCAGGAACTTCTTTGTGATGTTTGCATTCAAGTCACAGAACTGAACATTCCCTTTCATAGAGCAGGTTTGAAACACTCTTTCTGTAGTATCTGCAAGCGGACGTTTTAAGCGCTTTCAGGCCTGTGGTGAGAAAGGAAATATCTTCAAATAAAAACTAGACAGAAGCATTCTCAGAAACTTATTTGCGATGTGTGTCCTCAACTAACAGAGTTGAACCTTTCTTTTGATACAACATTTTGGAAACACTCTTTTTGTAGAATCTGCAAGTGGATATTTGGATAGCTTTGAAGGTTTCGTTGGAAACGGGAATATCTTCATATGAAATCAAGACAGAAGCATTCTCAGAAACTTCTCTGTGATGTTTGCATTCAACTCATAGAGTTGAACACTTCCCTTCATACAGCAGGTTTGAAACACTCTTTTTCTAATATTTGGAAGTGGACATTTGCAGCGCTTTGAGGCCTATGTTGAAAAAGGAAATATCTTCTCCTAAAAACCAGACAGAAGCATTCTCAGAAACTTCCTTGTGATGTGTGTACTCAAGTAACAGAGTTGAACCTTCCTTTTGACAGAGCAGTTTTGAAGCACTCTTTTTGTAGAATCTGCAAGTGGATATTTTGATACCTTTGAGGATTTCGTTGGACACGGGATATCTTCATATAAAATCTAGACAGAAGCATTCTCAGAAACTTCTTTGTGCTGTATGTCCTCAATTAACAGAGTTGAACCTTTGTGTGGATACAGCATTTTGGAAACATTCCTTTAGTAGAATCTGCAAGTTGATATTTAGATAGCTAGGAAGATTTCCTTGGAAACGGGAATATCTTCATATAAAATCTAGACGGAAGCATTCTCAGAAAGTGCTTTGTGATGTTTGCATTCAAGTCACAGAGTTGAATATTCCCTTTTATAGAGCAGGTTTGAAACACTCTTTCTGCACTACCTGGAAGTGGACATTTGGAGGGCTTTGAGGCCTATGTTGAAAAAGGAAATATCTTCCCATAAAAACTAGACAGAAGCATTCTCAGAAACTTGTTTGTGATGTGTGTATTCAACTAACAGAGATGAACCTTTCTTTTTACAGAGCAGTTTTGAAACACTCTTTTTGTGGAATCTGAAAGTGGATATTTGGATAGCTTTGAGGATTTCGTTGGAAACGGGATTACATATAAAACCTAGAGAGAAGCATTCTCAGGAACTTTTTTGTGATGTTTGCATTCAAGTCACAGGACTGAACGTTCCCTTTCATAGAGCAGGTTTGAAACACTCTTTCTGTAGTATCTGCAAGCTGACGTTTCATGCGTTTTCAGGCCTATGGTGAGAAAGGAAATATCTTCAAGTAAAAACTAGACAGAAGCATTCTCAGAAACTTATTTGCCATGTGTGTTCTCAACTAACAGAGTTGAACCTTTGTTTTGATACGGCATTTTGGAAACACTCTTTTTGTAGAATCTGCAGGTGGATATTCGGATAGCTTTGAAGGTTTCGTTGGAAACGGGAATATCTTCATATAAAATCTAGACGGAAGCATTCTCAGAAACTGCTTTGTGATGTTTTCATTCAAGTCACAGAGTAGAATGTTCCCTGTTATATACCAGGTTTGAGACACTCTTTCTGCACTACCCGGAAGTGGACGTTTGGAGCGCTTTGAGGCCTATGTTGAAAAAGGAAATATCTTCCCATAAAAACTAGACAGAAGCATTCTCAGAAACTTGTTTGTGATGTGTGTATTCAACTAACAGAGATGAACCTTTCTTTTTACAGAGCAGTTTTGAAACACTCTTTTTGTGGAATCTGAAAGTGGATATTTGGATGGCTTTGAGGATTTCGTTGGAAACGGGATTACATATAAAATCTAGAGAGAAGCATTCTCAGGAACTTCTTTGTGATGTTTGCATTCAAGTCACAGAACTGAACATTCCCTTTCATAGAGCATGTTTGAAACACTCTTTCTGTAGTATCTGCAAGCGGACGTTTCAAGCGCTTTCAGGCCTATGGTGAGAAAGGAAATATCTTCAAGTAAAAACTAGACAGAAGCATTCTCAGAAACTTCTTTGTGCTGTATGTCCTCAATTAACAGAGTTGAACCTTTGTTTCGATACAGCATTTTGGAAACATTCCTTTAGTAGAATCTACAAGTTGATATTTAGATAGCTAGGAAGATTTCCTTGGAAACGGGAATATCTTCATATAAAATCTAGACGGAAGCATTCTCAGAAACTTCTCTGTGATGTTTGCATTCAACTCATAGAGTTGAACACTTCCCTTCATACAGCAGGTTTGAAACACTCTTTTTGTAATATTTGGAAGTGGACATTTGCAGCGCTTTGAGGCCTATGATGAAAAAGGTAATATCTTCCCATAAAAACTAGACAGAAGCATTCTCAGAAACTTGTTTGTGATGTGTGTATTCAACTAACAGAGATGAACCTTTCTTTTTACAGAGCAGTTTTGAAACACTGTTTTTGTGGAATCTGAAAGTGGATATTTGGATAGCTTTGCGGATTTCGTTGGAAACGGGATTACATATAAAATCTAGGGAGAAGCATTCTCTGGAACTTCTTTGTGATGTTTGCATTCAAGTCACAGAACTGAACATTCCCTTTCATAGAGCAGGTTTGAAACACTCTTTCTGTAGTATCTGCAAGCTGACGTTTCAAGCGCTTTCAGGCCTATGGTGAGAAAGGAAATATCTTCAAGTAAAAACTAGACAGAAGCATTCTCAGAAACTTATTTGCGATGTGTGTCCTCAACTAACAGAGTTGAACCTTTCTTTTGATACACCATTTTGGAAACACTCTTTTTGTAGAATCTGCAAGTGGATATTTGAATAGCTTTGAAGGTTTCGTTGGAAACGGGAATATCTTCATATAAAATCAAGACAGAAGCATTCTCAGAAACTTCCCTGTGATGTTTGCATTCAACTCATAGAGTTGAACACTTCCCTTCATACAGCAGGTTTGAAACACTCTTTTTGTAATATTTGGAAGTGGACATTTGCAGCGCTTTTTGGCCTATGATGAAAAAGGAAATATCTTCCCATAAAAACTAGACAGAAGCATTCTCAGAAACTTGTTTGTGATGTGTGTATTCAACTAACAGAGATGAACCTTTCTTTTTACAGAGCAGTTTTGAAACACTCTTTTTGTGGAATCTGAAAGTGGATATTTGGATAGCTTTGAGGATTTCGTTGGAAACGGGATTACATATAAAACCTAGAGAGAAGCATTCTCAGGAACTTCTTTGTGATGTTTGCATTCAAGTCACAGAACTGAACATTCCCTTTCATAGAGCAGGTTTGAAACACTCTTTCTGTAGTATCTGCAAGCTGACGTTTCAAGCGCTTTCAGGCCTATGGTGAGAAAGGAAATATCTTCAAGTAAAAACTAGACAGAAGCATTCTCAGAAACTTATTTGCCATGTGTGTTCTCAACTAACAGAGTTGAACCTTTGTTTTGATACGGCATTTTGGAAACACTCTTTTTGTAGAATCTGCAGGTGGATATTCGGATAGCTTTGAAGGTTTCGTTGGAAACGGGAATATCTTCATATAAAATCTAGACGGAAGCATTCTCAGAAACTGCTTTGTGATGTTTTCATTCAAGTCACAGAGTAGAATGTTCCCTGTTATATACCAGGTTTGAGACACTCTTTCTGCACAACCTGGAAGTGGACGTTTGGAGCGCTTTGAGGCCTATGTTGAAAAAGGAAATATCTTCCCATAAAAACTAGACAGAAGCATTCTCAGAAACTTGTTTGTGATGTGTGTATTCAACTAACAGAGATGAACCTTTCTTTTTACAGAGCAGTTTTGAAACACTCTTTTTGTGGAATCTGAAAGTGGATATTTGGATAGCTTTGAGGATTTCGTTGGAAACGGGATTACATATAAAATCTAGAGAGAAGCATTCTCAGGAACTTCTTTGTGATGTTTGCATTCAAGTCACAGAACTGAACATTCCCTTTCATAGAGCAGGTTTGAAACACTCTTTCTGTAGTATCTGCAAGTGGACGTTTCAAGCGCTTTCAGGCCTGTGGTGAAAAAGGAAATATCTTCAAATAAAAACTAGACAGAAGCATTCTCAGAAACTTATTTGCGATGTGTGTTCTCAGCTAACAGAGTTCAACCTTTGTTTTGATACAGCATTTTGGAAACACTCTTTTTGTAGGATCTGCAGGTGGATATTTGGATAGCTTTGAAGGTTTCTTTGGAAACGGGAATATCTTCATATAAAATCAAGACAGAAGCATTCTCAGAAACTGCTTTGTGATGTTTTCATTCAAGTCACAGAGTAGAATCTTCGCTTTTATACACCAGGTTTGAGACACTCTTTATGCACTATCTGGAAGTGGACATTTGGAGCGCTTTGAGGCCTATGATGATAAAGGAAATATCTTCCCATAAAAACTAGACAGAAGCATTCTCAGAAACTTGTTTGTGATGTGTGTATTCCACTAACAGAGATGAACCTTTCTTTTTACAGAGCAGTTTTGAAACACTCTTTTTGTGGAATCTGAAAGTGGATATTTGGATAGCTTTGAGGATTTCGTTGGAAACGGGATTACATATAAAATCTAGAGAGAAGCATTCTCAGGAACTTCTTTGTGATGTTTGCATTCAAGTCACAGAACTGAACATTCCCTTTCATAGAGCATGTTTGAAACACTCTTTCTGTAGTATCTGCAAACGGACATTTCAAGCGCTTTCAGGACTATGGTAAGAAAGGAAATATCTTCAAATAAAAACTAGACAGGAAGCATTCTCAGAAACTTATTTGCGATGTGTGTCCTCAACTAACAGAGTTGAACCTTTCTTTTGATACAACATTTTGGAAACACTCTTTTTGTAGAATCTGCAAGTGGATATTTGGATAGCTTTGAAGGTTTCGTTGGAAACGGGAATATCTTCATATAAAATCAAGACAGAAGCATTCTCAGAAACTTCTCTGTGATGTTTGCATTCAACTCATAGAGTTGAACACTTCCCTTCATACAGCAGGTTTGAAACACTCTTTTTGTAATATTTGGAAGTGGACATTTGCAGCGCTTTGAGGCCTATGATGAAAAAGGTAATATCTTCCCATAAAAACTAGACAGAAGCATTCTCAGAAACTTGTTTGTGATGTGTGTATTCAACTAACAGAGATGAACCTTTCTTTTTACAGAGCAGTTTTGAAACACTCTTTTTGTGGAATCTGAAAGTGGATATTTGGATAGCTTTGCGGATTTCTTTGGAAACGGGATTACATATAAAATCTAGAGAGAAGCATTCTCAGGAACTTCTTTGTGATGTTTGCATTCAAGTCACAGAACTGAACATTCCCTTTCATAGAGCAGGTTTGAAACACTCTTTCTGTAGTATCTGCAAGCGGACGTTTTAAGCGCTTTCAGGCCTGTGGTGAGAAAGGAAATATCTTCAAATAAAAACTAGACAGAAGCATTCTCAGAAACTTATTTGCGATGTGTGTCCTCAACTAACAGAGTTGAACCTTTCTTTTGATACAACATTTTGGAAACACTCTTTTTGTAGAATCTGCAAGTGGATATTTGGATAGCTTTGAAGGTTTCGTTGGCAACGGGAATATCTTCATATGAAATCAAGACAGAAGCATTCTCAGAAACTTCTCTGTGATGTTTGCATTCAACTCATAGAGTTGAACACTTCCCTTCATACAGCAGGTTTGAAACACTCTTTTTGTAATATTTGGAAGTGGACATTTGCAGCGCTTTGAGGCCTATGTTGAAAAAGGAAATATCTTCTCCTAAAAACCAGACAGAAGCATTCTCAGAAACTTCCTTGTGATGTGTGTACTCAAGTAACAGAGTTGAACCTTCCTTTTGACAGAGCAGTTTTGAAGCACTCTTTTTGTAGAATCTGCAAGTGGATATTTTGATACCTTTGAGGATTTCGTTGGACACGGGATATCTTCATATAAAATCTAGACAGAAGCATTCTCAGAAACTTCTTTGTGCTGTATGTCCTCAATTAACAGAGTTGAACCTTTGTGTGGATACAGCATTTTGGAAACATTCCTTTAGTAGAATCTGCAAGTTGATATTTAGATAGCTAGGAAGATTTCCTTGGAAACGGGAATATCTTCATATAAAATCTAGACGGAAGCATTCTCAGAAAGTGCTTTGTGATGTTTGCATTCAAGTCACAGAGTTGAATATTCCCTTTTATAGAGCAGGTTTGAAACACTCTTTCTGCACTACCTGGAAGTGGACATTTGGAGCGCTTTGAGGCCTATGGTGAAAAAGGAAATATCTTCCCATAAAAACTAGACAGAAGCATTCTCAGAAACTTGTTTGTGATGTGTGTATTCAACTAACAGAGATGAACCTTTCTTTTTACAGAGCAGTTTTGAAACACTCTTTTTGTGGAATCTGAAAGTGGATATTTGGATAGCTTTGAGGATTTCGTTGGAAACGGGATTACATATAAAACCTAGAGAGAAGCATTCTCAGGAACTTCTTTGTGATGTTTTCATTCAAGTCACAGAACTGAACATTCCCTTTCATAGAGCAGGTTTGAAACACTCTTTCTGTAGTATCTGCAAGCTGACGTTTCAAGCGCTTTCAGGCCTATGGTGAGAAAGGAAATATCTTCAAGTAAAAACTAGACAGAAGCATTCTCAGAAACTTATTTGCGATGTGTGTTCTCAACTAACAGAGTTGAACCTTTGTTTTGATATGGCATTTTGGAAACACTCTTTTTGTAGAATCTGCAGGTGGATATTCGGATAGCTTTGAAGGTTTCGTTGGAAACGGGAATATCTTCATATAAAATCTAGACGGAAGCATTCTCAGAAACTGCTTTGTGATGTTTTCATTCAAGTCACAGAGTAGAATCTTCCCTGTTATATACCAGGTTTCAGACACTCTTTCTGCACTACCTGGAAGTGGACATTTGCAGCGCTTTGAGGCCTATGATGAAAAAGGAAATATCTTCCCATAAAAACTAGACAGAAGCATTCTCAGAAACTTGTTTGTGATGTGTGTATTCAACTAACAGAGATGAACCTTTCTTTTTACAGAGCAGTTTTGAAACACTCTTTTTGTGGAATCTGAAAGTGGATATTTGGATAGCTTTGAGGATTTCGTTGGAAACGGGATTACATATAAAACCTAGAGAGAAGCATTCTCAGGAACTTCTTTGTGATGTTTGCATTCACGTCACAGAACTGAACATTCCCTTTCATAGAGCATGTTTGAAACACTCTTTCTGTAGTATCTGCAAACGGACATTTCAAACGCTTTCAGGCCTATGGTGAGAAAGGAAATATCTTCAACTAAAAACTAGACAGAAGCATTCTCAGAAACTTATTAGCGATGTGTGTCCTCAACTAACAGAGTTGAACCTTTCTTTTGATACAACATTTTGGAAACACTCTTTTTGTGGAATCTGCAAGTGGATATTTGGATAGCTTTGAAGATTTCGTTGGAAACGGGAATATCTTCATATAAAATCAAGACAGAAGCATTCTCAGAAACTTCTCTGTGATGTTTGCATTCAACTCATAGAGTTGAACACTTCCCTTCATACAGCAGGTTTGAAACACTCTTTTTGTAATATTTGGAAGTGGACATTTGCAGCGCTTTGAGGCCTATGATGAAAAAGGTAATATCTTCCCATAAAAACTAGACAGAAGCATTCTCAGAAACTTGTTTGTGATGTGTGTATTCAACTAACAGAGATGAACCTTTCTTTTTACAGAGCAGTTTTGAAACACTCTTTTTGTGGAATCTGAAAGTGGATATTTGGATAGCTTTGCGGATTTCGTTGGAAACGGGATTACATATAAAATCTAGGGAGAAGCATTCTCAGGAACTTCTTTGTGATGTTTGCATTCAAGTCACAGAACTGAACATTCCCTTTCATAGAGCAGGTTTGAAACACTCTTTCTGTAGTATCTGCAAGCGGACGTTTTAAGCGCTTTCAGGCCTGTGGTGAGAAAGGAAATATCTTCAAATAAAAACTAGACAGAAGCATTCTCAGAAACTTATTTGCGATGTGTGTCCTCAACTAACAGAGTTGAACCTTTCTTTTGATACAACATTTTGGAAACACTCTTTTTGTAGAATCTGCAAGTGGATATTTGGATAGCTTTGAAGGTTTCGTTGGAAACGGGAATATCTTCATATGAAATCAAGACAGAAGCATTCTCAGAAACTTCTCTGTGATGTTTGCATTCAACTCATAGAGTTGAACACTTCCCTTCATAAAGCAGGTTTGAAACACTCTTTTTGTAATATTTGGAAGTGGACATTTGCAGCGCTTTGAGGCCTATGATGAAAAAGGTAATATCTTCCCATAAAAACTAGACAGAAGCATTCTCAGAAACTTGTTTGTGATGTGTGTATTCAACTAACAGAGATGAACCTTTCTTTTTACAGAGCAGTTTTGAAACACTCTTTTTGTGGAATCTGAAAGTGGATATTTGGATAGCTTTGCGGATTTCTTTGGAAACGGGATTACATATAAAATCTAGAGAGAAGCATTCTCAAGAACTTCTTTGTGATGTTTGCATTCAAGTCACAGAACTGAACATTCCCTTTCATAGAGCAGGTTTGAAACACTCTTTCTGTAGTATCTGCAAGCGGACGTTTTAAGCGCTTTCAGGCCTGTGGTGAGAAAGGAAATATCTTCAAATAAAAACTAGACAGAAGCATTCTCAGAAACTTATTTGCGATGTGTGTTCTCAACTAACAGAGTTGAACATTTGTTTTGATACAGCATTTTGGAAACACTCTTTTTGTAGGATCTGCAGGTGGATATTTGGATAGCTTTGAAGTTTTCGTTGGAAACGGGAATATCTTCATATAAAATCAACACAGAAGCATTCTCAGAAAGTGCTTTGTGATGTTTGCATTCAAGTCACAGAGTTGAATATTCCCTTTTATAGAGCAGGTTTGAAACACTCTTTCTGCACTACCTGGAAGTGGACATTTGGAGCGCTTTGAGGCCTATGTTGAAAAAGGAAATATCTTCCCATAAAAACTAGACAGAAGCATTCTCAGAAACTTGTTTGTGATGTGTGTATTCAACTAACAGAGATGAACCTTTCTTTTTACAGAGCAGTTTTGAAACACTCTTTTTGTGGAATCTGAAAGTGGATATTTGGATAGCTTTGAGGATTTCGTTGGAAACGGGATTACATATAAAACCTAGAGAGAAGCATTCTCAGGAACTTCTTTGTGATGTTTGCCTTCAAGTCACAGGACTGAACATTCCCTTTCATAGAGCAGGTTTGAAACACTCTTTCTGTAGTATCTGCAAGCTGACGTTTCAAGCGCTTTCAGGCCTATGGTGAGAAAGGAAATATCTTCAAGTAAAAACTAGACAGAAGCATTCTCAGAAACTTATTTGCCATGTGTGTTCTCAACTAACAGAGTTGAACCTTTGTTTTGATACGGCATTTTGGAAACACTCTTTTTGTAGAATCTGCAGGTGGATATTCGGATAGCTTTGAAGGTTTCGTTGGAAACGGGAATATCTTCATATAAAATCTTGACGGAAGCATTCTCAGCAAACTGCTTTGTGATGTTTTCATTCAAGTCACAGAGTAGAATCTTCCCTGTTATATACCAGGTTTCAGACACTCTTTCTGCACTACCTGGAAGTGGACATTTGCAGCGCTTTGAGGCCTATGATGAAAAAGGAAATATCTTCCCATAAAAACTAGACAGAAGCATTCTCAGAAACTTGTTTGTGATGTGTGTATTCAACTAACAGAGATGAACCTTTCTTTTTACAGACCAGTTTTGAAACACTCTTTTTGTGGAATCTGAAAGAGGATATTAGGATAGCTTTGAGGATTTCGTTGGAAACGGGATTACATATAAAATCTAGAGAGAAGCATTCTCAGGAACTTCTTTGTGATGTTTGCATTCACGTCACAGAACTGAACATTCCCTTTCATAGAGCATGTTTGAAACACTCTTTCTGTAGTATCTGCAAACGGACATTTCAAACGCTTTCAGGCCTATGGTGAGAAAGGAAATATCTTCAAATAAAAACTAGACAGAAGCATTCTCAGAAACTTATTTGCGATGTGTGTCCTCAACTAACAGAGTTGAACCTTTCTTTTGATACAACATTTTGGAAACACTCTTTTTGTAGAATCTGCAAGTGGATATTTGGATAGCTTTGAAGGTTTCGTTGGAAACGGGAATATCTTCATATGAAATCAAGACAGATGCATTCTCAGAAACTTCTCTGTGATGTTTGCATTCAACTCATAGAGTTGAACACTTCCCTTCATACAGCAGGTTTGAAACACTCTTTTTCTAATATTTGGAAGTGGACATTTGCAGCGCTTTGAGGCCTATGTTGAAAAAGGAAATATCTTCTCCTAAAAACCAGACAGAAGCATTCTCAGAAACTTGTTTGTGATGTGTGTATTCAACTAACAGAGATGAACCTTTCTTTTTACAGAGCAGTTTTGAAACACTCTTTTTGTGGAATCTGAAAGTGGCTATTTGGATAGCTTTGAGGATTTCGTTGGAAACGGGATTACATATAAAACCTAGAGAGAAGCATTCTCAGGAACTTCTTTGTGATGTTTGCATTCAAGTCACAGAACTGAACATTCCCTTTCATAGAGCAGGTTTGAAACACTCTTTCTGTAGTATCTGCAAGCGGACGTTTTAAGCGCTTTCAGGCCTGTGGTGAGAAAGGAAATATCTTCAAATAAAAACTAGACAGAAGCATTCTCAGAAACTTATTTGCGATGTGTGTCCTCAACTAACAGAGTTGAACCTTTCTTTTGATACAACATTTTGGAAACACTCTTTTTGTAGAATCTGCAAGTGGATATTTGGATAGCTTTGAAGGTTTCGTTGGAAACGGGAATATCTTCATATAAAATCAAGACAGCAGCATTCTCAGAAACTTCTCTGTGATGTTTGCATTCAACTCATAGAGTTGAACACTTCCCTTCATACAGCAGGTTTGAAACACTCTTTTTCTAATATTTGGAAGTGGACATTTGCAGCGCTTTGAGGCCTATGTTGAAAAAGGAAATATCTTCTCCTAAAAACCAGACAGAAGCATTCTCAGAAACTTCCTGGTGATGTGTGTACTCAAGTAACAGAGTTGAACCTTCCTTTTGACGGAGCAGTTTTGAAGCACTCTTTTTGTAGAATCTGCAAGTGGATATTTTGATACCTTTGAGGATTTCGTTGGACACGGGATATCTTCATATAAAATCTAGACAGAAGCATTCTCAGGAACTTCTTTGTGATGTTTGCCTTCAAGTCACAGGACTGAACATTCCCTTTCATAGAGCAGGTTTGAAACACTCTTTCTGTAGTATCTGCAAGCTGACGTTTCAAGCGCTTTCAGGCCTATGGTGAGAAAGGAAATATCTTCAAGTAAAAACTAGACAGAAGCATTCTCAGAAACTTATTTGCCATGTGTGTTCTCAACTAACAGAGTTGAACCTTTGTTTTGATACGGCATTTTGGAAACACTCTTTTTGTAGAATCTGCAGGTGGATATTCCGATAGCTTTGAAGGTTTCGTTGGAAACGGGAATATCTTCATATAAAATCTAGACGGAAGCATTCTCAGAAACTGCTTTGTGATGTTTTCATTCAAGTCACAGAGTAGAATGTTCCCTGTTATATACCAGGTTTGAGACACTCTTTCTGCACTACCCGGAAGTGGACGTTTGGAGCGCTTTGAGGCCTATGTTGAAAAACGAAATATCTTCCCATAAAAACTAGACAGAAGCATTCTCAGAAACTTGTTTGTGATGTGTGTATTCAACTAACAGAGATGAACCTTTCTTTTTACAGAGCAGTTTTGAAACACTCTTTTTGTGGAATCTGAAAGTGGATATTTGGATAGCTTTGAGGATTTCGTTGGAAACGGGATTACATATAAAATCTAGAGAGCATTCTCAGGAACTTCTTTGTGATGTTTGCATTCAAGTCACAGAACTGAACATTCCCTTTCATAGAGCAGGTTTGAAACACTCTTTCTGTAGTATCTGCAAGCTGACGTTTCAAGCGCTTTCAGGCCTATGGTGAGAAAGGAAATATCTTCAAGTAAAAACTAGACAGAAGCATTCTCAGAAACTTATTTGCCATGTGTGTTCTCAACTAACAGAGTTGAACCTTTGTTTTGATACGGCATTTTGGAAACACTCTTTTTGTAGAATCTGCAGGTGGATATTCGGATAGCTTTGAAGGTTTCGTTGGAAACGGGAATATCTTCATATAAAATCTAGACGGAAGCATTCTCAGAAACTGCTTTGTGATGTTTTCATTCAAGTCACAGAGTAGAATGTTCCCTGTTATATACCAGGTTTGAGACACTCTTTCTGCACTACCCGGAAGTGGACGTTTGGAGCGCTTTGAGGCCTATGTTGAAAAAGGAAATATCTTCCCATAAAAACTAGACAGAAGCATTCTCAGAAACTTGTTTGTGATGTGTGTATTCAACTAACAGAGATGAACCTTTCTTTTTACAGAGCAGTTTTGAAACACTCTTTTTGTGGAATCTGAAAGTGGATATTTGGATAGCTTTGAGGATTTCGTTGGAAACGGGATTACATATAAAATCTAGAGAGAAGCATTCTCAGGAACTTCTTTGTGATGTTTGCATTCACGTCACAGAACTGAACATTCCCTTTCATAGAGCATGTTTGAAACACTCTTTCTGTAGTATCTGCAAACGGACATTTCAAACGCTTTCAGGCCTATGGTGAGAAAGGAAATATCTTCAAATAAAAACTAGACAGAAGCATTCTCAGAAACTTATTTGCGATGTGTGTCCTCAACTAACAGAGTTGAACCTTTCTTTTGATACAACATTTTGGAAACACTCTTTTTGTAGAATCTGCAAGTGGATATTTGAATAGCTTTGAAGGTTTCGTTGGAAACGGGAATATCTTCATATAAAATCAAGACAGAAGCATTCTCAGAAACTTCTCTGTGATGTTTGCATTCAACTCATAGAGTTGAACACTTCCCTTCATACAGCAGGTTTGAAACACTCTTTTTCTAATATTTGGAAGTGGACATTTGCAGCGCTTTGAGGCCTATGATGAAAAAGGAAATATCTTCTCCTAAAAACCAGACAGAAGCATTCTCAGAAACTTCCTTGTGATGTGTGTACTCAAGTAACAGAGTTGAACCTTCCTTTTGACAGAGCAGTTTTGAAGCACTCTTTTTGTAGAATCTGCAAGTGGATATTTTGATACCTTTGAGGATTTCGTTGGACACGGGATATCTTCATATAAAATCTAGACAGAAGCATTCTCAGGAACTTCTTTGTGATGTTTGCATTCAAGTCACAGAACTGAACATTCCCTTTCATAGAGCAGGTTTGAAACACTCTTTCTGTAGTATCTGCAAGCGGACGTTTTAAGCGCTTTCAGGCCTGTGGTGAGAAAGGAAATATCTTCAAATAAAAACTAGACAGAAGCATTCTCAGAAACTTATTTGCGATGTGTGTCCTCAACTAACAGAGTTGAACCTTTATTTTGATACAACATTTTGGAAACACTCTTTTTGTAGAATCTGCAAGTGGATATTTGGATAGCTTTGAAGATTTCGTTGGAAACGGGAATATCTTCATATAAAATCAAGACAGAAGCATTCTCAGAAACTTCTCTGTGATGTTTGCATTCAACTCATAGAGTTGAACACTTCCCTTCATACAGCAGGTTTGAAACACTCTTTTTGTAATATTTGGAAGTGGACATTTGCAGCGCTTTGAGGCCTATGTTGAAAAAGGAAATATCTTCTCCTAAAAACCAGACAGAAGCATTCTCAGAAACTTCCTTGTGATGTGTGTACTCAAGTAACAGAGTTGAACCTTCCTTTTGACAGAGCAGTTTTGAAGCACTCTTTTTGTAGAATCTGCAAGTTGATATTTTGATACCTTTGAGGATTTCGTTGGACACGGGATATCTTCATATAAAATCTAGACAGAAGCATTCTCAGGAACTTCTTTGTGATGTTTGCATTCACGTCACAGAACTGAACATTCCCTTTCATAGAGCATGTTTGAAACACTCTTTCTGTAGTATCTGCAAACGGACATTTCAAGCGCTTTCAGGCCTATGGTAAGAAAGGAAATATCTTCAAATAAAAACTAGACAGAAGCATTCTCAGAAACTTATTTGCGATGTGTGTCCTCAACTAACAGAGTTGAACCTTTCTTTTGATACAACATTTTGGAAACACTCTTTTTGTAGAATCTGCAAGTGGATATTTGGATAGCTTTGAAGGTTTCGTTGGAAACAGGAATATCTTCATATAAAATCAAGACAGAAGCATTCTCAGAAACTTCTCTGTGATGTTTGCATTCAACTCATAGAGTTGAACACTTCCCTTCATAGAGCAGGTTTGAAACACTCTTTTTGTAATATTTGGAAGTGGACATTTGCAGCGCTTTGAGGCCTATGTTGAAAAAGGAAATATCTTCTCCTAAAAACCAGACAGGAAGCATTCTCAGAAACTTCCTTGTGATGTGTGTACTCAAGTAACACAGTTGAACCTTACTTTTGACAGAGCCGTTTTGAAACAGTCTTGTTGTAGAATCTGGAAGTAGATATTTGGATACCTTTGAGGATTTCTTTGGAAACGGGATATCTTCATATAAAATATAGACAGAAGCATTCTCAGAAACTTCTTTGTGCTGTATGTCCTCAATTAACAGAGTTGAACCTTTGTGTGGATACAGCATTTTGGAAACATACCTTTAGTAGAATCTGCAAGTTGATATTTAGATAGCTAGGAAGATTTCCTTCAAACGGGAATATCTTCATATAAAATCTAGACGGAAGCATTCTCAGAAACTTCTCTGTGATGTTTGCATTCAACTCATGGAGTTGAACACTTCCTTTCATAGAGCAGGTTTGAAACAGTCTGTGCACTACCTGGAAGTGGACATTTGGAGCGCTTTGAGGCCTATGTTGAAAAAGGAAATATCTTCCCATAAAAACTAGACAGAAGCATTCTCAGAAACTTGTTTGTGATGTGTGTATTCAACTAACAGAGATGAACTTTTCTTTTTACAGAGCAGTTTTGAAACACTCTTTTTGTGGAATCTGAAAGTGGATATTTGGATAGCTTTGAGGATTTCGTTGGAAACGGGATTACATATAAAATCTAGGGAGAAGCATTCTCAGGAACTGCTTTGTGATGTTTGCATTCAAGTCACAGAACTGAACATTCCCTTTCATAGAGCAGGTTTGAAACACTCTTTCTGTAGTATCTGCAAGCTGACGTTTCAAGCGCTTTCAGGCCTATGGTGAGAAAGGAAATATCTTCAAGTAAAAACTAGACAGAAGCATTCTCAGAAACTTCTTTGTGCTGTATGTCCTCAATTAACAGAGTTGAACCTTTGTGTGGATACAGCATTTTGGAAACATTCCTTTAGTAGAATCTGCAAGTTGATATTTAGATAGCTAGGAAGATTTCCTTGGAAACGGGAATATCTTCATATAAAATCTAGACGGAAGCATTCTCAGAAAGTGCTTTGTGATGTTTGCATTCAAGTCACAGAGTTGAATATTCCCTTTTATAGAGCAGGTTTGAAACACTCTTTCTGCACTACCTGGAAGTGGACATTGGGAGCGCTTTGAGGCCTATGTTGAAAAAGGAAATATCTTCCCATAAAAACTAGACAGAAGCATTCTCAGAAATTTGTTTGTGATGTGTGTATTCAACTAACAGAGATGAACCTTTCTTTTTACAGAGCAGTTTTGAAACACTCTTTTTGTGGATTCTGAAAGTGGATATTTGGATAGCTTTGAGGATTTTGTTGGAAACGGGATTACATATAAAACCTAGAGAGAAGCATTCTCAGGAACTTCTTTGTGATGTTTGCATTCAAGTCACAGAACTGAACATTCCCTTTCATAGAGCAGGTTTGAAACAGTCTTTCTGTAGTATCTGCAAGCTGACGTTTCAAGCGCTTTCAGGCCTATGGTGAGAAAGGAAATATCTTCAAGTAAAAACTAGACAGAAGCATTCTCAGAAACTTATTTGCGATGTGTGTTCTCAACTAACAGAGTTGAACCTTTGTTTTGATATGGCATTTTGGAAACACTCTTTTTGTAGAATCTGCAGGTGGATATTCGGATAGCTTTGAAGGTTTCGTTGGAAACGGGAATATCTTCATATAAAATCTAGACGGAAGCATTCTCAGAAACTGCTTTGTGATGTTTTCATTCAAGTCACAGAGTAGAATGTTCCCTGTTATATACCAGGTTTGAGACACTCTTTCTGCACTACCTGGAAGTGGACATTTGCAGCGCTTTGAGGCCTATGATGAAAAAGGAAATATCTTCCCATAAAAACTAGACAGAAGCATTCTCAGAAACTTGTTTGTGATGTGTGTATTCAACTAACAGAGATGAACCTTTCTTTTTACAGAGCAGTTTTGAAACACTCTTTTTGTGGAATCTGAAAGTGGATATTTGGATAGCTTTGAGGATTTCGTTGGAAACGGGATTACATATAAAATCTAGAGAGAAGCATTCTCAGGAACTTCTTTGTGATGTTTGCATTCAAGTCACAGAACTGAACATTCCCTTTCATAGAGCATGTTTGAAACACTCTTTCTGTAGTATCTGCAAGCGGACGTTTCAAGCGCTTTCAGGCCTATGGTGCGAAAGGAAATATCTTCAAGTAAAAACTAGACAGAAGCATTCTCAGAAACTTATTTGCCATGTGTGTTCTCAACTAACAGAATTGAACCTTTGTTTTGATACGGCATTTTGGAAACACTCTTTTTGTAGAATCTGCAGGTGGATATTCGGATAGCTTTGAAGGTTTCGTTGGAAACGGGAATATCTTCATATAAAATCTAGACGGAAGCATTCTCAGAAACTTCTCTGTGATGTTTGCATTCAACTCATAGAGTTGAACACTTCCCTTCATACAGCAGGTTTGAAACACTCTTTTTGTAATATTTGGAAGTGGACATTTGCAGCGCTTTGAGGCCTATGATGAAAAAGGTAATATCTTCCCATAAAAACTAGACAGAAGCATTCTCAGAAACTTGTTTGTGATGTGTGTATTCAACTAACAGAGATGAACCTTTCTTTTTACAGAGCAGTTTTGAAACACTCTTTTTGTGGAATCTGAAAGTGGATATTTGGATAGCTTTGCGGATTTCGTTGGAAACGGGATTACATATAAAATCTAGGGAGAAGCACTCTCAGGAACTTCTTTGTGATGTTTGCATTCAAGTCACAGAACTGAACATTCCCTTTCATAGAGCAGGTTTGAAACACTCTTTCTGTATTATCTGCAAGCGGACGTTTTAAGCGCTTTCAGGCCTGTGGTGAGAAAGGAAATATCTTCAAATAAAAACTAGACAGAAGCATTCTCAGAAACTTATTTGCGATGTGTGTCCTCAACTAACAGAGTTGAACCTTTCTTTTGATACAACATTTTGGAAACACTCTTTTTGTAGAATCTGCAAGTGGATATTTGGATAGCTTTGAAGGTTTCGTTGGAAACGGGAATATCTTCATATGAAATCAAGACAGAAGCATTCTCAGAAACTTCTCTGTGATGTTTGCATTCAACTCATAGAGTTGAACACTTCCCTTCATACAGCAGGTTTGAAACACTCTTTTTCTAATATTTGGAAGTGGACATTTGCAGCGCTTTGAGGCCTATGTTGAAAAAGGAAATATCTTCTCCTAAAAACCAGACAGAAGCATTCTCAGAAACTTCCTTGTGATGTGTGTACTCAAGTAACAGAGTTGAACCTTCCTTTTGACAGAGCAGTTTTGAACCACTCTTTTTGTAGAATCTGCAAGTGGATATTTTGATACCTTTGAGGATTTCGTTGGACACGGGATATCTTCATATAAAATCTAGACAGAAGCATTCTCAGGAACTTCTTTGTGATGTTTGCATTCACGTCACAGAACTGAACATTCCCTTTCATAGAGCATGTTTGAAACACTCTTTCTGTAGTATCTGCAAACGGACATTTCAAACGCTTTCAGGCCTATGGTGAGAAAGGAAATATCTTCAAATAAAAACTAGACAGAAGCATTCTCAGAAACTTATTTGCGATGTGTGTCCTCAACTAACAGAGTTGAACCTTTCTTTTGATACAACATTTTGGAAACACTCTTTTTGTGGAATCTGCAAGTGGATATTTGGATAGCTTTGAAGGTTTCGTTGGAAACGGGAATATCTTCATATAAAATCAAGACAGAAGCATTCTCAGAAACTTCTCTGTGATGTTTGCATTCAACTCATAGAGTTGAACACTTCCCTTCATACAGCAGGTTTGAAACACTCTTTTTGTAATCTTTGGAAGTGGACATTTGCAGCGCTTTGAGGCCTATGATGAAAAAGGTAATATCTTCCCATAAAAACTAGACAGAAGCATTCTCAGAAACTTGTTTGTGATGTGTGTATTCAACTAACAGAGATGAACCTTTCTTTTTACAGAGCAGTTTTGAAACACTCTTTTTGTGGAATCTGAAAGTGGATATTTGGATAGCTTTGAGGATTTCGTTAGAAACGGGATTACATATAAAATCTAGAGAGAAGCATTCTCAGGAACTTCTTTGTGATGTTTGCATTCAAGTCACAGAACTGAACATTCCCTTTCATAGAGCATGTTTGAAACACTCTTTCTGTAGTATCTGCAAACGGACATTTCATACGCTTTCAGGCCTATGGTGAGAAAGGAAATATCTTCAAATAAAAGCTAGACAGAAGCATTCTCAGAAACTTATTTGCGATGTGTGTCCTCAACTAACAGAGTTGAACCTTTCTTTTGAGACAACATTTTGGAAACACTCTTTTTGTAGAATCTGCAAGTGGATATTTGGATAGCTTTGAAGGTTTCGTTGGAAACGGGAATATCTTCATATAAAATCAAGACAGAAGCATTCTCAGAAACTTCTCTGTGATGTTTGCATTCAACTCATAGAGTTGAACACCTCCCTTCATACAGCAGGTTTGAAACACTCTTTTTGTAATATTTGGAAGTGGACATTTGCAGCGCTTTGAGGCCTATGATGAAAAAGGTAATATCTTCCCATAAAAACTAGACAGAAGCATTCTCAGAAACTTGTTTGTGATGTGTGTATTCAACTAACAGAGATGAACCTTTCTTTTTACAGAGCAGTTTTGAAACACTCTTTTTGTGGAATCTGAAAGTGGATATTTGGATACCTTTGAGGATTTCGTTGGAAACGGGATTACATATAAAATCTAGAGAGAAGCATTCTCAGGAACTTCTTTGTGATGTTTGCATTCAAGTCACAGAACTGAACATTCCCTTTCATAGAGCAGGTTTGAAACACTCTTTCTGTAGTATCTGCAAGCGGACGTTTTAAGCGCTTTCAGGCCTGTGGTGAGAAAGGAAATATCTTCAAATAAAAACTAGACAGAAGCATTCTCAGAAGCTTATTTGCGATGTGTGTCCTCAACTAACAGAGTTGAACCTTTCTTTTGATACAACATTTTGGAAACACTCTTTTTGTAGAATCTGCAAGTGGATATTTGGATAGCTTTGAAGGTTTCGTTGGAAACGGGAATATCTTCATATGAAATCAAGACAGAAGCATTCTCAGAAACTTCTCTGTGATGTTTGCATTCAACTCATAGAGTTGAACACTTCCCTTCATACAGCAGGTTTGAAACACTCTTTTTCTAATATTTGGAAGTGGACATTTGCAGCGCTTTGAGGCCTATGTTGAAAAAGGAAATATCTTCTCCTAAATACCAGACAGAAGCATTCTCAGAAACTTCCTTGTGATGTGTGTACTCAAGTAACAGAGTTGAACCTTCCTTTTGACAGAGCAGTTTTGAAGCACTCTTTTTGTAGAATCTGCAAGTGGATATTTTGATACCTTTGAGGATTTCGTTGGACACGGGATATCTTCATATAAAATCAAGACAGAAGCATTCTCAGGAACTTCTTTGTGATGTTTGCCTTCAAGTCACAGGACTGAACATTCCCTTTCATAGAGCAGGTTTGAAACACTCTTTCTGTAGTATCTGCAAGCTGACGTTTCAAGCGCTTTCAGGCCTATGGTGAGAAAGGAAATATCTTCAAGTAAAAACTAGACAGAAGCATTCTCAGAAACTTATTTGCCATGTGTGTTCTCAACTAACAGAGTTGAACCTTTGTTTTGATACGGCATTTTGGAAACACTCTTTTTGTAGAATCTGCAGGTGGATATTCGGATAGCTCTGAAGGTTTCGTTGGAAACGGGAATATCTTCATATAAAATCTTGACGGAAGCATTCTCAGAAACTGCTTTGTGATGTTTTCATTCAAGTCACAGAGTAGAATCTTCCCTGTTATATACCAGGTTTCAGACACTCTTTCTGCACTACCTGGAAGTGGACATTTGCAGCGCTTTGAGGCCTATGATGAAAAAGGAAATATCTTCCCATAAAAACTAGACAGAAGCATTCTCAGAAACTTGTTTGTGATGTGTGTATTCAACTAACAGAGATGAACCTTTCTTTTTACAGAGCAGTTTTGAAACACTCTTTTTGTGGAATCTGAAAGTGGATATTTGGATAGCTTTGAGGATTTCGTTGGAAACGGGATTACATATAAAATCTAGAGAGAAGCATTCTCAGGAACTTCTTTGTGATGTTTGCATTCACGTCACAGAACTGAACATTCCCTTTCATAGAGCATGTTTGAAACACTCTTTCTGTAGTATCTGCAAACGGACATTTCAAACGCTTTCAGGCCTATGGTGAGAAAGGAAATATCTTCAACTAAAAACTAGACAGAAGCATTCTCAGAAACTTATTTGCGATGTGTGTCCTCAACTAACAGAGTTGAACCTTTCTTTTGATACAACATTTTGGAAACACTCTTTTTGTAGAATCTGCAAGTGGATATTTGGATAACTTTGAAGGTTTCGTTGGAAACGGGAATATCTTCATATGAAATCAAGACAGAAGCATTCTCAGAAACTTCTCTGTGATGTTTGCATTCAACTCATAGAGTTGAACACTTCCCTTCATACAGCAGGTTTGAAACACTCTTTTTCTAATATTTGGAAGTGGACATTTGCAGCGCTTTGAGGCCTATGATGAAAAAGGTAATATCTTCCCATAAAAACTAGACAGAAGCATTCTCAGAAACTTGTTTGTGATGTGTGTATTCAACTAACAGAGATGAACCTTTCTTTTTACAGAGCAGTTTTGAAACACTCTTTTTGTGGAATCTGAAAGTGGATATTTGGATAGCTTTGCGGATTTCGTTGGAAACGGGATTACATATAAAATCTAGGGAGAAGCATTCTCAGGAACTTCTTTGTGATGTTTGCATTCAAGTCACAGAACTGAACATTCCCTTTCATAGAGCAGGTTTGAAACACTCTTTCTGTAGTATCTGCAAGCGGACGTTTTAAGCGCTTTCAGGCCTGTGGTGAGAAAGGAAATATCTTCAAATAAAAACCAGACAGAAGCATTCTCAGAAACTTATTTGCGATGTGTGTCCTCAACTAACAGAGTTGAACCTTTCTTTTGATACAACATTTTGGAAACACTCTTTTTGTAGAATCTGCAAGTGGATATTTGAATAGCTTTGAAGGTTTCGTTGGAAACGGGAATATCTTCATATAAAATCAAGACAGAAGCATTCTCAGAAACTTCTCTGTGATGTTTGCATTCAACTCATAGAGTTGAACACTTCCCTTCATACAGCAGGTTTGAAACACTCTTTTTGTAATATTTGGAAGTGGACATTTGCAGCGCTTTGAGGCCTATGATGAAAAAGGTAATATCTTCCCATAAAAACTAGACAGAAGCATTCTCAGAAACTTGTTTGAGATGTGTGTATTCAACTAACAGAGATGAACCTTTCTTTTTACAGAGCAGTTTTGAAACACTCTTTTTGTGGAATCTGAAAGTGGATATTTGGATAGCTTTGGGGATTTCGTTGGAAACGGGATTACATATAAAATCTAGGGAGAAGCATTCTCAGGAACTTCTTTGTGATGTTTGCATTCAAGTCACAGAACTGAACATTCCCTTTCATAGATCAGGTTTGAAACACTCTTTCTGTAGTATCTGCAAGCGGACGTTTTAAGCGCTTTCAGGCCTGTGGTGAGAAAGGAAATATCTTCAAATAAAAACTAGACAGAAGCATTCTCAGAAACTTATTTGCGATGTGTGTCCTCAACTAACAGAGTTGAACCTTTCTTTTGATACAACATTTTGGAAACACTCTTTTTGTAGAATCTGCAAGTGGATATTTGGATAGCTTTGAAGGTTTCGTTGGAAACGGGAATATCTTCATATGAAATCAAGACAGAAGCATTCTCAGAAACTTCTCTGTGATGTTTGCATTCAACTCATAGAGTTGAACACTTCCCTTCATACAGCAGGTTTGAAACACTCTTTTTCTAATATTTGGAAGTGGACATTTGCAGCGCTTTGAGGCCTATGTTGAAAAAGGAAATATCTTCTCCTAAAAACCAGACAGAAGCATTCTCAGAAACTTCCTTGTGATGTGTGTACTCAAGTAACAGAGTTGAACCTTCCTTTTGACAGAGCAGTTTTGAAGCACTCTTTTTGTAGAATCTGCAAGTGGATATTTTGATACCTTTGAGGATTTCGTTGGACACGGGATATCTTCATATAAAATCTAGACAGAAGCATTCTCAGGAACTTCTTTGTGATGTTTGCAATCACGTCACAGAACTGAACATTCCCTTTCATAGAGCATGTTTGAAACACTCTTTCTGTAGTATCTGCAAACGGACATTTCAAACGCTTTCAGGCCTATGGTGAGAAAGGAAATATCTTCAAGTAAAAACTAGACAGAAGCATTCTCAGAAACTTATTTGCGATGTGTGTCCTCAACTAACAGAGTTGAACCTTTCTTTTGATACAACATTTTGGAAACACTCTTTTTGTAGAATCTGCAAGTGGATATTTGAATAGCTTTGAAGGTTTCGTTGGAAACGGGAATATCTTCATATAAAATCAAGACAGAAGCATTCTCAGAAACTTCTATGTGATGTTTGCATTCAACTCATAGAGTTGAACACTTCCCTTCATACAGCAGGTTTGAAACACTCTTTTTGTAATATTTGGAAGTGGACTTTTGCAGCGCTTTGAGGCCTATGATGAAAAAGGTAATATCTTCCCATAAAAACTAGACAGAAGCATTCTCAGAAACTTGTTTGTGATGTGTGTATTCAACTAACAGAGATGAACCTTTCTTTTTACAGAGCAGTTTTGAAACACTCTTTTTGTGGAATCTGAAAGTGGATATTTGGATAGCTTTGAGGATTTCGTTGGAAACGGGATTACATATAAAATCTAGAGAGAAGCATTCTCAGGAACTTCTTTGTGATGTTTGCATTCACGTCACAGAACTGAACATTCCCTTTCATAGAGCATGTTTGAAACACTTTCTGTAGTATCTGCAAACGGACATTTCAAGCGCTTTCAGGCCTATGGTAAGAAAGGAAATATCTTCAAATAAAAACTAGACAGAAGCATTCTCAGAAACTTATTTGCGATGTGTGTCCTCAACTAACAGAGTTGAACCTTTCTTTTGATACAACATTTTGGAAACACTCTTTTTGTGGAATCTGCAAGTGGATATTTGGATAGCTTTGAAGGTTTCGTTGGAAACGGGAATATCTTCATATAAAATCAAGACAGAAGCATTCTCAGAAACTTCTCTGTGATGTTTGCATTCAACTCATAGAGTTGAACACTTCCCTTCATACAGCAGGTTTGAAACACTCTTTTTGTAATATTTGGAAGTGGACATTTGCAGCGCTTTGAGGCGTATGATGAAAAAGGTAATATCTTCCAATAAAAACTAGACAGAAGCATTCTCAGAAACTTGTTTGTGATGTGTGTATTCAACTAACAGAGATGAACCTTTCTTTTTACAGAGCAGTTTTGAAACACTCTTTTTGTGGAATTTGAAAGTGGATATTTGGATAGCTTTGCGGATTTCGTTGGAAACGGGATTACATATAAAATCTAGGGAGAAGCATTCTCAGGAACTTCTTTGTGATGTTTGCATTCAAGTCACAGAACTGAACATTCCCTTTCATAGAGCAGGTTTGAAACACTCTTTCTGTAGTATCTGCAAGCGGATGTTTTAAGCGCTTTCAGGCCTGTGGTGAGAAAGGAAATATCTTCAAATAAAAACTAGACAGAAGCATTCTCAGAAACTTATTTGCGATGTGTGTCCTCAACTAACAGAGTTGAACCTTTCTTTTGATACAACATTTTGGAAACACTCTTTTTGTAGAATCTGCAAGTGGATATTTGGATAGCTTTGAAGGTTTCGTTGGAAACGGGAATATCTTCATATGAAATCAAGACAGAAGCATTCTCAGAAACTTCTCTGTGATGTTTGCATTCAACTCATAGAGTTGAACACTTCCCTTCATACAGCAGGTTTGAAACACTCTTTTTCTAATATTTGGAAGTGGACATTTGCAGCGCTTTGAGGCCTATGTTGAAAAAGGAAATATCTTCTCCTAAAAACCAGACAGAAGCATTCTCAGAAACTTCCTTGTGATGTGTGTACTCAAGTAACAGAGTTGAACCTTCCTTTTGACAGAGCAGTTTTGAAGCACTCTTTTTGTAGAATCTGCAAGTGGATATTTTGATACCTTTGAGGATTTCGTTGGACACGGGATATCTTCATATAAAATCTAGACAGAAGCATTCTCAGGAACTTCTTTGTGATGTTTGCATTCAAGTCACAGAACTGAACATTCCCTTTCATAGAGCATGTTTGAAAGACTCTTTCTGTAGTATCTGCAAACGGATATTTCAAACGCTTTCAGGCCTATGGTGAGAAAGGAAATATCTTCAAATAAAAACTAGACAGAAGCATTCTCAGAAACTTATTTGCGATGTGTGTCCTCAACTAACAGAGTTGAACCTTTCTTTTGATACAACATTTTGGAAACACTCTTTTTGTAGAATCTGCAAGTGGATATTTGAAAAGCTTTGAAGGTTTCGTTGGAAACGGGAATATCTTCATATAAAATCAAGACAGAAGCATTCTCAGAAACTTCTCTGTGATGTTTGCATTCAACTCATAGAGTTGAACACTTCCCTTCATACAGCAGGTTTGAAACACTCTTTTTGTAATATTTGGAAGTGGACATTTGCAGCGCTTTGAGGCCTATGATGAAAAAGGAAATATCTTCCCATAAAAACTAGACAGAAGCATTCTCAGAAACTTGTTTGTGATGTGTGTATTCAACTAACAGAGATGAACCTTTCTTTTTACAGAGCAGTTTTGAAACACTCTTTTTGTGGAATCTGAAAGTGGATATTTGGATAGCTTTGCGGATTTCGTTGGAAACGGGATTACATATAAAATCTAGGGAGAAGCATTCTCAGGAACTTCTTTGTGATGTTTGCATTCAAGTCACAGAACTGAACATTCCCTTTCATAGAGCAGGTTTGAAACACTCTTTCTGTAGTATCTGCAAGCGGACGTTTTAAGCGCTTTCAGGCCTGTGGTGAGAAAGGAAATATCTTCAAATAAAAACTAGACAGAAGCATTCTCAGAAACTTATTTGCGATGTGTGTCCTCAACTAACAGAGTTGAACCTTTCTTTTGATACAACATTTTGGAAACACTCTTTTTGTAGAATCTGCAAGTGGATATTTGGATAGCTTTGAAGGTTTCGTTGGAAACGGGAATATCTTCATATGAAATCAAGACCGAAGCATTCTCAGAAACTTCTCTGTGATGTTTGCATTCAACTCATAGAGTTGAACACTTCCCTTCATACAGCAGGTTTGAAACACTCTTTTTCTAATATTTGGAAGTGGACATTTGCAGCGCTTTGAGGCCTATGTTGAAAAAGGAAATATCTTCTCCTAAAAACCAGACAGAAGCATTCTCAGAAACTTCCTTGTGATGTGTGTACTCAAGTAACAGAGTTGAACCTTCCTTTTGACAGAGCAGTTTTGAAGCACTCTTTTTGTAGAATCTGCAAGTGGATATTTTGATACCTTTGAGGATTTCGTTGGACACGGGATATCTTCATATAAAATCTAGACAGAAGCATTCTCAGGAACTTCTTTGTGATGTTTGCATTCACGTCACAGAACTGAACATTCCCTTTCATAGAGCATGTTTGAAACACTCTTTCTGTAGTATCTGCAAACGGACATTTCAAACGCTTTCAGGCCTATGGTGAGAAAGGAAATATCTTCAAATAAAAACTAGACAGAAGCATTCTCAGAAACTTATTTGCGATGTGTGTCCTCAACTAACAGAGTTGAACCTTTCTTTTGATACAACATTTTGGAAACACTCTTTTTGTGGAATCTGCAAGTGGATATTTGGATAGCTTTGAAGATTTCGTTGGAAACGGGAATATCTTCATATAAAATCAAGACAGAAGCATTCTCAGAAACTTCTCTGTGATGTTTGCATTCAACTCATAGAGTTGAACACTTCCCTTCATACAGCAGGTTTGAAACACTCTTTTTGTAATATTTGGAAGTGGACATTTGCAGCGCTTTGAGGCCTATGATGAAAAAGGTAATATCTTCCCATAAAAACTAGACAGAAGCATTCTCAGAAACTTGTTTGTGATGTGTGTATTCAACTAACAGAGATGAACCTTTCTTTTTACAGAGCAGTTTTGAAACACTCTTTTTGTGGAATCTGAAAGTGTATATATGGATAGCTTTGAGGATTTCGTTGGAAACGGGATTACATATAAAACCTAGAGAGAAGCATTCTCAGGAACTCCTTTGTGATGTTTGCATTCAAGTCACAGGACTGAACATTCCCTTTCATAGAGCAGGTTTGAAACACTCTTTCTGTAGTATCTGCAAGCTGACGTTTCAAGCGCTTTCAGGCCTATGGTGAGAAAGGAAATATCTTCAAGTAAAAACTAGACAGAAGCATTCTCAGAAACTTATTTGCCATGTGTGTTCTCAACTAACAGAGTTGAACCTTTGTTTTGATACGGCATTTTGGAAACACTCTTTTTGTAGAATCTGCAGGTGGATATTCGGATAGCTTTGAAGGTTTCGTTGGAAACGGGAATATCTTCATATAAAATCTAGACGGAAGCATTCTCAGAAACTGCTTTGTGATGTTTTCATTCAAGTCACAGAGTAGAATCTTCCCTGTTATATACCAGGTTTCAGACACTCTTTCTACACTACCTGGAAGTGGACATTTGCAGCGCTTTGAGGCCTATGATGAAAAAGGAAATATCTTCCCATAAAAACTAGACAGAAGCATTCTCAGAAACTTGTTTGTGATGTGTGTATTCAACTAACAGAGATGAACCTTTCTTTTTACAGAGCAGTTTTGAAATACTCTTTTTGTGGAATCTGAAAGTGGATATTTGGATAGCTTTGAGGATTTCGTTGAAAACGGGATTACATATAAAATCTAGAGAGAAGCATTCTCAGGAACTTCTTTGTGATGTTTGCATTCACGTCACAGAACTGAACATTCCCTTTCATAGAGCATGTTTGAAACACTCTTTCTGTAGTATCTGCAAACGGACATTTCAAACGCTTTCAGGCCTATGGTGAGAAAGGAAATATCTTCAAATAAAAACTAGACAGAAGCATTCTCAGAAACTTATTTGCGATGTGTGTCCTCAACTAACAGAGTTGAACCTTTCTTTTGATACAACATTTTGGAAACACTCTTTTTGTGGAATCTGCAAGTGGATATTTGGATAGCTTTGAAGATTTCGTTGGAAACGGGAATATCTTCATATAAAATCAAGACAGAAGCATTCTCAGAAACTTCTCTGTGATGTTTGCATTCAACTCATAGAGTTGAACACTTCCCTTCATACAGCAGGTTTGAAACACTCTTTTTGTAATATTTGGAAGTGGACATTTGCAGCGCTTTGAGGCCTATGATGAAAAAGGTAATATCTTCCCATAAAAACTAGACAGAAGCATTCTCAGAAACTTGTTTGAGATGTGTGTATTCAACTAACAGAGATGAACCTTTCTTTTTACAGAGCAGTTTTGAAACACTCTTTTTGTGGAATCTGAAAGTGGATATTTGGATAGCTTTGCGGATTTCGTTGGAAACGGGATTACATATAAAAACTAGGGAGAAGCATTCTCAGGAACTTCTTTGTGATGTTTGCATTCAAGTCACAGAACTGAACATTCCCTTTCATAGATCAGGTTTGAAACACTCTTTCTGTAGTATCTGCAAGCGGACGTTTTAAGCGCTTTCAGGCCTGTGGTGAGAAAGGAAATATCTTCAAATAAAAACTAGACAGAAGCATTCTCAGAAACTTATTTGCGATGTGTGTCCTCAACTAACAGAGTTGAACCTTTCTTTTGATACAACATTTTGGAAACACTCTTTTTGTAGAATCTGCAAGTGGATATTTGGATAGCTTTGAAGGTTTCGTTGGAAACGGGAATATCTTCATATGAAATCAAGACAGAAGCATTCTCAGAAACTTCTCTGTGATGTTTGCATTCAACTCATAGAGTTGAACACTTCCCTTCATACAGCAGGTTTGAAACACTCTTTTTGTAATATTTGGAAGTGGACATTTGCAGCGCTTTGAGGCCTATGTTGAAAAAGGAAATATCTTCTCCTAAAAACCAGACAGAAGCATTCTCAGAAACTTCTTTGTGATGTGTGTCTTCAACTAACAGAGATGAACCTTTCTTTTTACAGAGCAGTTTTGAAACACTCTTTTTGTGGAATCTGAAAGTGGATATTTGGATAGCTTTGAGGATTTCGTTGGAAACGGGATTACATATAAAATCTAGAGAGAAGCATTCTCAGGAACTTCTTTGTGATGTTTGCATTCAAGTAACAGAACTGAACATTCCCTTTCATAGAGCCGGTTTGAAACACTCTTTCTGTAGTATCTGCAAGCGGACGTTTCAAGCGCTTTCAGGCCTATGGTGAGAAAGGAAATATCTTCAAGTAAAAACTAGACAGAAGCATTCTCAGAAACTTATTTGCCATGTGTGTTCTCAACTAACAGAGTTGAACCTTTGTTTTGATACGGCATTTTGGAAACACTCTTTTTGTAGAATCTGCAGGTTGATATTCGGAAAGCTTTGAAGGTTTCGTTGGAAACGGGAATATCTTCATATAAAATCTAGACGGAAGCATTCTCAGAAACTGCTTTGTGATGTTTTCATTCAAGTCACAGAGTAGAATGTTCCCTTTTATATACCAGGTTTGAGACACTCTTTCTGCACTACCTGGAAGTGGACATTTGCAGCGCTTTGAGGCCTATGATGAAAAAGGAAATATCTTCCCATAAAAACTAGACAGAAGCATTCTCAGAAACTTGTTTGTGATGTGTGTATTCAACTAACAGAGATGAACCTTTCTTTTTACAGAGCAGTTTTGAAACACTCTTTTTGTGGAATCTGAAAGTGGATATTTGGATAGCTTTGAGGATTTCGTTGGAAACGGGATTACATATAAAATCTAGAGAGAAGCATTCTCAGGAACTTCTTTGTGATGTTTGCATTCACGCCACAGAACTGAACATTCCCTTTCATAGAGCATGTTTGAAACACTCTTTCTGTAGTATCTGCAAACGGACATTTCAAGCGCTTTCAGGCCTATGGTAAGAAAGGAAATATCTTCAAATAAAAACTAGACAGAAGCATTCTCAGAAACTTATTTGCGATGTGTGTCCTCAACTAACAGAGTTGAACCTTTGTTTTGATACAACATTTTGGAAACACTCTTGTTGTAGAATCTGCAAGTGGATATTTGGATAGCTTTGAAGGTTTCGTTGGAAACGGGAATATCTTCATATAAAATCAAGACAGAAGCATTCTCAGAAACTTCTCTGTGATGTTTGCATTCAACTCATAGAGTTGAACACTTCCCTTCATAGAGCAGGTTTGAAACACTCTTTTTGTAATATTTGGAAGTGGACATTTGCAGCGCTTTGAGGCCTATGTTGAAAAAGGAAATATCTTCTCCTAAAAACCAGACAGAAGCATTCTCAGAAACTTCCTTGTGATGTGTGTACTCAAGTAACAGAGTTGAACCTTCCTTTTGACAGAGCCGTTTTGAAACAGTCTTTTTGTAGAATCTGGAAGTAGATATTTGGATACCTTTGAGGATTTCTTTGGAAACGGGATATCTTCATATAAAATCTAGACAGAAGCATTCTCAGGAACTTCTTTGTGATGTTTGCATTCAAGTCACAGAACTGAACATTCCCTTTCATAGAGCAGGTTTGAAACACTCTTTCTGTAGTATCTGCAAGCGGACGTTTCAAGCGCTTTCAGGCCTGTGGTGAAAAAGGAAATATCTTCAAATAAAAACTAGACAGAAGCATTCTCAGAAACTTATTTGCCATGTGTGTTCTCAACTAACAGAGTTGAACCTATGTTTTTATACGGCATTTTGGAAACACTCTTTTTGTAGAATCTGCAGGTGGATATTCGGATAGCTTTGAAGGTTTCGTTGGAAACGGGAATATCTTCATATAAAATCTAGACGGAAGCATTCTCAGAAACTGCTTTGTGATGTTTTCGTTGAAGTCACAGAGTAGAATGTTCCCTTTTATATACCAGGTTTGAGACACTCTTTCTGCACTATCTGGAAGTGGACATTTGGAGCGCTTTGAGGCCTATGATGAAAAAGGAAATATCTTCCCATAAAAACTAGACAGAAGCATTCTCAGAAACTTGTTTGTGATGTGTGTATTCAACTAACAGAGATGAACCTTTCTTTTTACAGCGCAGTTTTGAAACAGTCTTTTTGTAGAATCTGGAAGTAGATATTTGGATACATTTGAGGATTTCTTTGGAAACGGGATATCTTCATATAAAATCTAGACAGAAGCATTCTCAGAAACTTCTTTGTGCTGTATGTCCTCAATTAACAGAGTGGAAACTTTGTGTGGATACTGCATTTTGGAAACATTCCTTTAGTAGAATCTGCAAGTTGATATTTAGATAGCTAGGAAGATTTCCTTGGAAACGGGAATATCTTCATATAAAATCTAGACGGAAGCATTCTCAGAAAGTGCTTTGTGGTGTTTGCATTCAAGTCACAAAGTTGAATATTCCCTTTTATAGAGCAGGTTTGAAACACTCTTTCTGCACTACCTGGAAGTGGACATTTGGAGCGCTTTGAGGCCTATGTTGAAAAAGGAAATATCTTCCCATAAAAACTAGACAGAAGCATTCTCAGAAACTTGTTTGTGATGTGTGTATTCAACTAACAGAGATGAACCTTTCTTTTTACAGAGCAGTTTTGAAACACTCTTTTTGTGGAATCTGAAAGTGGATATTTGGATAGCTTTGAGGATTTCGTTGGAAACGGGATTACCTATAAAATCTAGAGAGAAGCATTCTCAGGAACTTCTTTGTGATGTTTGCATTCACGTCACAGAACTGAACATTCCCTTTCATAGAGCATGTTTGAAACACTCTTTCTGTAGTATCTGCAAACGGACATTTCAAGCGCTTTCAGGCCTATGGTAAGAAAGGAAATATCTTCAAATAAAAACTAGACAGAAGCATTCTCAGAAGCTTATTTGCGATGTGTGTCCTCAACTAACAGAGTTGAACCTTTGTTTTGATACAACATTTTGGAAACACTCTTTTTGTAGAATCTGCAAGTGGATATTTGGATAGCTTTGAAGGTTTCGTTGTTAACGGGAATATCTTCATATAAAATCAAGACAGAAGCATTCTCAGAAACTTCTCTGTGATGTTTGCATTCAACTCATAGAGTTGAACACTTCCCTTCATAGAGCAGGTTTGAAACACTCTTTTTGTAATATTTGGAAGTGGACATTTGCAGCGCTTTGAGGCCTATTTGAAAAAGGAAATATCTTCTCCTAAAAACCAGACAGAAGCATTCTCAGAAACTTCCTTGTGATGTGTGTACTCAAGTAACAGAGTTGAACCTTACTTTTGACAGAGCCGTTTTGAAACAGTCTTTTTGTAGAATCTGGAAGTAGATATTTGGACACCTTTGAGGATTTCTTTGGAAACGGGATATCTTCATATAAAATCTAGACAGAAGCATTCTCAGAAACTTCTTTGTGCTGTATGTCCTCAATTAACAGAGTTGAACCTTTGTGTGGATACGGCATTTTGGAAACATTCCTTTAGTAGAATCTGCAAGTTGATATTTAGATAACTAGGAAGATTTCCTTGGAAACGGGAATATCTTCATATAAAATCTAGACGGAAGCATTCTCAGAAAGTGCTTTGTGATGTTTGCATTCAAGTCACAGAGTTGAATATTCCCTTTTATAGAGCAGGTTTGAAACACTCTTTCTGCACTACCTGGAAGTGGACATTTGGAGCGCTTTGAGGCCTATGTTGAAAAAGGAAATATCTTCCCATAAAAACTAGACAGAAGCATTCTCAGAAACTTGTTTGTGATGTGTGTATTCAACTAACAGAGATGAACCTTTCTTTTTACAGAGCAGTTTTGAAACACTCTTTTTGTGGAATCTGAAAGTGGATATTTGGATAGCTTTGAGGATTTCGTTGGAAACGGGATTACATATAAAACCTAGAGAGAAGCATTCTCAGGAACTTCTTTGTGATGTTTGCATTCAAGTCACAGAACTGAACATTCCCTTTCATAGAGCAGGTTTGAAACACTCTTTCTGTAGTATCTGCAAGCTGACGTTTCAAGCGCTTTCAGGCCTATGGTGAGAAAGGAAATATCTTCAAGTAAAAACCAGACAGAAACATTCTCAGAAACTTATTTGCGATGTGTGTTCTCAACTAACAGAGTTGAACCTTTGTTTTGATACGGCATTTTGGAAACACTCTTTTTGTAGAATCTGCAGGTGGATATTCGGATAGCTTTGAAGGTTTCTTTGGAAACGGGAATATCTTCATATAAAATCTAGACGGAAGCATTCTCAGAAACTTCTCTGTGATGTTTGCATTCAACTCATAGAGTTGAACACTTCCCTTCATACAGCAGGTTTGAAACACTCTTTTTGTAATATTTGGAAGTGGACATTTGCAGCGCTTTGAGGCCTATGTTGAAAAAGGAAATATCTTCTCCTAAAAACCAGACAGAAGCATTCTCAGAAACTTCCTTGTGATGTGTGTACTCAAGTAACAGAGTTGAACCTTCCTTTTGACAGAGCAGTTTTGAAGCACTCTTTTTGTAGAATCTGCAAGTGGATATTTTGATACCTTTGAGGATTTCGTTGGACACAGGATATCTTCATATAAAATCTAGACAGAAGCATTCTCAGGAACTTCTTTGTGATGTTTGCATTCAAGTCACAGAACTGAACATTCCCTTTCATAGAGCAGGTTTGAAACACTCTTTCTGTAGTATCTGCAAGCTGACGTTTCAAGCGCTTTCAGGCCTATGGTGAGAAAGGAAATATCTTCAAGTAAAAACTAGACAGAAGCATTCTCAGAAACTTATTTGCCATGTGTGTTCTCAACTAACAGAGTTGAACCTTTGTTTTGATGCGGCATTTTGGAAACACTCTTTTTGTAGAATCTGCAGGTGGATATTCGGATAGCTTTGAAGGTTTCGTTGGAAACTGGAATATCTTCATATAAAATCTAGACGGAAGCATTCTCAGAAACTGCTTTGTGATGTTTTCATTCAAGTCACAGAGTAGAATGTTCCCTGTTATATACCAGGTTTGAGACACTCTTTCTGCACTACCTGGAAGTGGACGTTTGGAGCGCTTTGAGGCCTTTGTTGAAAAAGGAAATATCTTCCCATAAAAACTAGACAGAAGCATTCTCAGAAACTGCTTTCTGATGTGTGTATTCAACTAACAGAGATGAACCTTTCTTTTTACAGAGCAGTTTTGAAACACTCTTTTTGTGGAATCTGAAAGTGGATATTTGGATAGCTTTGAGGATTTCGTTGGAAACGGGATTACATATAAAATCTAGAGAGAAGCATTCTCAGGAACTTCTTTGTGATGTTTGCATTCACGTCACAGAACTGAACATTCCCTTTCATAGAGCATGTTTGAAACACTCTTTCTGTAGTATCTGCAAACGGACATTTCAAACGCTTTCAGGCCTATGGTGAGAAAGGAAATATCTTCAAATAAAAACTAGACAGAAGCATTCTCAGAAACTTATTTGCGATGTGTGTCCTCAACTAACAGAGTTGAACCTTTCTTTTGATACAACATTTTGGAAACACTCTTTTTGTAGAATCTGCAAGTGGATATTTGAATAGCTTTGAAGGTTTCTTTGGAAACGGGAATATCTTCATATAAAATCAAGACAGAAGCATTCTCAGAAACTTCTCTGTGATGTTTGCATTCAACTCATAGAGTTGAACACTTCCCTTCATACAGCAGGTTTGAAACACTCTTTTTGTAATATTTGGAAGTGGACATTTGCAGCGCTTTGAGGCCTATGATGAAAAAGGAAATATCTTCCAATAAAAACTAGACAGAAGCATTCTCAGAAACTTATTTGCGATGTGTGTTCTCAACTAACAGAGTTGAACCTTTGTTTTGATATGGCATTTTGGAAACACTCTTTTTGTAGAATCTGCAGGTGGATATTCGGATAGCTTTGAAGGTTTCGTTGGAAACGGGAATATCTTCATATAAAATCTAGACGGAAGCATTCTCAGAAACTGCTTTGTGATGTTTTCATTCAAGTCACAGAGTAGAATGTTCCCTGTTATATACCAGGTTTGAGACACTCTTTCTGCACTACCTGGAAGTGGACGTTTGGAGCGCTTTGAGGCCTATGTTGAAAAAGGAAATATCTTCCCATAAAAACTAGACAGAAGCATTCTCAGAAACTTGTTTTTGATGTGTGTATTCAACTAACAGAGATGAACCTTTCTTTTTACAGAGCAGTTTTGAAACACTCTTTTTGTGGAATCTGAAAGTGGATATTTGGATAGCTTTGAGGATTTCGTTGCAAACGGGATTACATATAAAATCTAGAGAGAAGCATTCTCAGGAACTTCTTTGTGATGTTTGCATTCACGTCACAGAACTGAACATTCCCTTTCATAGAGCATGTTTGAAACACTCTTTCTGTAGTATCTGCAAACGGACATTTCAAACGCTTTCAGGCCTATGGTGAGAAAGGAAATATCTTCAAATAAAAACTAGACAGAAGCATTCTCAGAAACTTATTTGTGATGTGTGTCCTCAACTAACAGAGTTGAACCTTTCTTTTGATACAACATTTTGGAAACACTCTTTTTGTGGAATCTGCAAGTGGATATTTGGATAGCTTTGAAGGTTTTGTTGGAAACGGGAATATCTTCATATAAAATCAAGACAGAAGCATTCTCAGAAACTTCTCTGTGATGTTTGTATTCAACTCATAGAGTTGAACACTTCCCTTCATACAGCAGGTTTGAAACACTCTTTTTGTAATATTTGGAAGTGGACATTTTCAGCACTTTGAGGCCTATGATGAAAAAGGAAATATCTTCCCATAAAAACTAGACAGAAGCATTCTCAGAAACTTATTTGCCATGTGTGTTCTCAACTAACAGAGTTGAACCTTTGTTTTGATACGGCATTTTGGAAACACTCTTTTTGTAGAATCTGCAGGTGGATATTCGGATAGCTTTGAAGGTTTCGTTGGAAACGGGAATATCTTCATATAAAATCTAGACGGAAGCATTCTCAGAAACTGCTTTGGGATGTTTTCATTCAAGTCACAGAGTAGAATGTTCCCTGTTATATACCAGGTTTGAGACACTCTTTCTGCACTACCTGGAAGTGGACGTTTGGAGCGCTTTGAGGCCTATGTTGAAAAAGGAAATATCTTCCCATAAAAACTAGACAGAAGCATTCTCAGAAACTTGTTTGTGATGTGTGTATTCAACTAACAGAGATGAACCTTTCTTTTTACAGAGCAGTTTTGAAACACTCTTTTTGTGGAATCTGAAAGTGGATATTTGGATAGCTTTGAGGATTTCGTTGGAAACGGGATTACATATAAAACCTAGAGAGAAGCATTCTCAGGAACTACTTTGTGATGTTTGCATTCAAGTCACAGAACTGAAAATTCCCTTTCATAGAGCAGGTTTGAAACACTCTTTCTGTAGTATCTGCAAGCTGACGTTTCAAGCGCTTTCAGGCCTATGGTGAGAAAGGAAATATCTTCAAGTAAAAACTAGACAGAAGCATTCTCAGAAACTTATTTGCCATGTGTGTTCTCAACTAACAGAGTTGAACCTTTGTTTTGATACGGCATTTTGGAAACACTCTTTTTGTAGAATCTGCAGGTGGATATTCGGATAGCTTTGAAGGTTTCGTTGGAAACGGGAATATCTTCATATAAAATCTAGACGGAAGCATTCTCAGAAACTGCTTTGTGATGTTTTCATTCAAGTCACAGCAGTAGAATGTTCCCTGTTATATACCAGGTTTGAGACACTCTTTCTGCACTACCCGGAAGTGGACGTTTGGAGCGCTTTGAGGCCTATGTTGAAAAAGGAAATATCTTCCCATAAAAACTAGACAGAAGCATTCTCAGAAACTTGTTTGTGATGTGTGTATTCAACTAACAGAGATGAACCTTTCTTTTTACAGAGCAGTTTTGAAACACTCTTTTTGTGGAATCTGAAAGTGGATATTTGGATAGCTTTGAGGATTTCGTTGGAAACGGGATTACATATAAAATCTAGAGAGAAGCATTCTCAGGAACGTCTTTGTGATGTTTGCATTCACGTCACAGAACTGAACATTCCCTTTCATAGAGCATGTTTGAAACACTCTTTCTGTAGTATCTGCAAACGGACATTTCAAACGCTTTCAGGCCTATGGTGAGAAAGGAAATATCTTCAAATAAAAACTAGACAGAAGCATTCTCAGAAACTTATTTGCGATGTGTGTCCTCAACTAACAGAGTTGAACCTTTCTTTTGATACAACATTTTGGAACCACTCTTTTTGTAGAATCTGCATGTGGATATTTGGATAGCTTTGAAGGTTTCGTTGGAAACGGGAATATCTTCATATAAAATCAAGACAGAAGCATTCTCAGAAACTTCTCTGTGATGTTTGCATTCAACTCATAGAGTTGAACACTTCCCTTCATACAGCAGGTTTGAAACACTCTTTTTGTAATATTTGGAAGTGGACATTTGCAGCGCTTTGAGGCCTATGATGAAAAAGGAAATATCTTCCCATAAAAACTAGACAGAAGCATTCTCAGAAACTTGTTTGTGATGTGTGTATTCAACTAACAGAGATGAACCTTTCTTTTTACAGAGCAGTTTTGAAACACTCTTTTTGTGGAATCTGAAAGTGGATATTTGGATAGCTTTGAGGATTTCGTTGGAAACGGGATTACATATAAAACCTAGAGAGAAGCATTCTCAGGAACTTCTTTGTGATGTTTGCCTTCAAGTCACAGGACTGAACATTCCCTTTCATAGAGCAGGTTTGAAACACTCTTTGTGTAGTATCTGCAAGCTGACGTTTCATGCGCTTTCAGGCCTATGGTGAGAAAGGAAATATCTTCAAGTAAAAACTAGACAGAAGCATTCTCAGAAACTTATTTGCCATGTGTGTTCTCAACTAACAGAGTTGAACCTTTGTTTTGATACGGCATTTTGGAAACACTCTTTTTGTAGAATCTGCAGGTGGATATTCGGATAGCTTTGAAGGTTTCGTTGGAAACGGGAATATCTTCATATAAAATCTAGACGGAAGCATTCTCAGAAACTGCTTTGTGATGTTTTCATTCAAGTCACAGAGTTGAATGTTCCCTGTTATATACCAGGTTTGAGACACTCTTTCTGCACTACCCGGAAGTGGACGTTTGGAGCGCTTTGAGGCCAATGTTGAAAAAGGAAATATCTTCCCATAAAAACTAGACAGAAGCATTCTCAGAAACTTGTTTGTGATGTGTGTATTCAACTAACAGAGATGAACCTTTCTTTTTACAGAGCAGTTTTGAAACACTCTTTTTGTGGAATCTGAAAGTGGATATTTGGATAGCTTTGAGGATTTCGTTGGAAACGGGATTACATATAAAACCTAGAGAGAAGCATTCTCAGGAACTTCTTTGTGATGTTTGCCTTCAAGTCACAGGACTGAACATTCCCTTTCATAGAGCAGGTTTGAAACACTCTTTCTGTAGTATCTGCAAGCTGACGTTTCAAGCGCTTTCAGGCCTATGGTGACAAAGGAAATATCTTCAAGTAAAAACTAGACAGAAGCATTCTCAGAAACTTATTTGCGATGTGTGTTCTCAACTAACAGAGTTGAACCTTTGTTTTGATATGGCATTTTGGAAACACTCTTTTTGAAGAATCTGCAGGTGGATATTCGGATAGCTTTGAAGGTTTCGTTGGAAACGGGAATATCTTCATATAAAATCTAGACGGAAGCATTCTCAGAAACTGCTTTGTGATGTTTTCATTCAAGTCACAGAGTAGAATCTTCCCTGTTATATACCAGGTTTGAGACACTCTTTCTGCACTACCTGGAAGTGGACGTTTGGAGCGCTTTGAGGCCTATGTTGAAAAAGGAAATATCTTCCCATAAAAACTAGACAGAAGCATTCTCAGAAACTTGTTTGTGATGTGTGTATTCAACTAACAGAGATGAACCTTTCTTTTTACAGAGCAGTTTTGAAACACTCTTTTTGTGGAATCTGAAAGTGGATATTTGGATAGCTTTGAGGATTTCGTTGGAAACGGGATTACATATAAAACCTAGAGAGAAGCATTCTCAGGAACTTCTTTGTGATGTTTGCATTCAAGTCACAGAACTGAACATTCCCTTTCATAGAGCAGGTTTGAAACACTCTTTCTGTAGTATCTGCAAGCTGACGTTTCAAGCGCTTTCAGGCCTATGGTGAGAAAGGAAATATCTTCAAGTAAAAACTAGACAGAAGCATTCTCAGAAACTTATTTGCGATGTGTGTTCTCAACTAACAGAGTTGAACCTTTGTTTTGATATGGCATTTTGGAAACACTCTTTTTGTAGAATCTGCAGGTGGATATTCGGATAGCTTTGAAGGTTTCGTTGGAAACGGGAATATCTTCATATAAAATCTAGACGGAAGCATTCTCAGAAACTGCTTTGTGATGTTTTCATTCAAGTCACAGAGTAGAATGTTCCCTGTTATATACCAGGTTTGAGACACTCTTTCTGCACTACCTGGAAGTGGACATTTGCAGCGCTTTGAGGCCTATGATGAAAAAGGAAATATCTTCCCATAAAAACTAGACAGAAGCATTCTCAGAAACTTGTTTGTGATGTGTGTATTCAACTAACAGAGATGAACCTTTCTTTTTACAGAGCAGTTTTGAATCACTCTTTTTGTGGAATCTGAAAGTGGATATTTGGATAGCTTTGAGGATTTCGTTGGAAACGGGATTACATATAAAATCTAGAGAGAAGCATTCTCAGGAACTTCTTTGTGATGTTTGCATTCACGTCACAGAACTGAACATTCCCTTTCATAGAGCATGTTTGAAACACTCTTTCTGTAGTATCTGCAAACGGACATTTCAAACGCTTTCAGGCCTATGGTGAGAAAGGAAATATCTTCAAATAAAAACTAGACAGAAAGCATTCTCAGAAACTTATTTGCGATGTGTGTCCTCAACTAACAGAGTTGAACCTTTCTTTTGATACAACATTTTGGAAACACTCTTTTTGTGGAATCTGCAAGTGGATATTTGGATAGCTTTGAAGATTTCGTTGGAAACGGGAATATCTTCATATAAAATCAAGACAGAAGCATTCTCAGAAACTTCTCTGTGATGTTTGCATTCAACTCATAGAGTTGAACACTTCCCTTCATACAGCAGGTTTGAAACACTCTTTTTGTAATATTTGGAAGTGGACATTTGCAGCGCTTTGAGGCCTATGATGAAAAAGGTAATATCTTCCCATAAAAACTAGACAGAAGCATTCTCAGAAACTTGTTTGTGATGTGTGTATTCAACTAACAGAGATGAACCTTTCTTTTTACAGAGCAGTTTTGAAACACTCTTTTTGTGGAATCTGAAAGGTGATATTTGGATAGCTTTGCGGATTTCGTTGGAAACGGGATTACATATAAAACCTAGAGAGAAGCATTCTCAGGAACTTCTTTGTGATGTTTGCATTCAAGTCACAGAACTGAACATTCCCTTTCATAGAGCATGTTTGAAACACTCTTTCTGTAGTATCTGCAAGCGGACGTTTCAAGCGCTTTCAGGCCTATGGTGAGAAAGGAAATATCTTCAAGTAAAAACTAGACAGAAGCATTCTCAGAAACTTATTTGCCATGTGTGTCCTCAACTAACAGAGTTGAACCTTTGTTTTGATACGGCATTTTGGAAACACTCTTTTTGTAGAATCTGCAGGTGGATATTCGGATAGCTTTGAAGGATTCGTTGGAAACGGGAATATCTTCATATAAAATCTAGACGGAAGCATTCTCAGAAACTGCTTTGTGATGTTTTCATTCAAGTCACAGAGTAGAATGTTCCCTGTTATATACCAGGTTTGAGACACTCTTTCTGCACTACCTGGAAGTGGACATTTGCAGCGCTTTGAGGCCTATGATGAAAAAGGAAATATCTTCCCATAAAAACTAGACAGAAGCATTCTCAGAAACTTGTTTGTGATGTGTGTATTCAACTAACAGAGATGAACCTTTCTTTTTACAGAGCAGTTTTGAAACACTCTTTTTGTGGAATCTGAAAGTGGATATTTGGATAGCTTTGAGGATTTCGTTGGAAACGGGATTACATATAAAACCTAGAGAGAAGCATTCTCAGGAACTTCTTTGTGATGTTTGCATTCACGTCACAGAACTGAACATTCCCTTTCATAGAGCATGTTTGAAACACTCTTTCTGTAGTATCTGCAAACGGACATTTCAAACGCTTTCAGGCCTATGGTGAGAAAGGAAATATCTTCAAATAAAAACTAGACAGAAGCATTCTCAGAAACTTATTTGCGATGTGTGTCCTCAACTAACAGAGTTGAACCTTTCTTTTGATACAACATTTTGGAAACACTCTTTTTGTAGAATCTGCAAGTGGATATTTGAATAGCTTTGAAGGTTTCGTTGGAAACGGGAATATCTTCATATAAAATCAAGACAGAAGCATTCTCAGAAACTTCTCTGTGATGTTTGCATTCAACTCATAGAGTTGAACACTTCCCTTCATACAGCAGGTTTGAAACACTCTTTTTGTAATATTTGGAAGTGGACATTTGCAGCGCTTTGAGGCCTATGATGAAAAAGGAAATATCTTCCCATAAAAACTAGACAGAAGCATTCTCAGAAACTTGTTTGTGATGTGTGTATTCAACTAACAGAGATGAACCTTTCTTTTTACAGAGCAGTTTTGAAACACTCTTTTTGTGGAATCTGAAAGTGGATATTTGGATAGCTTTGCGGATTTCGTTGGAAACGGGATTACATATAAAATCTAGGGAGAAGCATTCTCAGGAACTTCTTTGTGATGTTTGCATTCAAGTCACAGAACTGAACATTCCCTTTCATAGAGCAGGTTTGAAACACTCTTTCTGTAGTATCTGCAAGCGGACGTTTTAAGCGCTTTCAGGCCTGTGGTGAGAAAGGAAATATCTTCAAATAAAAACTAGACAGAAGCATTCTCAGAAACTTATTTGCGATGTGTGTCCTCAACTAACAGAGGTGAACCTTTCTTTTGATACAACATTTTGGAAACACTCTTTTTGTAGAATCTGCAAGTGGATATTTGGATAGCTTTGAAGGTTTCGTTGGAAACGGGAATATCTTCATATGAAATCAAGACAGAAGCATTCTCAGAAACTTCTCTGTGATGTTTGCATTCAACTCATAGAGTTGAACACTTCCCTTCATACAGCAGGTTTGAAACACTCTTTTTGTAATATTTGGAAGTGGACATTTGCAGCGCTTTGAGGCCTATGTTGAAAAAGGAAATATCTTCTCCTAAAAACCAGACAGAAGCATTCTCAGAAACTTCCTTGTGATGTGTGTACTCAAGTAACAGAGTTGAACCTTCCTTTTGACAGAGCAGTTTTGAAGCACTCTTTTTGTAGAATCTGCAAGTTGATATTTTGATACCTTTGAGGATTTCGTTGGACACGGGATATCTTCATATAAAATCTAGACAGAAGCATTCTCAGGAACTTCTTTGTGATGTTTGCATTCAAGTCACAGAACTGAACATTCCCTTTCATAGAGCAGGTTTGAAACACTCTTTCTGTAGTATCTGCAAGCGGACGTTTTAAGCGCTTTCAGGCCTGTGGTGAGAAAGGAAATATCTTCAAATAAAAACTAGACAGAAGCATTCTCAGAAACTTATTTGCGATGTGTGTCCTCAACTAACAGAGTTGAACCTTTCTTTTGATACAACATTTTGGAAACACTCTTTTTGTAGAATCTGCAAGTGGATATTTGGATAGCTTTGAAGGTTTCGTTGGAAACGGGAATATCTTCATATGAAATCAAGACAGAAGCATTCTCAGAAACTTCTCTGTGATGTTTGCATTCAACTCATAGAGTTGAACACTTCCCTTCATACAGCAGGTTTGAAACACTCTTTTTCTAATATTTGGAAGTGGACATTTGCAGCGCTTTGAGGCCTATGTTGAAAAAGGAAATATCTTCTCCTAAAAACCAGACAGAAGCATTCTCAGAAACTTCCTTGTGATGTGTGTACTCAAGTAACAGAGTTGAACCTTCCTTTTGACAGAGCAGTTTTGAAGCACTCTTTTTGTAGAATCTGCAAGTGGATATTTTGATACCTTTGAGGATTTCGTTGGACACGGGATATCTTCATATAAAATCTAGACAGAAGCATTCTCAAGATCTTCTTTGTGATGTTTGCATTCAAGTCACAGAACTGAACATTCCCTTTCATAGAGCAGGTTTGAAACACTCTTTCTGTAGTATCTGCAAGCGGACGTTTTAAGCGCTTTCAGGCCTGTGGTGAGAAAGGAAATATCTTCAAATAAAAACTAGACAGAAGCATTCTCAGAAACTTATTTGCGATGTGTGTCCTCAACTAACAGAGTTGAACCTTTCTTTTGATACAACATTTTGGAAACACTCTTTTTGTAGAATCTGCAAGTGGATATTTGAATAGCTTTGAAGGTTTCGTTGGAAACGGGAATATCTTCATATAAAATCAAGACAGAAGCATTCTCAGAAACTTCTATGTGATGTTTGCATTCAACTCATAGAGTTGAACACTTCCCTTCATACAGCAGGTTTGAAACACTCTTTTTGTAATATTTGGAAGTGGACATTTGCAGCGCTTTGAGGCCTATGATGAAAAAGGTAATATCTTCCCATAAAAACTAGACAGAAGCATTCTCAGAAACTTGTTTGTGATGTGTGTATTCAACTAACAGAGATGAACCTTTCTTTTTACAGAGCAGTTTTGAAACACTCTTTTTGTGGAATCTGAAAGTGGATATTTGGATAGCTTTGCGGATTTCGTTGGAAACGGGATTACATATAAAATCTAGGGAGAAGCATTCTCAGGAACTTCTTTGTGATGTTTGCATTCAAGTCACAGAACTGAACATTCCCTTTCATAGAGCAGGTTTGAAACACTCTTTCTGTAGTATCTGCAAGCGGACGTTTTAAGCGCTTTCAGGCCTGTGGTGAGAAAGGAAATATCTTCAAATAAAAACTAGACAGAAACATTCTCAGAAACTTATTTGCCATGTGTGTTCTCAACTAACAGAGTTGAACCTTTGTTTTGATACGGCATTTTGGAAACACTCTTTTTGTAGAATCTGCAAGTGGATATTAGGATAGCTTTTAAGGTTTCGTTGGAAACGGGAATATCTTCATATAAAATCAAGACAGAAGCATTCTCAGAAACTTCTCTGTGATGTTTGCATTCAACTCATAGAGTTGAACACTTCCCTTCATACAGCAGGTTTGAAACACTCTTTTTCTAATATTTGGAAGTGGACATTTGCAGCAATTTGAGGCCTATGTTGAAAAAGGAAATATCTTCTCCTAAAAACCAGACAGAAGCATTCTCAGAAACTTCCTTGTGATGTGTGTACTCAAGTAACAGAGTTGAACCTTCCTTTTGACAGAGCAGTTTTGAAGCACTCTTTTTGTAGAATCTGCAAGTGGATATTTTGATACCTTTGTGGATTTCGTTGGACACGGGATATCTTCATATAAAATCTAGACAGAAGCATTCTCAGGAACTTCTTTGTGATGTTTGCATTCAAGTCACAGAACTGAACATTCCCTTTCATAGAGCAGGTTTGAAACACTCTTTCTGTAGTATCTGCAAGCTGACGTTTCAAGAGCTTTCAGGCCTATGGTGAGAAAGGAAATATCTTCAAATAAAAACTAGACAGAAGCATTCTCAGAAACATATTTGCCATGTGTGTTCTCAACTAACAGAGTTGAACCTTTGTTTTGATACAGCATTTTGGAAACACTCTTTTTGTAGAATCTGCAGGTGGATATTCGGATAGCTTTGAAGGTTTCGTTGGAAACGGGAATATCTTCATATAAAATCAAGACAGAAGCATTCTCAGAAACTGCTTTGTGATGTTTTCATTCAAGTCACAGAGTAGAATGTTTCCCTGTTATATACCAGGTTTGAGACACTCTTTCTGCACTACCTGGAAGTGGACATTTGCAGCGCTTTGAGGCCTATGATGAAAAAGGAAATATCTTCCCATAAAAACTAGACAGAAGCATTCTCAGAAACTTGTTTTTGATGTGTGTATTCAACTAACAGAGATGAACCTTTCTTTTTACAGAGCAGTTTTGAAACACTCTTTTTGTGGAATCTGAAAGTGGATATTTGGATAGCTTTGAGGATTTCGTTGGAAACGGGATTACATATAAAATCTAGTGAGAAGCATTCTCAGGAACTTCTTTGTGATGTTTGCCTTCAAGTCACAGGACTGAACATTCCCTTTCATAGAGCAGGTTTGAAACACTCTTTCTGTAGTATCTGCAAGCTGACGTTTCAAGCGCTTTCAGGCCTATGGTGAGAAAGGAAATATCTTCAAGTAAAAACTAGACAGAAGCATTCTCAGAAACTTATTTGCCATGTGTGTTCTCAACTAACAGAGTTGAACCTTTGTTTTGATACGGCATTTTGGAAACACTCTTTTTGTAGAATCTGCAGGTGGATATTCGGATAGCTTTGAAGGTTTCGTTGGAAACGGGAATATCTTCATATAAAATCTAGACGGAAGCATTCTCAGAAACTGCTTTGTGATGTTTTCATTCAAGTCACAGAGTAGAATGTTCCCTGTTATATACCAGGTTTGAGACACTCTTTCTGCACTACCCGGAAGTGGACGTTTGGAGCGCTTTGAGGCCTATGTTGAAAAAGGAAATATCTTCCCATAAAAACTAGACAGAAGCATTCTCAGAAACTTGTTTGTGATGTGTGTATTCAACTAACAGAGATGAACCTTTCTTTTTACAGAGCAGTTTTGAAACACTCTTTTTGTGGAATCTGAAAGTGGATATTTGGATAGCTTTGAGGATTTCGTTGGAAACGGGATTACATATAAAATCTAGAGAGAAGCATTCTCAGGAACTTCTTTGTGATGTTTGCATTCACGTCACAGAACTGAACATTCCCTTTCATAGAGCATGTTTGAAACACTCTTTCTGTAGTATCTGCAAACGGACATTTCAAACGCTTTCAGGCCTATGGTGAGAAAGGAAATATCTTCAAGTAAAAACTAGACAGAAGCATTCTCAGAAACTTATTTGCGATGTGTGTCCTCAACTATCAGAGTTGAACCTTTCTTTTGATACAACATTTTGGAAACACTCTTTTTGTAGAATCTGCAAGGGGATATTTGAATAGCTTTGAAGGTTTCGTTGGAAACGGGAATATCTTCATATAAAATCAAGACAGAAGCATTCTCAGAAACTTCTCTGCGATGTTTGCATTCAACTCATACAGTTGAACACTTCCCTTCATACAGCAGGTTTGAAACACTCTTTTTGTAATATTTGGAAGTGGACATTTGCAGCGCTTTGAGGCCTATGATGAAAAAGGTAATATCTTCCCATAAAATCTAGACAGAAGCATTCTCAGAAACTTGTTTGTGATGTGTGTATTCAACTAACAGAGATGAACCTTTCTTTTTACAGAGCAGTTTTGAAACACTCTTTTTGTGGAATCTGAAAGTGGATATTTGGATAGCTTTGCGGATTTCGTTGGAAACGGGATTACATATAAAATCTAGGGAGAAGCATTCTCAGGAACTTCTTTGTGATGTTTGCATTCAAGTCACAGAACTGAACATTCCCTTTCATAGAGCAGGTTTGAAACACTCTTTCTGTAGTATCTGCAAGCGGACGTTTTAAGCGCTTTCAGGCCTGTGGTGAGAAAGGAAATATCTTCAAATAAAAACTAGACAGAAGCATTCTCAGAAACGTATTTGCGATGTGTGTCCTCAACTAACAGAGTTGAACCTTTCTTTTGATACAACATTTTGGAAACACTCTTTTTGTAGAATCTGCAAGTGGATATTTGGATAGCTTTGAAGGTTTCGTTGGAAACGGGAATATCTTCATATGAAATCAAGACAGAAGCATTCTCAGAAACTTCTCTGTGATGTTTGCATTCAACTCATAGAGTTGAACACTTCCCTTCATACAGCAGGTTTGAAACACTCTTTTTCTAATATTTGGAAGTGGACATTTGCAGCGCTTTGAGGCCTATGTTGAAAAAGGAAATATCTTCTCCTAAAAACCAGACAGAAGCATTCTCAGAAACTTGTTTGTGATGTGTGTCTTCAACTAACAGAGATGAACCTTTCTTTTTACAGAGCAGTTTTGAAACACTCTTTTTGTGGAATCTGAAAGTGGATATTTGGATAGCTTTGAGGATTTCGTTGGAAACGGTATTACATATAAAATCTAGGGAGAAGCATTCTCAGGAACTTCTTTGTGATGTTTGCATTCAAGTCACAGAACTGAACATTCCCTTTCATAGTGCAGGTTTGAAACACTCTTTCTGTAGTATCTGCAAGCTGACGTTTCAAGCGCTTTCAGGCCTGTGGTGAAAAAGGAAATATCTTCAAATAAAAACTAGACAGAAGCACTCTCAGAAACTTATTTGCGATGTGTGTTCTCAACTAACAGAGTTGAACCTTTGTTTGGATACAACATTTTGGAAACACTCTTTTTGTAGAATCTGCAAGTGGATATTTGGATAGCTTTGAAGGTTTCGTTGTTAACGGGAATATCTTCATATAAAATCAAGACAGAAGCATTCTCAGAAACTTCTCTGTGATGTTTGCATTCAACTCATAGAGTTGAACACTTCCCTTCATACAGCAGGTTTGAAACACTCTTTTTGTAATATTTGGAAGTGGACATTTGCAGCGCTTTGAGGCCTATGATGAAAAAGGAAATATCTTCCCATAAAAACTAGACAGGAAGCATTCTCAGAAACTTCCTTGTGATGTGTGTACTCAAGTAACAGAGTTGAACCTTCCTTTTGACAGAGCAGTTTTGAAGCACTCTTTTTGTAGAATCTGCAAGTGGATATTTTGATACCTTTGAGGATTTCGTTGGACACGGGATATCTTCATATAAAATCTAGACAGAAGCATTCTCAGGAACTTCTTTGTGATGTTTGCATTCACGTCACAGAACTGAACATTCCCTTTCATAGAGCATGTTTGAAACACTCTTTCTGTAGTATCTACAAACGGACATTTCAAACGCTTTCAGGCCTATGGTGAGAAAGGAAATATCTTCAAATAAAAACTAGACAGAAGCATTCTCAGAAACTTATTTGCGATGTGTGTCCTCAACTAACAGAGTTGAACCTTTCTTTTGATACAACATTTTGGAAACACTCTTTTTGTAGAATCTGCAAGTGGATATTTGAATAGCTTTGAAGGTTTCGTTGGAAACGGGAATATCTTCATATAAAATCAAGACAGAAGCATTCTCAGAAACTTCTCTGTGATGTTTGCATTCAACTCATAGAGTTGAACACTTCCCTTCATACAGCAGGTTTGAAACACTCTTTTTGTAACATTTGGAAGTGGACATTTGCAGCGCTTTGAGGCCTATGTTGAAAAAGGAAATATCTTCTCCTAAAAACCAGACAGAAGCATTCTCAGAAACTTCCTTGTGATGTGTGTACTCCAGTAACAGAGTTGAACCTTCCTTTTGACAGAGCAGTTTTGAAGCACTCTTTTTGTAGAATCTGCAAGTGGATATTTTGATACCTTTGAGGATTTCGTTGGACACGGGATATCTTCATATAAAATCTAGACAGAAGCATTCTCAGGAACTTCTTTGTGATGTTTGCCTTCAAGTCACAGGACTGAACATTCCCTTTCATAGAGCAGGTTTGAAACACTCTTTCTGTAGTATCTGCAAGCTGACGTTTCAAGCGCTTTCAGGCCTATGGTGAGAAAGGAAATATCTTCAAGTAAAAACTAGACAGAAGCATTCTCAGAAACTTATTTGAGATGTGTGTTCTCAACTAACAGAGTTGAACCTTTGTTTTGATATGGCATTTTGGAAACACTCTTTTTGTAGAATCTGCAGGTGGATATTCGGATAGCTTTGAAGGTTTCGTTGGAAACGGGAATATCTTCATATAAAATCAAGACAGAAGCATTCTCAGAAACTTCTCTGTGATGTTTGCATTCAACTCATAGAGTTGAACACTTCCCTTCATACAGCAGGTTTGAAACACTCTTTTTCTAATATTTGGAAGTGGACATTTGCAGCGCTTTGAGGCCTATGTTGAAAAAGGAAATATCTTCTCCTAAAAACCAGACAGAAGCATTCTCAGAAACTTCCTTGTGATGTGTGTACTCAAGTAACAGAGTTGAACCTTCCTTTTGACAGAGCAGTTTTGAAGCACTCTTTTTGTAGAATCTGCAAGTGGATATTTTGATACCTCTGAGGATTTCGTTGGAAACGGGATTACATATAAAACCTAGAGAGAAGCATTCTCAGGAACTTCTTTGTGATGTTGGCCTTCAAGTCACAGGACTGAACATTCCCTTTCATAGAGCAGGTTTGAAACACTCTTTCTGTAGTATCTGCAAGCTGACGTTTCAAGCGCTTTCAGGCCTATGGTGAGAAAGGAAATATCTTCAAGTAAAAACTAGACAGAAGCATTCTCAGAAACTTATTTGCGATGTGTGTTCTCAACTAACAGAGTTGAACCTTTGTTTTGATATGGCATTTTGGAAACACTCTTTTTGTAGAATCTGCAGGTGGATATTCGGATAGCTTTGAAGGTTTCGTTGGAAACGGGAATATCTTCATATAAAATCTAGACGGAAGCATTCTCAGAAACTGCTTTGTGATGTTTTCATTCAAGTCACAGAGTAGAATGTTCCCTGTTATATACCAGGTTTGAGACACTCTTTCTGCACTACCCGGAAGTGGACGTTTGGAGCGCTTTGAGGCCTATGTTGAAAAAGGAAATATCTTCCCATAAAAACTAGACAGAAGCATTCTCAGAAACTTGTTTGTGATGTGTGTATTCAACTAACAGAGATGAACCTTTCTTTTTACAGAGCAGTTTTGAAACACTCTTTTTGTGGAATCTGAAAGTGGATATTTGGATAGCTTTGAGGATTTCGTTGGAAACGGGATTACATATAAAATCTAGAGAGAAGCATTCTCAGGAACTTCTTTGTGATGTTTGCATTCACGTCACAGAACTGAACATTCCCTTTCATAGAGCATGTTTGAAACACTCTTTCTGTAGTATCTGCAAACGGACATTTCAAACGCTTTCAGGCCTATGGTGAGAAAGGAAATATCTTCAAGTAAAAACTAGACAGAAGCATTCTCAGAAACTTATTTGCGATGTGTGTCCTCAACTAACAGAGTTGAACCTTTCTTTTGATACAACATTTTGGAAACACTCTTTTTGTAGAATCAGCAAGTGGATATTTGAATAGCTTTGAAGGTTTCGTTAGAAACGGGAATATCTTCATATAAAATCAAGACAGAAGCATTCTCAGAAAGTGCTTTGTGATGTTTGCATTCAAGTCACAGAGTTGAATATTCCCTTTTATAGAGCAGGTTTGAAACACTCTTTCTGCACTACCTGGAAGTGGACATTTGGAGCGCTTTGAGGCCTATGTTGAAAAAGGAAATATCTTCCCATAAAAACTAGACAGAAGCATTCTCAGAAACTTGTTTGTGATGTGTGTATTCAACTAACAGAGATGAACCTTTCTTTTTACAGAGCAGTTTTGAAACACTCTTTTTGTGGAATCTGAAAGTGGATATTTGGATAGCTTCGAGGATTTCGTTGGAAACGGGATTACATATAAAATCTAGAGAGAAGCATTCTCAGGAACTTCTTTGTGATGTTTGCATTCAAGTCACAGAACTGAACATTCCCTTTCATAGAGCATGTTTGAAACACTCTTTCTGTAGTATCTGCAAGCGGACGTTTCAAGCGCTTTCAGGCCTATGGTGAGAAAGGAAATATCTTCAAGTAAAAACTAGACAGAAGCATTCTCAGAAACTTATTTGCGATGTGTGTCCTCAACTAACAGAGTTGAACCTTTGTTTTGATACAACATTTTGGAAACACTCTTTGTGTAGAATCTGCAAGTGGATATTTGGATAGCTTTGAAGGTTTCGTTGGAAACAGGAATATCTTCATATAAAATCAAGACAGAAGCATTCTCAGAAACTGCTTTGTGATGTTTCCATTGAAGTCAGAGAGTAGAATATTCCCTTTTATAGAGCAGGTTTGAAACACTCTTTCTGCACTACCTGGAAGTGGACATTTGGAGCGCTTTGAGGCCTATGATGAAAAAGGAAATATCTTCCCATAAAAACTAGACAGAAGCATTCTCAGAAACTTGTTTGTGATGTGTGTATTCAACTAACAGAGATGAACCTTTCTTTTTACAGAGCAGTTTTGAAACACTCTTTTTGTGGAATCTGAAAGTGGATATTTGGATAGCTTTGAGGATTTCGTTGAAAACGGGATTACATATAAAATCTAGAGAGAAGCATTCTCAGGAACTTCTTTGTGATGTTTGCATTCAAGTCACAGAACTGAACATTCCCTTTCATAGAGCAGGTTTGAAACACTCTTTCTGTAGTATCTGCAAACGGACATTTCAAGCGCTTTCAGGCCTATGGTAAGAGAGGAAATATCTTCAAATAAAAACTAGACAGAAGCATTCTCAGAAACTTATTTGCGATGTGTGTCCTCAACTAACAGAGTTGAACCTTTGTTTTGATACAACATTTTGGAAACACTCTTTTTGTAGAATCTGCAAGTGGATATTTGGATAGCTTTGAAGGTTTCGTTGGAAAAGGGAATATCTTCATATAAAATCAAGACAGAAGCATTCTCAGAAACTTCTCTGTGATGTTTGCATTCAACTCATAGAGTTGAACACTTCCCTTCATAGAGCAGGTTTGAAACACTCTTTTTGTAATATTTGGAAGTGGACATTTGCAGCGCTTTGAGGCCTATGTTGAAAAAGGAAATATCTTCTCCTAAAAACCAGACAGAAGCATTCTCAGAAACTTCCTTGTGATGTGTGTACTCAAGTAACAGAGTTGAACCTTCCTTTTGACAGAGCCGTTTTGAAACAGTCTTTTTGTAGAATCTGGAAGTAGATATTTGGATACCTTTGAGGATTTCTTTGGAAACGGGATATCTTCATATAAAATCTAGACAGAAGCATTATCACGAACTTCTTTGTGATGTTTGCATTCAAGTCACAGAACTGAACATTCCCTTTCATAGAGCAGGTTTGAAACACTCTTTCTGTAGTATCTGCAAGCGGACGTTTTAAGCGCTTTCAGGCCTGTGGTGAGAAAAGAAATATCTTCAAATAAAAACTAGACAGAAGCATTCTCAGAAACTTATTTGCGATGTGTGTCCTCAACTAACAGAGTTGAACCTTTCTTTTGATACAACATTTTGGAAACACTCTTTTTGTAGAATCTGCAAGTGGATATTTGGATAGCTTTGAAGGTTTCGTTGGAAACGGGAATATCTTCATATGAAATCAAGACAGAAGCATTCTCAGAAACTTCTCTGTGATGTTTGCATTCAACTCATAGAGTTGAACGCTTCCCTTCATACAGCAGGTTTGAAACACTCTTTTTGTAATATTTGGAAGTGGAGATTTGCAGCGCTTTGAGGCCTATGTTGAAAAAGGAAATATCTTCTCCTAAAAACCAGACAGAAGCATTCTCAGAAACTTCCTTGTGATGTGTGTACTCAAGTAACAGAGTTGAACCTTCATTTTGACAGAGCAGTTTTGAAGCACTCTTTTTGTAGAATCTGCAAGTGGATATTTTGATACCTTTGAGGATTTCGTTGGACACGGGATATCTTCATATAAAATCTAGACAGAAACATTCTCAGGAACTTCTTTGTGATGTTTGCATTCACGTCACAGAACTGAACATTCCCTTTCATAGAGCATGTTTGAAACACTCTTTCTGTAGTATCTGCAAACGGACATTTCAAGCGTTTTGAGGCCTATGGTAAGAAAGGAAATATCTTCAAATAAAAACTAGACAGAAGCATTCTCAGAAACTTATTTGCGATGTGTGTCCTCAACTAACAGAGTTGAACCTTTGTTTTGATACAACATTTTGGAAACACTCTTTTTGTAGAATCTGCAAGTGGATATTTGGATAGCTTTGAAGGTTTCGTTGGAAACGGGAATATCTTCATATAAAATCAAGACAGAAGCATTCTCAGAAACTTCTCTGTGATGTTTGCATTCAACTCATAGAGTTGAACACTTCCCTTCATACAGCAGGTTTGAAACACTCTTTTTGTAATATTTGGAAGTGGACATTTGCAGCGCTTTGAGGCCTATGTTGAAAAAGGAAATATCTTCTCCTAAAAACCAGACAGAAGCATTCTCAGAAACTTCCTTGTGATGTGTGTACTCAAGTAACAGAGATGAACCTTGCTTTTGACAGAGCCGTTTTGAAACAGTCTTTTTGTAGAATCTGGAAGTAGATATTTGGATACCTTTGAGGATTTCTTTGGAAACGGGATATCTTCATATAAAATCTAGACAGAAGCATTCTCAGGAACTTCTTTGTGATGTTTGCCTTCAAGTCACAGGACTGAACATTCCCTTTCATAGAGCAGGTTTGAAACACTCTTTCTGTAGTATCTGCAAGCTGACGTTTCAAGCGCTTTCAGGCCTATGGTGAGAAAGGAAATATCTTCAAGTAAAAACTAGACAGAAGCATTCTCAGAAACTTATTTGCGATGTGTGTCCTCAACTAACAGAGTTGAACCTTTCTTTTGATACAACATTTTGGAAACACTCTTTTTGTGGAATCTGCAAGTGGATATTTGGATAGCTTTGAAGGTTTCGTTGGAAACGGGAATATCTTCATATAAAATCAAGACAGAAGCATTCTCAGAAACTTCTCTGTGATGTTTGCATTCAACTCATAGAGTTGAACACTTCCCTTCATACAGCAGGTTTGAAACACTCTTTTTGTAATATTTGGAAGTGGACATTTGCAGCGCTTTGAGGCCTATGATGAAAAAGGTAATATCTTCCCATAAAAACTAGACAGAAGCATTCTCAGAAACTTGTTTGTGATGTGTGTATTCAACTAACAGAGATGAACCTTTCTTTTTACAGAGCAGTTTTGAAACACTCTTTTTGTGGAATCTGAAAGTGGATATTTGGATAGCTTTGCGGATTTCGTTGGAAACGGGATTACATATAAAATCTAGGGAGAAGCATTCTCAGGAACTTCTTTGTGATGTTTGCATTCAAGTCACAGAACTGAACATTCCCTTTCATAGAGCAGGTTTGAAACACTCTTTCTGTAGTATCTGCAAGCGGACGTTTTAAGCGCTTTCAGGCCTGTGGTGAGAAAGGAAATATCTTCAAATAAAAACTAGACAGAAGCATTCTCAGAAACTTATTTGCGATGTGTGTCCTCAACTAACAGAGTTGAACCTTTCTTTTGATACAACATTTTGGAAACACTCTTTTTGTAGAATCTGCAAGTGGATATTTGGATAGCTTTGAAGGTTTCGTTGGAAACGGGAATATCTTCATATGAAATCAAGACAGAAGCATTCTCAGAAACTTCTCTGTGATGTTTGCATTCAACTCATAGAGTTGAACACTTCCCTTCATACAGCAGGTTTGAAACACTCTTTTTCTAATATTTGGAAGTGGACATTTGCAGCGCTTTGAGGCCTATGTTGAAAAAGGAAATATCTTCTCCTAAAAACCAGACAGAAGCATTCTCAGAAACTTCCTTGTGATGTGTGTACTCAAGTAACACAGTTGAACCTTCCTTTTGACAGAGCAGTTTTGAAGCACTCTTTTTGTAGAATCTGCAAGTGGATATTTTGATACCTTTGAGGATTTCGTTGGACACGGGATATCTTCATATAAAATCTAGACAGAAGCATTCTCAGGAACTTCTTTGTGATGTTTGCATTCAAGTCACAGAAGTGAACATTCCCTTTCATAGAGCAGGTTTGAAACACTCTTTCTGTAGTATCTGCAAGCGGACGTTTCAAGCACTTTCAGGCCTATGGTGAGAAAGGAAATATCTTCAAGTAAAAACTAGACAGAAGCATTCTCAGAAACTTCTTTGTGCTGTATGTCCTCAATTAACAGAGTTGAACCTTTGTGTGGATACGGCATTTTGGAAACACTCCTTTAGTAGGATATGCAAGTTGATATTTAGATAGCTAGGAAGATTTCCTTGGAAACGGGAATATCTTCATATAAAATGTAGACGGAAGCATTCTCAGAAACTGCTTTGTGATGTTTTCATTCAAGTCACAGAGTAGAATGTTCCCTGTTATATACCAGGTTTGAGACACTCTTTCTGCACTACCTGGAAGTGGACATTTGCAGCGCTTTGAGGCCTATGATGAAAAAGGAAATATCTTCCCATAAAAACTAGACAGAAGCATTCTCAGAAACTTGTTTGTGATGTGTGTATTCAACTAACAGAGATGAACCTTTCTTTTTACAGAGCAGTTTTGAAACACTCTTTTTGTGGAATCTGAAAGTGGATATTTGGATAGCTTTGAGGATTTCGTTGGAAACGGGATTACATATAAAACCTAGAGAGAAGCATTCTCAGGAACTTCTTTGTGATGTTTGCATTCAAGTCACAGGACTGAACATTCCCTTTCATAGAGCAGGTTTGAAACACTCTGTAGTATCTGCAAGCTGACGTTTCAAGCGCTTTCAGGCCTATGGTGAGAAAGGAAATATCTTCAAGTAAAAACTAGACAGAAGCATTCTCAGAAACTTATTTGCCATGTGTGTTCTCAACTAACAGAGTTGAACCTTTGTTTTGATACGGCATTTTGGAAACACTCTTTTTGTAGAATCTGCAGGTGGATATTCGGATAGCTTTGAAGGTTTCGTTGGAAACGGGAATATCTTCATATAAAATCTAGACAGGAAGCATTCTCAGAAACTGCTTTGTGATGTTTTCATTCAAGTCACAGAGTAGAATGTTCCCTGTTATATACCAGGTTTGAGACACTCTTTCTGCACTACCTGGAAGTGGACGTTTGGAGCGCTTTGAGGCCTATGTTGAAAAAGGAAATATCTTCCCATAAAAACTAGACAGAAGCATTCTCAGAAACTTGTTTGTGATGTGTGTATTCAACTAACAGAGATGAACCTTTCTTTTTACAGAGCAGTTTTGAAACACTCTTTTTGTGGAATCTGAAAGTGGATATTTGGATAGCTTTGAGCATTTCGTTGGAAACGGGATTACATATAAAACCTAGAGAGAAGCATTCTCAGGAACTTCTTTGTGATGTTTGCATTCACGTCACAGAACTGAACATTCCCTTTCATAGAGCATGTTTGAAACACTCTTTCTGTAGTATCTGCAAACGGACATTTCAAACGCTTTCAGGCCTATGGTGAGAAAGGAAATATCTTCAAGTAAAAACTAGACAGAAGCATTCTCAGAAACTTATTTGCGATGTGTGTCCTCAACTAACAGAGTTGAACCTTTCTTTTGATACAACATTTTGGAAACACTCTTTTTGTAGAATCTGCAAGTGGATATTTGAATAGCTTTGAAGGTTTCGTTGGAAACGGGAATATCTTCATATAAAATCAAGACAGAAGCATTCTCAGAAACTTCTCTGTGATGTTTGCATTCAACTCATAGAGTTGAACACTTCCCTTCATACAGCAGGTTTGAAACACTCTTTTTGTAATATTTGGAAGTGGACATTTGCAGCGCTTTGAGGCCTATGATGAAAAAGGTAATATCTTCCCATAAAAACTAGACAGAAGCATTCTCAGAAACTTGTTTGTGATGTGTGTATTCAACTAAGAGAGATGAACCTTTCTTTTTAGAGAGCAGTTTTGAAGCACTCTTTTTGTGGAATCTGAAAGTGGATATTTGGATAGCTTTGCGGATTTCGTTGGAAACGGGATTACATATAAAATCTAGGGAGAAGCATTCTCAGGAAATTCTTTGTGATGTTTGCATTCAAGTCACAGAACTGAACATTCCCTTTCATAGATCAGGTTTGAAACACTCTTTCTGTAGTATCTGCAAGCGGACGTTTTAAGCGCTTTCAGGCCTGTGGTGAGAAAGGAAATATCTTCAAATAAAAACTAGACAGAAGCATTCTCAGAAACTTATTTGCGATGTGTGTCCTCAACTAACAGAGTTGAACCTTTCTTTTGATACAACATTTTGGAAACACTCTTTTTGTAGAATCTGCAAGTGGATATTTGGATAGCTTTGAAGGTTTCGTTGGAAACGGGAATATCTTCATATGAAATCAAGACAGAAGCATTCTCAGAAACTTCTCTGTGATGTTTGCATTCAACTCATAGAGTTGAACACTTCCCTTCATACAGCAGGTTTGAAACACTCTTTTTCTAATATTTGGAAGTGGACATTTGCAGCGCTTTGAGGCCTATGTTGAAAAAGGAAATATCTTCTCCTAAAAACCAGACAGAAGCATTCTCAGAAACTTCCTTGTGATGTGTGTACTCAAGTAACAGAGTTGAACCTTCCTTTTGACAGAGCAGTTTTGAAGCACTCTTTTTGTAGAATCTGCAAGTGGATATTTTGATACCTTTGAGGATTTTGTTGGACACGGGATATCTTCATATAAAATCTAGACAGAAGCATTCTCAGAAACTTCTTTGTGCTGTATGTCCTCAATTAACAGAGTTGAACCTTTGTGTGGATACAGCATTTTGGAAACATTCCTTTAGTAGAATCTGCAAGTTGATATTTAGATAGCTAGGAAGATTACCTTGGAAACGGGAATATCTTCATATAAAATCTAGACGGAAGCATTCTCAGAAACTGCTTTGTGATGTTTTCATTCAAGTCACAGAGTAGAATGTTCCCTTTTATAGAGCAGGTTTGAGACACTCTTTCTGCACTACCTGGAAGTGGACATTTGGAGCGCTTTGAGGCCTATGATGAAAAAGGAAATATCTTCCCATAAAAACTAGACAGAAGCATTCTCAGAAACTTGTTTGTGATGTGTGTATTCAACTAACAGAGATGAACCTTTCTTTTTACAGAGCAGTTTTGAAACACTCTTTTTGTGGAATCTGAAAGTGGATATTTGGATAGCTTTGAGGATTTCGTTGGAAACGGGATTACATATAAAACCTAGAGAGAAGCATTCTCAGGAACTTCTTTGTGATGTTTGCATTCAAGTCACAGAACTGAACATTCCCTTTCATAGAGCAGGTTTGAAACACTCTTTCTGTAGTATCTGCAAGCTGACGTTTCAAGCGCTTTCAGGCCTATGGTGAGAAAGGAAATATCTTCAAGTAAAAACTAGACAGAAGCATTCTCAGAAACTTATTTGCCATGTGTGTTCTCAACTAACAGAGTTGAACCTTTGTTTTGATACGGCATTTTGGAAACACTCTTTTTGTAGAATCTGCAGGTGGATATTCGGATAGCTTTGAAGGTTTCGTTGGAAACGGGAATATCTTCATATAAAATCTAGACGGAAGCATTCTCAGAAACTGCTTTGTGATGTTTTCATTCAAGTCACAGAGTAGAATGTTCCCTGTTATATACCAGGTTTGAGACACTCTTTCTGCACTACCTGGAAGTGGACGTTTGGAGCGCTTTGAGGCCTTTGTTGAAAAAGGAAATATCTTCCCATAAAAACTAGACAGAAGCATTCTCAGAAACTTGTTTGTGATGTGTGTATTCAACTAACAGAGATGAACCTTTCTTTTTACAGAGCAGTTTTGAAACACTCTTTTTGTGGAATCTGAAAGTGGATATTTGGATAGCTTTGAGGATTTCGTTGGAAACGGGATTACATATAAAACCTAGAGAGAAGCATTCTCAGGAACTTCTTTGTGATGTTTGCATTCAAGTCACAGAACTGAACATTCCCTTTCATAGAGCAGGTTTGAAACACTCTTTCTGTAGTATCTGCAAGCTGACGTTTCAAGCGCTTTCAGGCCTATGGTGAGAAAGGAAATATCTTCAAGTAAAAACTAGACAGAAGCATTCTCAGAAACTTATTTGCGATGTGTGTTCTCAACTAACAGAGTTGAACCTTTGTTTTGATATGGCATTTTGGAAACACTCTTTTTGTAGAATCTGCAGGTGGATATTCCGGATAGCTTTGAAGGTTTCGTTGGAAACGGGAATATCTTCATATAAAATCTAGACGGAAGCATTCTCAGAAAGTGCTTTGTGATGTTTGCATTCAAGTCACAGAGTTGAATATTCCCTTTTATAGAGCAGGTTTGAAACACTCTTTCTCCACTACCTGGAAGTGGACATTTGGAGCGCTTTGAGGCCTATGTTGAAAAAGGAAATATCTTCCCATAAAAACTAGACAGAAGCATTTTCAGGAACTTCTTTGTGATGTTTGCATTCACGTCACAGAACTGAACATTCCCTTTCATAGAGCATGTTTGAAACACTCTTTCTGTAGTATCTGCAAACGGACATTTCAAACGCTTTCAGGCCTATGGTGAGAAAGGAAATATCTTCAAATAAAAACTAGACAGAAGCATTCTCAGAAACTTTATTTGCGATGTGTGTCCTCAACTAACAGAGTTGAACCTTTCTTTTGATACAACATTTTGGAAACACTCTTTTTGTAGAATCTGCAAGTGGATATTTGAATAGCTTTGAAGGTTTCGTTGGAAACGGGAATATCTTCAAATAAAAACTAGACAGAAGCATTCTCAGAAACTTATTTGCGATGTGTGTCCTCAACTAACAGAGTTGAACCTTTCTTTTGATACAACATTTTGGAAACACTCTTTTTGTAGAATCTGCAAGTGGATATTTGAATAGCTTTGAAGGTTTCGTTGGAAACGGGAATATCTTCATATAAAATCAAGACAGAAGCATTCTCAGAAACTTCTCTGTGATGTTTGCATTCAACTCATAGAGTTGAACACTTCCCTTCATACAGCAGGTTTGAAACACTCTTTTTGTAATATTTGGAAGTGGACATTTGCAGCGCTTTGAGGCCTATGATGAAAAAGGAAATATCTTCCCACAAAAACTAGACAGAAGAATTCTCAGAAACTTGTTTGTGATGTGTGTATTCAACTAACAGAGATGAACATTTCTTTTTACAGAGCAGTTTTGAAACACTCTTTTTGTGGAATCTGAAAGTGGATATTTGGATAGCTTTGAGGATTTCGTTGGAAACGGGATTACATATAAAACCTAGAGAGAAGCATTCTCAGGAACTTCTTTGTGATGGTTGCATTCAAGTCACAGAACTGAACATTCCCTTTCATAGAGCAGGTTTGAAACACTCTTTCTGTAGTATCTGCAAGCGGACGTTTTAAGCGCTTTCAGGCCTGTGGTGAGAAAGGAAATATCTTCAAATAAAAACTAGACAGAAGCATTCTCAGAAACTTATTTGCGATGTGTGTTCTCAACTAACAGAGTTGAACCTTTGTTTTGATACAACATTTTGGAAACACTCTTTTTGTAGAATCTGCAAGTGGATATTTGGATAGCTTTGAAGGTTTCGTTGGAAACGAGAATATCTTCATATAAAATCAAGACGGAAGCATTCTCAGAAACTTCTCTGTGATGTTTGCATTCAACTCATAGAATTGAACACTTCCCTTCATAGAGCAGGTTTGAAAAACTCTTTTTGTAATATTTGGAAGTGGACATTTGCAGCGCTTTGAGGCCTATGTTGAAAAAGGAAATATCTTCTCCTAAAAACCAGACAGAAGCATTCTCAGAAACTTCCTTGTGATGTGTGTACTCAAGTAACAGAGTTGAACCTTACTTTTGACAGAGCCGTTTTGAAACAGTATTTTTGTAGAATCTGGAAGTAGATATTTGGATACAATTGAGGATTTCTTTGGAAACGGGATATCTTCATATAAAATCTAGATGGAAGCATTCTCAGGAACTTCTTTGTGATGTTTGCATTCAAGTCACAGAACTGAACATTCCCTTTCATAGAGCATGTTTGAAACACTCTTTCTGTAGTATCTGCAAGCGGACGTTTCAAGCGCTTTCAGGCCTATGGTGAGAAAGGAAATATCTTCAAGTAAAAACTAGACAGAAGCATTCTCAGAAACTTATTTGCCATGTGTGTTCTCAACTAACAGAGTTGAACCTTTGTTTTGATACGGCATTTTGGAAACACTCTTTTTGTAGAATCCGCAGGTGGATATTCGGATAGCTTTGAAGGTTTCGTTGGAAACGGGAATATCTTCATATAAAATCTAGACGGAAGCATTCTCAGAAACTGCTTTGTGATGTTTTCATTCAAGTCACAGAGTAGAATGTTCCCTGTTATATACCAGGTTTGAGACACTCTTTCTGCACTACCCGGAAGTGGACGTTTGGAGCGCTTTGAGGCCTATGTTGAAAAAGGAAATATCTTCCCATAAAAACTAGACAGAAGCATTCTCAGAAACTTGTTTGTGATGTGTGTATTCAACTAACAGAGATGAACCTTTCTTTTTACAGAGCAGTTTTGAAACACTCTTTTTGTGGAATCTGAAAGTGGATATTTGGATAGCTTTGAGGATTTCGTTGGAAACGGGATTACATATAAAACCTAGAGAGAAGCATTCTCAGGAACTTCTTTGTGATGTTTGCATTCACGTCACAGAACTGAACATTCCCTTTCATAGAGCATGTTTGAAACACTCTTTCTGTAGTATCTGCAAACGGACATTTCAAACGCTTTCAGGCCTATGGTGAGAAAGGAAATATCTTCAAGTAAAAACTAGACAGAAGCATTCTCAGAAACTTATTTGCGATGTGTGTCCTCAACTAACAGAGTTGAACCTTTCTTTTGATACAACATTTTGGAAACACTCTTTTTGTAGAATCTGCAAGTGGATATTTGAATAGCTTTGAAGGTTTCGTTGGAAACGGGAATATCTTCATATAAAATCAAGACAGAAGCATTCTCAGAAACTTCTCTGTGATGTTTGCATTCAACTCATAGAGTTGAACACTTCCCTTCATACAGCAGGTTTGAAACACTCTTTTTGTAATATTTGGAAGTGGACATTTGCAGCGCTTTGAGGCCTATGATGAAAAAGGTAATATCTTCCCATAAAAACTAGACAGAAGCATTCTCAGAAACTTGTTTGTGATGTGTGTATTCAACTAACAGAGATGAACCTTTCTTTTGACAGAGCAGTTTTGAAACACTCTTTTTGTGGAATCTGAAAGTGGATATTTGGATAGCTTTGCGGATTTCGTTGGAAACGGGATTACATATAAAATCTAGGGAGAAGCATTCTCAGGAACTTCTTTGTGATGTTTGCATTCAAGTCACAGAACTGAACATTCCCTTTCATAGAGCAGGTTTGAAACACTCTTTCTGTAGTATCTGCAAGCGGACGTTTTAAGCGCTTTCAGGCCTGTGGTGAGAAAGGAAATATCTTCAAATAAAAACTAGACAGAAACATTCTCAGAAACTTATTTGCGATGTGTGTCCTCAACTAACAGAGTTGAACCTTTCTTTTGATACAACATTTTGGAAACACTCCTTTTGTAGAATCTGCAAGTGGATATTTGGATAGCTTTGAAGGTTTCGTTGGAAACGGGAATATCTTCATATGAAATCAAGACAGAAGCATTCTCAGAAACTTCTCTGTGATGTTTGCATTCAACTCATAGAGTTGAACACTTCCCTTCATACAGCAGGTTTGAAACACTCTTTTTCTAATATTTGGAAGTGGACATTTGCAGCGCTTTGAGGCCTATGTTGAAAAAGGAAATATCTTCTCCTAAAAACCAGACAGAAGCATTCTCAGAAACTTCCTTGTGATGTGTGTACTCAAGTAACAGAGTTGAACCTTCATTTTGACAGAGCAGTTTTGAAGCACTCTTTTTGTAGAATCTGCAAGTGGATATTTTGATACCTTTGAGGATTTCGTTAGACACGGGATATCTTCATATAAAATCTAGACAGAAGCATTCTCAGGAACTTCTTTGTGATGTTTGCATTCAAGTCACAGAACTGAACATTCCCTTTCATAGAGCAGGTTTGAAACACTCTTTCTGTAGTATCTGCAAGCGGACGTTTTAAGCGCTTTCAGGCCTGTGGTGAGAAAGGAAATATCTTCAAATAAAAACTAGACAGAAGCATTCTCAGAAACTTATTTGCGATGTGTGTCCTCAACTAACAGAGTTGAACCTTTCTTTTGATACAACATTTTGGAAACACTCTTTTTGTAGAATCTGCAAGTGGATATTTGGATAGCTTTGAAGGTTTCGTTGGAAACGGGAATATCTTCATATGAAATCAAGACAGAAGCATTCTCAGAAACTTCTCTGTGATGTTTGCATTCAACTCATAGAGTTGAACACTTCCCTTCATACAGCAGGTTTGAAACACTCTTTTTCTAATATTTGGAAGTGGACATTTGCAGCGCTTTGAGGCCTATGATGAAAAAGGAAATATCTTCCCATAAAAACTAGACAGAAGCATTCTCAGAAACTTGTTTTTGATGTGTGTATTCAACTAACAGAGATGAACCTTTCTTTTTACAGAGCAGTTTTGAAACACTCTTTTTGTGGAATCTGAAAGTGGATATTTGGATAGCTTTGAAGGTTTCGTTGGAAACGGGAATATCTTCATATAAAATCTAGACGGAAGCACTCTCAGGAACTTCTTTGTGATGTTTGCATTCAAGTCACAGAACTGAACATTCCCTTTCATAGAGCAGGTTTGAAACACTCTTTCTGTAGTATCTGCAAGCGGACGTTTTAAGCGCTTTCAGGCCTGTGGTGAGAAAGGAAATATCTTCAAATAAAAACTAGACAGAAGCATTCTCAGAAACTTATTTGCGATGTGTGTCCTCAACTAACAGAGTTGAACCTTTCTTTTGATACAACATTTTGGAAACACTCTTTTTGTAGAATCTGCAAGTGGATATTTGGATAGCTTTGAAGGTTTCGTTGGAAACGGGAATATCTTCATATGAAATCAAGACAGAAGCATTCTCAGAAACTTCTCTGTGATGTTTGCATTCAACTCATAGAGTTGAACACTTCCCTTCATACAGCAGGTTTGAAACACTCTTTTTCTAATATTTGGAAGTGGACATTTGCAGCGCTTTGAGGCCTATGTTGAAAAAGGAAATATCTTCTCCTAAAAACCAGACAGAAGCATTCTCAGAAACTTCCTTGTGATGTGTGTACTCAAGTAACAGAGTTGAACCTTCCTTTTGACAGAGCAGTTTTGAAGCACTCTTTTTGTAGAATCTGCAAGTGGATATTTTGATACCTTTGAGGATTTCGTTGGACACGGGATATCTTCATATAAAATCTAGACAGAAGCATTCTCAGGAACTTCTTTGTGATGTTTGCATTCACGTCACAGAACTGAACATTCCCTTTCATAGAGCATGTTTGAAACACTCTTTCTGTAGTATCTGCAAACGGACATTTCAAACGCTTTCAGGCCTATGGTGAGAAAGGAAATATCTTCAAATAAAAACTAGACAGAAGCATTCTCAGAAACTTATTTGCGATGTGTGTCCTCAACTAACAGAGTTGAACCTTTCTTTTGATATAACATTTTGGAAACACTCTTTTTGTAGAATCTGCAAGTGGATATTTGAATAGCTTTGAAGGTTTCGTTGGAAACGGGAATATCTTCTTATAAAATCAAGACAGAAGCATTCTCAGAAACTTCTCTGTGATGTTTGCATTCAACTCATAGAGTTGAACACTTCCCTTCATACAGCAGGTTTGAAACACTCTTTTTGTAATATTTGGAAGTGGACATTTGCAGCGCTTTGAGGCCTATGATGAAAAAGGTAATATCTTCCCATAAAAACTAGACAGAAGCATTCTCGGAAACTTGTTTGTGATGTGTGTATTCAACTAACAGAGATGAACCTTTCTTTTTACAGAGCAGTTTTGAAACACTCTTTTTGTGGAATCTGAAAGTGGATATTTGGATAGCTTTGAGGATTTCGTTGGAAACGGGATTACATATAAAATCTAGAGAGAAGCATTCTCAGGAACTTCTTTGTGATGTTTGCATTCACGTCACAGAACTGAACATTCCCTTTCATAGAGCATGTTTGAAACACTCTTTCTGTAGTATCTGCAAACGGACATTTCAAACGCTTTCAGGCCTATGGTGAGAAAGGAAATATCTTCAAATAAAAACTAGACAGAAGCATTCTCAGAAACTTATTTGCGATGTGTGTCCTCAACTAACAGAGTTGAACCTTTCTTTTGATACAACATTTTGGAAACACTCTTTTTGTAGAATCTGCAAGTGGATATTTGAATAGCTTTGAAGGTTTCGTTGGAAACGGGAATATCTTCAAATAAAAACTAGACAGAAGCATTCTCAGAAACTTATTTGCGATGTGTGTCCTCAACTAACAGAGTTGAACCTTTCTTTTGATACAACATTTTGGAAACACTCTTTTTGTGGAATCTGCAAGTGGATATTTGGATAGCTTTGAAGGTTTCGTTGGAAACGGGAATATCTTCATATAAAATCAAGACAGAAGCATTCTCAGAAACTTCTCTGTGATGTTTGCATTCAACTCATAGAGTTGAACACTTCCCTTCATACAGCAGGTTTGAAACACTCTTTTTGTAATATTTGGAAGTGGACATTTGCAGCGCTTTGAGGCCTATGATGAAAAAGGTAATATCTTCCCATAAAAACTAGACAGAAGCATTCTCAGAAACTTGTTTGTGATGTGTGTATTCAACTAACAGAGATGAACCTTTCTTTTTACAGAGCAGTTTTGAAACACTCTTTTTGTGGAATCTGAAAGTGGATATTTGGATAGCTTTGCGGATTTCGTTGGAAACGGGATTACATATAAAACCTAGAGAGAAGCATTCTCAGGAACTACTTTGCGATGTTTGCATTCAAGTCACAGAACTGAACATTCCCTTTCATAGATCAGGTTTGAAACACTCTTTCTGTAGTATCTGCAAGCTGACGTTTCAAGCGCTTTCAGGCCTATGGTGAGAAAGGAAATTTCTGCAAGTAAAAACTAGACAGAAGCATTCTCAGAAACTTATTTGCGATGTGTGTTCTCAACTAACAGAGTTGAACCTTTGTTTTGATATGGCATTTTGGAAACACTCTTTTTGTAGAATCTGCAGGTGGATATTCGGATAGCTTTGAAGGTTTCGTTGGAAACGGGAATATCTTCATATAAAATCTAGACGGAAGCATTCTCAGAAACTGCTTTGTGATGTTTTCATTCAAGTCACAGAGTAGAATGTTCCCTGTTATATACCAGGTTTGAGACACTCTTTCTGCACTACCTGGAAGTGGACATTTGCAGCGCTTTGAGGCCTATGATGAAAAAGGAAATATCTTCCCATAAAAACTAGACAGAAGCATTCTCAGAAACTTGTTTGTGATGTGTGTATTCAACTAACAGAGATGAACCTTTCTTTTTACAGAGCAGTTTTGAATCACTCTTTTTGTGGAATCTGAAAGTGGATATTTGGATAGCTTTGAGGATTTCGTTGGAAACGGGATTACATATAAAATCTAGAGAGAAGCATTCTCAGGAACTTCTTTGTGATTTTTGCATTCACGTCACAGAACTGAACATTCCCTTTCATAGAGCATGTTTGAAACACTCTTTCTGTAGTATCTGCAAACGGACATTTCAAACGCTTTCAGGCCTATGGTGAGAAAGGAAATATCTTCAAATAAAAACTAGACAGAAGCATTCTCAGAAACTTATTTGCGATGTGTGTCCTCAACTAACAGAGTTGAACCTTTCTTTTGATACAACATTTTGGAAACACTCTTTTTGTAGAATCTGCAAGTGGATATTTGAATAGCTTTGAAGGTTTCGTTGGAAACGGGAATATCTTCAAATAAAAACTAGACAGAAGCATTCTCAGAAACTTATTTGCGATGTGTGTCCTCAACTAACAGAGTTAAACCTTTCTTTTGGTACAACATTTTGGAAACACTCTTTTTGTAGAATCTGCAAGTGGATATTTGAATAGCTTTGAAGGTTTCGTTGGAAACGGGAATATCTTCATATAAAATCAAGACAGAAGCATTCTCAGAAACTGCTTTGTGATGTTTTCATTCAAGTCACAGAGTAGAATGTTCCCTTTTATATACCAGGTTTGAGACACTCTTTCTGCACTATCTGGAAGTGGACATTTGGAGCGCTTTGAGGCCTATGATGAAAAAGGAAATATCTTCCCATAAAAACTAGACAGAAGCATTCTCAGAAACTTGTTTGTGATGTGTGTATTCAACTAACAGAGATGAACCTTTCTTTTTACAGAGCAGTTTTGAAACACTCTTTTTGTGGAATCTGAAAGTGGATATTTGGATAGCTTTGAGGATTTCGTTGGAAACGGGATTACATATAAAATCTAGAGAGAAGCATTCTCAGGAACTTCTTTGTGATGTTTGCATTCACGTCACAGAACTGAACATTCCCTTTCATAGAGCATGTTTGAAACACTCTTTCTGTAGTATCTGCAAACGGACATTTCAAACGCTTTCAGGCCTATGTTGAGAAAGGAAATATCTTCAAATAAAAACTAGACAGAAGCATTCTCAGAAACTTATTTGCGATGTGTGTCCTCAACTAACAGAGTTGAACCTTTCTTTTGATACAACATTTTGGAACCACTCTTTTTGTAGAATCTGCAAGTGGATATTTGGATAGCTTTGAAGGTTTCGTTGGAAACGGGAATATCTTCATATAAAATCAAGACAGAAGCATTCTCAGAAACTGCTTTGTGATGTCTTCATTCAAGTCACAGAGCAGAATGTTCCCTTTTATAGAGCAGGTTTGAAACACTCAGTGCACTACCTGGAAGTGGACATTTGGAGCGCTTTGAGGCCTATGTTGAAAAAGGAAATATCTTCCCATAGAAACTAGACAGAAGCATTCTCAGAAACTTGTTTGTGATGTGGTTATTCAACTGAGATGAACCTTTCTTTTTACAGAGCAGTTTTGAAACACTCTTTTTGTGGAATCTGAAAGTGGATATTTGGATAGCTTTGAGGATTTCGTTGGAAACGGGATTACATATAAAATCTAGGGAGAAGCATTCTCAGGAACTTCTTTGTAATGTTTGCATTCAAGTCACAGAACTGAACATTCCCTTTCATAGAGCAGGTGTGAAACACTCTTTCTGTAGTATCTGCAAGCTGACGTTTCAAGCGCTTTCAGGCCTATGGTGAGAAAGGAAATATCTTCAAGTAAAAACTAGACAGAAACATTCTCAGAAACTTATTTGCCATGTGTGTTCTCAACTAACAGAGTTGAACCTTTGTTTTGATACGGCATTTTGGAAACACTCTTTTTGTAGAATCTGCAGGTGGATATTCGAATAGCTTTGAAGGTTTCGTTGGAAACGGGAATATCTTCATATAAAATCTAGACGGAAGCATTCTCAGAAACTGCTTTGTAATGTTTTCATTCAAGTCACAGAGTAGAATGTTCCCTTTTATATACCAGGTTTGAGACACTCTTTCTGCACTACATGGAAGTGGACATTTGGAGCGCTTTGAGGCCTATGATGAAAAAGGAAATATCTTCCCATAAAAACTAGACAGAAGCATTCTCAGAAACTTGTTTGTGATGTGTGTATTCAACTAACAGAGATGAACCTTTCTTTTTACAGAGCAGTTTTGAAACACTCTTTTTGTGGAATCTGAAAGTGGATATTTGGATAGCTTTGAGGATTTCGTTGGAAACGGGATTACATATAAAATCTAGAGAGAAGCATTCTCAGGAACTTCTTTGTGACGTTTGCATTCACGTCACAGAACTGAACATTCCCTTTCATAGAGCATGTTTGAAACACTCTTTCTGTAGTATCTGCAAACGGACATTTCAAGCGCTTTCAGGCCTATGGTAAGAAAGGAAAAATCTTCAAATAAAAACTAGACAGAAGCATTCTCAGAAACTTATTTGCGATGTGTGTCCTCAACTAACAGAGTTGAACCTTTGTTTTGATACAACATTTTGGAAACACTCTTTTTGTAGAATCTGCAAGTGGATATTTGGATAGCTTTGAAGGTTTCGTTGGAAACGGGAATATCTTCATATAAAATCAAGACAGAAGCATTCTCAGAAACTTCTCTGTGATGTTTGCATTCAACTCATAGAGTTGAACACTTCCCTTCATAGAGCAGGTTTGAAACACTCTTTTTGTAATATTTGGAAGTGGACATTTGCAGCGCTTTGAGGCCTATGTTGAAAAAGGAAATATCTTCTCCTAAAAAGCAGACACAAGCATTCTCAGAAACTTGTTTGTGATGTGTGTATTCAACTAACAGAGATGAACCTTTCTTTTTACAGAGCAGTTTTGAAACACTCTTTTTGTGGAATCTGAAAGTGGATATTTGGATAGCTTTGAGGATTTCGTTGGAAACGGGATTACATATAAAACCTAGAGAGAAGCATTCTCAGGAACTTCTTTGTGATGTTTGCATTCAAGTCACAGAACTGAACATTCCCTTTCATAGAGCATGTTTGAAACACTCTTTCTGTAGTATCTGCAAACGGACATTTCAAACGCTTTCAGGCCTATGGTGAGAAAGGAAATATCTTCAAATAAAAACTAGACAGAAGCATTCTCAGAAACTTGTTTGCGATGTGTTTCCTCAACTAACAGAGTTGAACCTTTCTTTTGATACAACATTTTGGAAACACTCTTTTTGTAGAATCTGCAAGTGGATATTTGGATAGCTTTGAAGGTTTCTTTGGAAACGGGAATATCTTCATATAAAATCAAGACAGAAGCATTCTCAGAAACTTCTCTGTGATGTTTGCATTCAACTCATAGAGTTGAACACTTCCCTTCATACAGCAGGTTTGAAACACTCTTTTTGTAATATTTGGAAGTGGACATTTGCAGCGCTTTGAGGCCTATGATGAAAAAGGTAATATCTTCCCATAAAAACTAGACAGAAGCATTCTCAGAAACTTGTTTGTGATGTGTGTATTCAACTAACAGAGATGAACCTTTCTTTTTACAGAGCAGTTTTGAAACACTCTTTTTGTGGAATCTGAAAGTGGATATTTGGATAGCTTTGAGGATTTCGTTGGAAACGGGATTACATATAAAACCTAGAGAGAAGCATTTCTCAGGAACTTCTTTGTGATGTTTGCATTCACGTCACAGAACTGAACATTCCCTTTCATAGAGCATGTTTGAAACACTCTTTCTGTAGTATCTGCAAACGGACATTTCAAACGCTTTCAGGCCTATGGTGAGAAAGGAAATATCTTCAAATAAAAACTAGACAGAAGCATTCTCAGAAACTTATTTGCGATGTGTGTCCTCAACTAACAGAGTTGAACCTTTCTTTTGATACAACATTTTGAAACACTCTTTTTGTAGAATCTGCAAGTGGATATTTGAATAGCTTTGAAGGTTTCGTTGGAAACGGGAATATCTTCATATAAAATCAAGACAGAAGCATTCTCAGAAACTTCTCTGTGATGTTTGCATTCAACTCATAGAGTTGAACACTTCCCTTCATACAGCAGGCTTGAAACACTCTTTTTGTAATATTTGGAAGTGGACATTTGCAGCGCTTTGAGGCCTATGATGAAAAAGGTAATATCTTCCCATAAAAACTAGACAGAAGCATTCTCAGAAACTTGTTTGTGATGTGTGTATTCAACTAACAGAGATGAACCTTTCTTTTTACAGAGCAGTTTTGAAACACTCTTTTTGTGGAATCTGAAAGTGGATATTTGGATAGCTTTGCGGATTTCGTTGGAAACGGGATTACATATAAAATCTAGGGAGAAGCATTCTCAGGAACTTCTTTGTGATGTTTGCATTCAAGTCACAGAACTGAACATTCCCTTTCATAGAGCAGGTTTGAAACACTCTTTCTGTAGTATCTGCAAGCGGACGTTTTAAGCGCTTTCAGGCCTGTGGTGAGAAAGGAAATATCTTCAAATAAAAACTAGACAGAAGCATTCTCAGAAACTTATTTGAGATGTGTGTTCTCAACTAACAGAGTTGAACCTTTCTTTTGATACAACATTTTGGAAACACTCTTTTTGTAGAATCTGCAAGTGGATATTTGGATAACTTTGAAGGTTTCGTTGGAAACGGGAATATCTTCATATGAAATCAAGACAGAAGCATTCTCAGAAACTTCTCTGTGATGTTTGCATTCAACTCATAGAGTTGAACACTTCCCTTCATACAGCAGGTTTGAAACACTCTTTTTGTAATATTTGGAAGTGGACATTTGCAGCGCTTTGAGGCCTATGATGAAAAAGGAAATATCTTCCCATAAAAACTAGACAGGAAGCATTCTCAGAAACTTGTTTGTGATGTGTGTATTCAACTAACAGAGATGAACCTTTCTTTTTACAGAGCAGTTTTGAAACACTCTTTTTGTGGAATCTGAAAGTGGATATTTGGATAGCTTTGAGGATTTCGTTGGAAACGGGATTACATATAAAACCTAGAGAGAAAGCATTCTCAGGAACTTCTTTGTGATGTTTGCCTTCAAGTCACAGGACTGAACATTCCCTTTCATAGAGCAGGTTTGAAACACTCTTTCTGTAGTATCTGCAAGCTGACGTTTCAAGCGCTTTCAGGCCTATGGTGACAAAGGAAATATCTTCAAGTAAAAACTAGACAGAAGCATTCTCAGAAACTTATTTGCCATGTGTGTTCTCAACTAACAGAGTTGAACCTTTGTTTTGATACGGCATTTTGGAAACACTCTTTTTGTAGAATCTGCAGGTGGATATTCGGATAGCTTTGAAGGTTTCGTTGGAAACGGGAATATCTTCATATAAAATCTAGACGGAAGCATTCTCAGAAACTGCTTTGTGATGTTTTCATTCAAGTCACAGAGTAGAATGTTCCCTGTTATATACCAGGTTTGAGACACTCTTTCTGCACTACCCGGAAGTGGACGTTTGGAGCGCTTTGAGGCGTATGTTGAAAAAGGAAATATCTTCCCATAAAAACTAGACAGAAGCATTCTCAGAAACTTGTTTGTGATGTGTGTATTCAACTAACAGAGATGAACCTTTCTTTTTACAGAGCAGTTTTGAAACACTCTTTTTGTGGAATCTGAAAGTGGATATTTGGATAGCTTTGAGGATTTCGTTGGAAACGGAATTACATATAAAATCTAGAGAGAAGCATTCTCAGGAACTTCTTTGTGATGTTTGCAATCACGTCACAGAACTGAACATTCCCTTTCATAGAGCATGTTTGAAACACTCTTTCTGTAGTATCTGCAAACGGACATTTCAAACGCTTTCAGGCCTATGGTGAGAAAGGAAATATCTTCAAGTAAAAACTAGACAGAAGCATTCTCAGAAACTTATTTGCGATGTGTGTCCTCAACTAACAGAGTTGAACCTTTCTTTTGATACAACATTTTGGAAACACTCTTTTTGTAGAATCTGCAAGTGGATATTTGGATAGCTTTGAAGGTTTCGTTGGAAACGGGAATATCTTCATATAAAATCAAGACAGAAGCATTCTCAGAAACTTCTCTGTGATGTTTGCATTCAACTCATAGAGTTGAACCCTTCCCTTCATACAGCAGGTTTGAAACACTCTTTTTGTAATATTTGGAAGTGGACATTTGCAGCGCTTTGAGGCCTATGTTGAAAAAGGAAATATCTTCTCCTAAAAACCAGACAGAAGCATTCTCAGAAACATGTTTGTGATGTGTGTATTCAACTAACACAGATGAACCTTTCTTTTTACAGAGCAGTTTTGAAACACTCTTTTTGTGGAATCTGAAAGTGGATATTTGGATAGCTTTGCGGATTTCGTTGGAAACGGGATTACATATAAAACCTAGAGAGAAGCATTCTCAGGAACTTCTTTGTGATGTTTGCCTTCAAGTCACAGGACTGAACATTCCCTTTCATAGAGCAGGTTTGAAACACTCTTTCTGTAGTATCTGCAAGCTGACGTTTCAAGCGCTTTCAGGCCTATGGTGAGAAAGGAAATATCTTCAAGTAAAAACTAGACAGAAGCATTCTCAGAAACTTATTTGCGATGTGTGTTCTCAACTAACAGAGTTGAACCTTTGTTTTGATATGGCATTGTGGAAACACTCTTTTTGTAGAATCTGCAGGTGGATATTCGGATAGCTTTGAAGGTTTCGTTGGAAACGGGAATATCTTCATATAAAATCTAGACGGAAGCATTCTCAGAAACTGCTTTGTGATGTTTTCATTCAAGTCACAGAGTAGAATGTTCCCTGTTATATACCAGGTTTGAGACACTCTTTCTGCACTACCTGGAAGTGGACATTTGCAGCGCTTTGAGGCCTATGATGAAAAAGGAAATATCTTCCCATAAAAACTAGACAGAAGCATTCTCAGAAACTTGTTTGTGATGTGTGTATTCAACTAACAGAGATGAACCTTTCTTTTTACAGAGCAGTTTTGAAACACTCTTTTTGTGGAATCTGAAAGTGGATATTTGGATAGCTTTGAGGATTTCGTTGGAAACGGGATTACATATAAAACCTAGAGAGAAGCATTCTCAGGAACTTCTTTGTGATGTTTGCATTCACGTCACAGAACTGAACATTCCCTTTCATAGAGCATGTTTGAAACACTCTTTCTGTAGTATCTGCAAACGGACATTTCAAACGCTTTCAGGCCTGTGGTGAGAAAGGAAATATCTTCAAATAAAAACTAGACAGAAGCATTCTCAGAAACTTATTTGCGATGTGTGTCCTCAACTAACAGAGTTGAACCTTTGTTTTGATACAACATTTTGGAAACACTCTTTTTGTAGAATCTGCAAGTGGATATTTGGATAGCTTTGAAGGTTTCGTTGGAAACGGGAATATCTTCATATGAAATCAAGACAGAAGCATTCTCAGAAACTGCTTTGTGATGTCTTCATTGAAGTCACAGAGTAGAATGTTCCCTTTTATAGAGCAGGTTTGAAACACTCAGTGCACTACCTGGAAGTGGACATTTGGAGCGCTTTGACGCCTTTGTTGAAAAAGGAAATATCTTCCCATAGAAACTAGACTGAAGCGTTCTCAGAAACTTGTTTGTGATGTGTGTATTCAACTAACAGAGATGAACCTTTCTTTTTACAGAGCAGTTTTGAAACACTCTTTTTGTGGAATCTGAAAGTGGATATTTGGATAGCTTTGAGGATTTCGTTGGAAACGGGATTACATATAAAATCTAGGGAGAAGCATTCTCAGGAACTTCTTTGTGATGTTTGCATTCAAGTCACAGAACTGAACATTCCCTTTCATAGTGCAGGTTTGAAACACTCTTTCTGTAGTATCTGCCAGCTGACGTTTCAAGCGCTTTCAGGCCTGTGGTGAAAAAGGAAATATCTTCAAATAAAAACTAGACAGAAGCATTCTCAGAAACTTATTTGCGATGTGTGTCCTCAACTATCAGAGTTGAACCTTTCTTTTGATACAACATTTTGGAACCACTCTTTTTGTAGAATCTGCAAGTGGATATTTGAATAGCTTTGAAGGTTTCGTTGGAAACGGGAATATCTTCATATAAAATCAAGACAGAAGCATTCTCAGAAACTTCTCTGTGATGTTTGCATTCAACTCATAGAGTTGAACACTTCCCTTCATACAGCAGGTTTGAAACACTCTTTTTGTAATATTTGGAAGTGGACATTTGCAGCGCTTTGAGGCCTATGTTGAAAAAGGAAATATCTTCTCCTAAAAACCAGACAGAAGCATTCTCAGAAACTTGTTTGTGATGTGTGTATTCAACTAACAGAGATGAACCTTTCTTTTTACAGAGCAGTTTTGAAACACTCTTTTTGTGGAATCTGAAAGTGGATATTTGGATAGCTTTGAGGATTTCGTTGGAAACGGGATTACATATAAAACCTAGAGAGAAGCATTCTCAGGAACTTCTTTGTGATGTTTGCATTCAAGTCACAGAACTGAACATTCCCTTTCATAGAGCAGGTTTGAAACACTCTTTCTGTAGTATCTGCAAGCGGACGTTTTAAGCGCTTTCAGGCCTGTGGTGAGAAAGGAAATATCTTCAAATAAAAACTAGACAGAAGCATTCTCAGAAACTTATTTGCGATGTGTGTCCTCAACTAACAGAGTTGAACCTTTCTTTTGATACAACATTTTGGAAACACTCTTTTTGTAGAATCTGCAAGTGGATATTTGGATAGCTTTGAAGGTTTCGTTGGAAACGGGAATATCTTCATATGAAATCAAGACAGAAGCATTCTCAGAAACTTCTCTGTGATGTTTGCATTCAACTCATAGAGTTGAACACTTCCCTTCATACAGCAGGTTTGAAACACTCTTTTTCTAATATTTGGAAGTGGACTTTTGCAGCGCTTTGAGGCCTATGTTGAAAAAGGAAATATCTTCTCCTAAAAACCAGACAGAAGCATTCTCAGAAACTTGTTTGTGATGTGTGTATTCAACTAACAGAGATGAACCTTTCTTTTTACAGAGCAGTTTTGAAACACTCTTTTTGTGGAATCTGAAAGTGGATATTTGGATAGCTTTGCGGATTTCGTTGGAAACGGGATTACATATAAAATCTAGGGAGAAGCATTCTCAGGAACATCTTTGTGATGTTTGCATTCAAGTCACAGAACTGAACATTCCCTTTCATAGAGCAGGTTTGAAACACTCTTTCTGTAGTATCTGCAAGCGGACGTTTTAAGCGCTTTCAGGCCTGTGGTGAGAAAGGAAATATCTTCAAATAAAAACTAGACAGAAACATTCTCAGAAACTTATTTGCGATGTGTGTCCTCAACTAACAGAGTTGAACCTTTCTTTTGATACAACATTTTGGAAACACTCTTTTTGTAGAATCTGCAAGTGGATATTTGAATAGCTTTGAAGGTTTCGTTGGAAACGGGAATATCTTCATATAAAATCAAGACAGAAGCATTCTCAGAAACTTCTCTGTGATGTTTGCATTCAACTCATAGAGTTGAACACTTCCCTTCATACAGCAGGTTTGAAACACTCTTTTTGTAATATTTGGAAGTGGACATTTGCAGCGCTTTGAGGCCTATGATGAAAAAGGTAATATCTTCCCATAAAAACTAGACAGAAGCATTCTCAGAAACTTGTTTGTGATGTGTGTATTCAACTAACAGAGATGAACCTTTCTTTTTACAGAGCAGTTTTGAAACACTCTTTTTGTGGAATCTGAAAGTGGATATTTGGATTGCTTTGCGGATTTCGTTGGAAACGGGATTACATATAAAATCTAGGGAGAAGCATTCTCAGGAACTTCTTTGTGATGTTTGCATTCAAGTCACAGAACTGAACATTCCCTTTCATAGAGCAGGTTTGAAACACTCTTTCTGTAGTATCTGCAAGCGGACGTTTTAAGCGCTTTCAGGCCTGTGGTGAGAAAGGAAATATCTTCAAATAAAAACTAGACAGAAGCATTCTCAGAAACTTATTTGCGATGTGTGTCCTCAACTAACAGAGTTGAACCTTTCTTTTGATACAACATTTTGGAAACACTCTTTTTGTAGAATCTGCAAGTGGATATTTGGATAGCTTTGAAGGTTTCGTTGGAAACGGGAATATCTTCATATGAAATCAAGACAGAAGCATTCTCAGAAACTTCTCTGTGATGTTTGCATTCAACTCATAGAGTTGAACACTTCCCTTCATACAGCAGGTTTGAAACACTCTTTTTGTAATATTTGGAAGTGGACATTTGCAGCGCTTTGAGGCCTATGTTGAAAAAGGAAATATCTTCTCCTAAAAACCAGACAGAAGCATTCTCAGAAACTTCCTTGTGATGTGTGTACTCAAGTAACAGAGTTGAACCTTCCTTTTGACAGAGCAGTTTTGAAGCACTCTTTTTGTAGAATCTGCAAGTGGATATTTTGATACCTTTGAGGATTTCGTTGGACACGGGATATCTTCATATAAAATCTAGACAGAAGCATTCTCAGGAACTTCTTTGTGATGTTTGCATTCAAGTCACAGAACTGAACATTCCCTTTCATAGAGCATGTTTGAAACACTCTTTCTGTAGTATCTGCAAGCGGACGTTTCAAGCGCTTTCAGGCCTATGGTGAGAAAGGAAATATCTTCAAGTAAAAACTAGACAAAAGCATTCTCAGAAACTTATTTGCCATGTGTGTTCTCAACTAACAGAGTTGAACCTTTGTTTTGATACGGCATTTTGGAAACACTCTTTTTGTAGAATCTGCAGGTGGATATTCGGATAGCTTTGAAGGTTTCGTTGGAAACGGGAATATCTTCATATAAAATCTAGACGGAAGCATTCTCAGAAACTGCTTTGTGATGTTTTCATTCAAGTCACAGAGTAGAATGTTCCCTGTTATACACCAGGTTTGAGACACTCTTTCTGCACTACCTGGAAGTGGACGTTTGGAGCGCTTTGAGGCCTATGTTGAAAAAGGAAATATCTTCCCATAAAAACTAGACAGAAGCATTCTCAGAAACTTGTTTGTGATGTGTGTATTCAACTAACAGAGGATGAACCTTTCTTTTTACAGAGCAGTTTTGAAACACTCTTTTTGTGGAATCTGAAAGTGGATATTTGGATAGCTTTGAGGATTTCGTTGGAAACGGGATTACATATAAAACCTAGGGAGAAGCATTCTCAGGAACTTCTTTGTGATGTTTGCATTCAAGTCACAGAACTGAACATTCCCTTTCATAGAGCAGGTTTGAAACACTCTTTCTGTAGTATCTGCAAGTGAACGTTTCAAGCGCTTTCAGGCCTGTGGTGAAAAAGGAAATATCTTCAAATAAAAACTAGACAGAAGCATTCTCAGAAACTTATTTGCGATGTGTGTTCTCAGCTAACAGAGTTGAACCTTTGTTTTGATACAGCATTTTGGAAACACTCTTTTTGTAGGATCTGCAGGTGGATATTTGGATAGCTTTGAAGGTTTCTTTGGAAACGGGAATATCTTCATATAAAATCAAGACAGAAGCATTCTCAGAAACTTCTCTGTGATGTTTGCATTCAACTCATAGAGTTGAACACTTCCTTTCATAGAGCTGGTTTGAAATACTCTTTTTGTAATATTTGGAAGTGGACATTGGCAGCGCTTTGAAGCCTATGGTGAAAAAGGAGATATCTTCTCCTAAAAACCAGACAGAAGCATTCTCAGAAACTTATTTGCGATGTGTGTCCTCAACTAACAGAGTTGAACCTTTCTTTTGATACAACATTTTGGAAACACTCTTTTTGTAGAATCTGCAAGTGGATATTTGGATAGCTTTGAAGGTTTCGTTGGAAACGGGAATATCTTCATATGAAATCAAGACAGAAGCATTCTCAGAAACTTCTCTGTGATGTTTGCATTCAACTCATAGAGTTGAACACTTCCCTTCATACAGCAGGTTTGAAACACTCTTTTTCTAATATTTGGAAGTGGACATTTGCAGCGCTTTGAGGCCTATGTTGAAAAAGGAAATATCTTCTCCTAAAAACCAGACAGAAGCATTCTCAGAAACTTCCTTGTGATGTGTGTACTCAAGTAACAGAGTTGAACCTTCCTTTTGACGGAGCAGTTTTGAAGCAGTCTTTTTGTAGAATCTGCAAGTGGATATTTTGATACCTTTGAGGATTTCGTTGGACACGGGATATCTTCATATAAAATCTAGACAGAAGCATTCTCAGGAAACTTCTTTGTGATGTTTGCATTCAAGTCACAGAACTGAACATTCCCTTTCATAGAGCAGGTTTGAAACACTCTTTCTGTAGTATCTGCAAGCGGACGTTTCAAGCGCTTTCAGGCCTATGGTGAGAAAGGAAATATCTTCAAGTAAAAACTAGACAGAAGCATTCTCAGAAACTTATTTGCGATGTGTGTCCTCAACTAACAGAGTTGAACCTTTCTTTTGATACAACATTTTGGAACCACTCTTTTTGTAGAATCTGCAAGTGGATATTTGGATAGCTTTGAAGGTTTCGTTGGAAACGGGAATATCTTCATATAAAATCAAGACAGAAGCATTCTCAGAAAGTGCTTTGTGATGTTTGCATTCAAGTCACAGAGTTGAATATTCCCTTTTATAGAGCAGGTTTGAAACACTCTTTCTGCACTACCTGGAAGTGGACATTTGGAGCGCTTTGAGGCCTATGTTGAAAAAGGAAATATCTTCCCATAAAAACTAGACAGAAGCATTCTCAGAAACTTGTTTGTGATGTGTGTACTCAACTAACAGAGATGAACCTTTCTTTTTACAGAGCAGTTTTGAAACACTCTTTTTGTGGAATCTGAAAGTGGATATTTGGATAGCTTTGAGGATTTCGTTGGAAACGGGATTACATATAAAATCTAGAGAGAAGCATTCTCAGGAACTTCTTTGTGATGTTTGCATTCACGTCACAGAACTGAACATTCCCTTTCATAGAGCATGTTTGAAACACTCTTTCTGTAGTATCTGCAAACGGACATTTCAAACGCTTTCAGGCCTATGGTGAGAAAGGAAATATCTTCAAATAAAAACTAGACAGAAGCATTCTCAGAAACTTATTTGCGATGTGTGTCCTCAACTATCAGAGTTGAACCTTTCTTTTGATTCAACATTTTGGAACCACTCTTTTTGTAGAATCTGCAAGTGGATATTTGAATAGCTTTGAAGGTTTCGTTGGAAAGGGGAATATCTTCATATAAAATCAAGACAGAAGCATTCTCAGAAACTTCTCTGTGATGTTTGCATTCAACTCATAGAGTTGAACACTTCCCTTCATACAGCAGGTTTGAAACACTCTTTTTGTAATATTTGGAAGTGGACATTTGCAGCGCTTTGAGGCCTATGATGAAAATGGAAATATCTTCCCATAAAAACTAGACAGAAGCATTCTCAGAAACTTGTTTGTGATGTGTGTATTCAACTAACAGAGATGAACCTTTCTTTTTACAGAGCAGTTTTGAAACACTCTTTTTGTGGAATCTGAAAGTGCATATTTGGATAGCTTTGAGGATTTCGTAGGAAACGGGATTACATATAAAATCTAGAGAGAAGCATTCTCAGGAACTTCTTTGTGATGTTTGCCTTCAAGTCACAGGACTGAACATTCCCTTTCATAGAGCAGGTTTGAAACACTCTTTCTGTAGTATCTGCAAGCTGACGTTTCAAGCGCTTTCAGGCCTATGGTGAGAAAGGAAATATCTTCAAGTAAAAACTAGACAGGAAGCATTCTCAGAAACTTATTTGCGATGTGTGTCCTCAACTAACAGAGTTGAACCTTTCTTTTGATACAACATTTTGGAAACACTCTTTTTGTAGAATCTGCAAGTGGATATTTGGATAGCTTTGAAGGTTTCGTTGGAAACGGGAATATCTTCATATGAAATCAAGACAGAAGCATTCTCAGAAACTTCTCTGTGATGTTTGCATTCAACTCATAGAGTTGAACACTTCCCTTCATACAGCAGGTTTGAAACACTCTTTTTGTAATATTTGGAAGTGGACATTTGCAGCGCTTTGAGGCCTATGTTGAAAAAGGAAATATCTTCTCCTAAAAACCAGACAGAAGCATTCTCAGAATCTTTCTTGTGATGTATGTACTCAAGTAACAGAGTTGAACCTTCCTTTTGATTGAGCAGTTTTGAAGCACTCTTTTTGTAGAATCTGCAAGTGGATATTTTGATACCATTGAGGATTTCGTTGGACACGGGATATCTTCATATAAAATCTAGACAGAAGCATTCTCAGGAACTTCTTTGTGATGTTTGCATTCAAGTCACAGAACTGAACATTCCCTTTCATAGAGCAGGTTTGAAACACTCTTTCTGTAGTATCTGCAAGCGGACGTTTTAAGCGCTTTCAGGCCTGTGGTGAGAAAGGAAATATCTTCAAATAAAAACTAGACAGAAGCATTCTCAGAAACTTATTTGCGATGTGTGTCCTCAACTAACAGAGTTGAACCTTTCTTTTGATACAACATTTTGGAAACACTCTTTTTGTAGAATCTGCAAGTGGATATTTGGATAACTTTGAAGGTTTCGTTGGAAACGGGAATATCTTCATATGAAATCAAGACAGAAGCATTCTCAGAAACTTCTCTGTGATGTTTGCATTCAACTCATAGAGTTGAACACTTCCCTTCATACAGCAGGTTTGAAACACTCTTTTTCTAATATTTGGAAGTGGACATTTGCAGCGCTTTGAGGCCTATGTTGAAAAAGGAAATATCTTCTCCTAAAAACCAGACAGAAGCATTCTCAGAAACTTCCTTGTGATGTGTGTACTCAAGTAACAGAGTTGAACCTTCCTTTTGACAGAGCAGTTTTGAAGCACTCTTTTTGTAGAATCTGCAAGTGGATATTTTGATACCTTTGAGGATTTCGTTGGACACGGGATATCTTCATATAAAATCTAGACAGAAGCATTCTCAGGAACTTCTTTGTGATGTTTGCCTTCAAGTCACAGGACTGAACATTCCCTTTCATAGAGCAGGTTTGAAACACTCTTTCTGTAGTATCTGCAAGCTGACGTTTCAAGCGCTTTCAGGCCTATGGTGAGAAAGGAAATATCTTCAAGTAAAAACTAGACAGAAGCATTCTCAGAAACTTATTTGCCATGTGTGTTCTCAACTAACAGAGTTGAACCTTTGTTTTGATACGGCATTTTGGAAACACTCTTTTTGTAGAATCTGCAGGTGGATATTCGGATAGCTTTGAAGGTTTCGTTGGAAACGGGAATATCTTCATATAAAATCTAGACGGAAGCATTCTCAGAAACTGCTTTGTGATGTTTTCATTCAAGTCACAGAGTAGAATGTTCCCTGTTATATACCAGGTTTGAGACACTCTTTCTGCACTACCTGGAAGTGGACGTTTGGAGCGCTTTGAGGCCTATGTTGAAAAAGGAAATATCTTCCCATAAAAACTAGACAGAAGCATTCTCAGAAACTTGTTTGTGATGTGTGTATTCAACTAACAGAGATGAACCTTTCTTTTTACAGAGTAGTTTTGAAACACTCTTTTTGTGGAATCTGAAAGTGGATATTTGGATAGCTTTGAGGATTTCGTTGGAAACGGGATTACATATAAAATCTAGAGAGAAGCATTCTCAGGAACTTCTTTGTGATGTTTGCATTCAAGTCACAGAACTGAACATTCCCTTTCATAGAGCAGGTTTGAAACACTCTTTCTGTAGTATCTGCAAGCGGACGTTTTAAGCGCTTTCAGGCCTGTGGTGAGAAAGGAAATATCTTCAAATAAAAACTAGACAGAAGCATTCTCAGAAACTTATTTGCGATGTGTGTCCTCAACTAACAGAGTTGAACCTTTCTTTTGATACAACATTTTGGAAACACTCTTTTTGTAGAATCTGCAAGTGGATATTTGGATAGCTTTGAAGGTTTCGTTGTAAACGGGAATATCTTCATATGAAATCAAGACAGAAGCATTCTCAGAAACTGCTTTGTGATGTTTTCATTCAAGTCACAGAGTAGAATGTTCCCTGTTATATACCAGGTTTGAGACACTCTTTCTGCACTACCCGGAAGTGGACGTTTGGAGCGCTTTGAGGCCTATGTTGAAAAAGGAAATATCTTCCCATAAAAACTAGACAGAAGCATTCTCAGAAACTTGTTTGTGATGTGTGTATTCAACTAACAGAGATGAACCTTTCTTTTTACAGAGCAGTTTTGAAACACTCTTTTTGTGGAATCTGAAAGTGGATATTTGGATAGCTTTGAGGATTTCGTTGGAAACGGGATTACATATAAAACCTAGAGAGAAGCATTCTCAGGAACTTCTTTGTGATGTTTGCATTCACGTCACAGAACTGAACATTCCCTTTCATAGAGCATGTTTGAAACACTCTTTCTGTAGTATCTGCAAACGGACATTTCAAACGCTTTCAGGCCTATGGTGAGAAAGGAAATATCTTCAAATAAAAACTAGACAGAAGCATTCTCAGAAACTTATTTGCGATGTGTGTCCTCAACTAACAGAGTTGAACCTTTCTTTTGATACAACATTTTGGAAACACTCTTTTTGTAGAATCTGCAAGTGGATATTTGAAAAGCTTTGAAGGTTTCGTTGGAAACGGGAATATCTTCATATAAAATCAAGACAGAAGCATTCTCAGAAAGTGCTTTGTGATGTTTGCATTCAAGTCACAGAGTTGAATATTCCCTTTTATAGAGCAGGTTTGAAACACTCTTTCTGCACTACCTGGAAGTGGACATTTGGAGCGCTTTGAGGCCTATGTTGAAAAAGGAAATATCTTCCCATAAAAACTAGACAGAAGCATTCTCAGAAATTTGTTTGTGATGTGTGTATTCAACTAACAGAGATGAACCTTTCTTTTTACAGAGCAGTTTTGAAACACTCTTTTTGTGGAATCTGAAAGTGGATATTTGGATAGCTTTGAGGATTTCGTTGGAAACGGGATTACATATAAAATCTAGAGAGAAGCATTCTCAGGAACTTCTTTGTGATGTTTGCATTCAAGTCACAGAACTGAACATTCCCTTTCATAGAGCATGTTTGAAACACTCTTTCTGTAGTATCTGCAAGCGGACGTTTCAAGCGCTTTCAGGCCTATGGTGCGAAAGGAAATATCTTCAAGTAAAAACTAGACAGAAGCATTCTCAGAAACTTATTTGCGATGTGTGTTCTCAACTAACAGAGTTGAACCTTTGTTTTGATATGGCATTTTGGAAACACTCTTTTTGTAGAATCTGCAGGTGGATATTCGGATAGCTTTGAAGGTTTCGTTGGAAACGGGAATATCTTCATATAAAATCTAGACGGAAGCATTCTCAGAAACTGCTTTGTGATGTTTTCATTCAAGTCACAGAGTAGAATGTTCCCTGTTATATACCAGGTTTGAGACACTCTTTCTGCACTACCTGGAAGTGGACGTTTGGAGCGCTTTGAGGCCTATGTTGAAAAAGGAAATATCTTCCCATAAAAGCTAGACAGAAGCATTCTCAGAAACTTGTTTGTGATGTGTGTATTCAACTAACAGAGATGAACCTTTCTTTTTACAGAGCAGTTTTGAAACACTCTTTTTGTGGAATCTGAAAGTGGATATTTGGATAGCTTTGAGGATTTCGTTGGAAACGGGATTACATATAAAATCTAGAGAGAAGCATTCTCAGGAACTTCTTTGTGATGTTTGCATTCACGTCACAGAACTGAACATTCCCTTTCATAGAGCATGTTTGAAACACTCTTTCTGTAGTATCTGCAAACGGACATTTCAAACGCTTTCAGGCCTATGGTGAGAAAGGAAATATCTTCAAGTAAAAACTAGACAGAAGCATTCTCAGAAACTTATTTGCGATGTGTGTCCTCAACTAACAGAGTTGAACCTTTCTTTTGATACAACATTTTGGAAACACTCTTTTTGTAGAATCTGCAAGTGGATATTTGAATAGCTTTGAAGGTTTCGTTGGAAACGGGAATATCTTCATATAAAATCAAGACAGAAGCATTCTCAGAAACTTCTCTGTGATGTTTGCATTCAACTCATAGAGTTGAACACTTCCCTTCATACAGCAGGTTTGAAACACTCTTTTTGTAATATTTGGAAGTGGACATTTGCAGCGCTTTGAGGCCTATGATGAAAAAGGTAATATCTTCCCATAAAAACTAGACAGAAGCATTCTCAGAAACTTGTTTGTGATGTGTGTATTCAACTAACAGAGATGAACCTTTCTTTTTACAGAGCAGTTTTGAAACACTCTTTTTGTGGAATCTGAAAGTGGATATTTGGATAGCTTTGCGGATTTCGTTGGAAACGGGATTACATATAAAATCTAGGGAGAAGCATTCTCAGGAACTTCTTTGTGATGTTTGCATTCAAGTCACAGAACTGAACATTCCCTTTCATAGAGCAGGTTTGAAACACTCTTTCTGTAGTATCTACAAGCGGACGTTTCAAGCGCTTTCAGGCCTGTGGTGAAAAAGGAAATATCTTCAAATAAAAACTAGACAGAAGCATTCTCAGAAACTTCTTTGTGCTGTATGTCCTCAATTAACAGAGTTGAACCTTTGTGTGGATACAGCATTTTGGAAACATTCCTTTAGTAGAATCTGCAAGTTGATATTTAGATAGCTAGGAAGAGTTTCCTTGGAAACGGGAATATCTTCATATAAAATCTAGACGGAAGCATTCTCAGAAACTGCTTTGTGATGTTTTCATTCAAGTCACAGCAGTAGAATGTTCCCTGTTATATACCAGGTTTGAGACACTCTTTCTGCACTACCCGGAAGTGGACGTTTGGAGCGCTTTGAGGCCTATGTTGAAAAAGGAAATATCTTCCCATAAAAACTAGACAGAAGCATTCTCAGAAACTTGTTTGTGATGTGTGTATTCAACTAACAGAGATGAACCTTTCTTTTTACAGAGCAGTTTTGAAACACTCTTTTTGTGGAATCTGAAAGTGGATATTTGGATAGCTTTGAGGATTTCGTTGGAAACGGGATTACATATAAAACCTAGAGAGAAGCATTCTCAGGAACTGCTTTGTGATGTTTGCATTCAAGTCACAGAACTGAACATTCCCTTTCATAGAGCAGGTTTGAAACACTCTTTCTGTAGTATCTGCAAGCTGACGTTTCAAGCGCTTTCAGGCCTATGGTGAGAAAGGAAATATCTTCAAGTAAAAACTAGACAGAAGCATTCTCAGAAACTTATTTGCCATGTGTGTTCTCAACTAACAGAGTTGAACCTTTGTTTTGATACGGCATTTTGGAAACACTCTTTTTGTAGAATCTGCAGGTGGATATTCGGATAGCTTTGAAGGTTTCGTTGGAAACGGGAATATCTTCATATAAAATCTAGACGGAAGCATTCTCAGAAACTGCTTTGTGATGTTTTCATTCAAGTCACAGAGTAGAATGTTCCCTGTTATATACCAGGTTTGAGACACTCTTTCTGCACTACCTGGAAGTGGACGTTTTGAGTGCTTTGAGGCCTATGTTGAAAAAGGAAATATCTTCCCATAAAAACTAGACAGAAGCATTCTCAGAAACTTGTTTGTGATGTGTGTATTCAACTAACAGAGATGAACCTTTCTTTTTACAGAGCAGTTTTGAAACACTCTTTTTGTGGAATCTGAAAGTGGATATTTGGATAGCTTTGAGGATTTCGTTGGAAACGGGATTACATATAAAACCTAGAGAGAAGCATTCTCAGGAACTTCTTTGTGATGTTTGCATTCAAGTCACAGAACTGAACATTCCCTTTCATAGAGCAGGTTTGAAACACTCTTTCTGTAGTATCTGCAAGCTGACGTTTCAAGCGCTTTCAGGCCTATGGTGAGAAAGGAAATATCTTCAAGTAAAAACTAGACAGAAGCATTCTCAGAAACTTATTTGCGATGTGTGTTCTCAACTAACAGAGTTGAACCTTTGTTTTGATATGGCATTTTGGAAACACTCTTTTTGTAGAATCTGCAGGTGGATATTCGGATAGCTTTGAAGGTTTCGTTGGAAACGGGAATATCTTCATATAAAATCTAGACGGAAGCATTCTCAGAAACTGCTTTGTGATGTTTTCATTCAAGTCACAGAGTAGAATCTTCCCTGTTATATACCAGGTTTGAGACACTGTTTCTGCACTACCTGGAAGTGGACATTTGCAGCGCTTTGAGGCCTATGTTGAAAAAGGAAATATCTTCCCATAAAAACTAGACAGAAGCATTCTCAGAAACTTGTTTGTGATGTGTGTATTCAACTAACAGAGATGAACCTTTCTTTTTACAGAGCAGTTTTGAAACACTCTTTTTGTGGAATCTGAAAGTGGATATTTGGATAGATTTGAGGATTTCGTTGGAAACGGGATTACATATAAAACCTAGAGAGAAGCATTCTCAGAATCTTTCTTGTGATGTGTGTACTCAAGTAACAGAGGTGAACCTTCATTTTGACAGAGCAGTTTTGAAGCACTCTTTTTGTAGAATCTGCAAGTGGATATTTTGATACCTTTGAGGATTTCGTTAGACACGGGATATCTTCATACAAAATCTAGACAGAAGCATTCTCAGAAACTTCTTTGTGCTGTATGTCCTCAATTAACAGAGTTGAACCTTTGTGTGGATACAGCATTTTGGAAACATTCCTTTAGTAGAATCTGCAAGTTGATATTTAGATAGCTAGGAAGACTTCCTTGGAAACGGGAATATCTTCATATAAAATCTAGACGGAAGCATTCTCAGAAACTGCTTTGTGATGTTTTCATTCAAGTCACAGAGTAGAATGTTCCCTGTTATATACCAGGTTTGAGACACTATTTCTGCACTACCTGGAAGTGGACATTTGGAGCGCTTTGAGGCCTATGATGAAAAAGGAAATATCTTCCCTTAAAAACTAGACAGAAGCATTCTCAGAAACTTGTTTGTGATGTGTGTATTCAACTAACAGAGATGAACCTTTCTTTTTACAGAGCAGTTTTGGAACACTCTTTTTGTGGAATCTGAAAGTGGATATTTGGATAGCTTTGAGGATTTCGTTGGAAACGGGATTACATATAAAATCTAGAGAGAAGCATTCTCAGGAACTTCTTTGTGATGTTTGCATTCAAGTCACAGAACTGAACATTCCCTTTCATAGAGCATGCTTGAAACACTCTTTCTGTAGTATCTGCAAGCGGACGTTTCAAGCGCTTTCAGGCCTATGGTGAGAAAGGAAATATCTTCAAGTAAAAACTAGACAGAAGCATTCTCAGAAACTTATTTGCGATGTGTGTTCTCAACTAACAGAGTTGAACCTTTGTTTTGATACGGCATTTTGGAAACACTCTTTTTGTAGAATCTGCAGGTGGATATTCGGATAGCTTTGAAGGTTTCGTTGGAAACGGGAATATCTTCATATAAAATCTAGACGGAAGCATTCTGAGAAACTGCTTTGTGATGTTTTCATTCAAGTCACAGAGTAGAATCTTCCCTGTTATATACCAGGTTTGAGACACTATTTCTGCACTACCTGGAAGTGGACATTTGGAGCGCTTTGAGGCCTATGATGAAAAAGGAAATATCTTCCCATAAAAACTAGACAGAAGCATTCTCAGAAACTTCTCTGTGATGTTTGCATTCAACTCATAGAGTTGAACGCTTCCCTTCATACAGCAGGTTTGAAACACTCTTTTTGTAATATTTGGAAGTGGACATTTGCAGCGCTTTGAGGCCTATGATGAAAAAGGTAATATCTTCCCATAAAAACTAGACAGAAGCGTTCTCAGAAACTTGTTTGTGATGTGTGTATTCAACTAACAGAGATGAACCTTTCTTTTTACAGAGCAGTTTTGAAACACTCTTTTTGTGGAATCTGAAAGTGGATATTTGGATAGCTTTGCGGATTTCGTTGGAAACGGGATTACATATAAAATCTAGGGAGAAGCATTCTCAGGAACTTCTTTGTGATGTTTGCATTCACGTCACAGAACTGAACATTCCCTTTCATAGAGCATGTTTGAAACACTCTTTCTGTAGTATCTGCAAACGGACATTTCAAACGCTTTCAGGCCTATGGTGAGAAAGGAAATATCTTCAAATAAAAACTAGACAGAAGCATTCTCAGAAACTTATTTGCGATGTGTGTCCTCAACTAACAGAGTTGAACCTTTCTTTTGATACAACATTTTGGAACCACTCTTTTTGTAGAATCTGCAAGTGGATATTTGGATAGCTTTGAAGGTTTCGTTGGAAACGGGAATATCTTCATATAAAATCAAGACAGAAGCATTCTCAGAAACTGCTTTGTGATGTTTTCATTCAAGTCACAGAGTAGAATGTTCCCTGTTATATACCAGGTTTGAGACACTCTTTCTGCACTACCTGGAAGTGGACGTTTGGAGCGCTTTGAGGCCTATGTTGAAAAAGGAAATATCTTCCCATAAAAACTAGACAGAAGCATTCTCAGAAACTTGTTTGTGATGTGTGTATTCAACTAACAGAGATGAACCTTTCTTTTTACAGAGCAGTTTTGAAACACTCTTTTTGTGGAATCTGAAAGTGGATATTTGGATAGCTTTGAGGATTTCGTTGGAAACGGGATTACATATAAAATCTAGAGAGAAGCATTCTCAGGAACTTCTTTGTGATGTTTGCATTCACGTCACAGAACTGAACATTCCCTTTCATAGAGCATGTTTGAAACACTCTTTCTGTAGTATCTGCAAACGGACATTTCAAACGCTTTCAGGCCTATGGTGAGAAAGGAAATATCTTCAAATAAAAACTAGACAGAAGCATTCTCAGAAACTTATTTGCGATGTGTGTCCTCAACTAACAGAGTTGAACCTTTCTTTTGATACAACATTTTGGAAACACTCTTTTTGTAGAATCTGCAAGTGGATATTTGGATAGCTTTGAAGGTTTCGTTGGAAACGGGAATATCTTCATATGAAATCAAGACAGATGCATTCTCAGAAACTTCTCTGTGATGTTTGCATTCAACTCATAGAGTTGAACACTTCCCTTCATACAGCAGGTTTGAAACACTCTTTTTCTAATATTTGGAAGTGGACATTTGCAGCGCTTTGAGGCCTATGTTGAAAAAGGAAATATCTTCTCCTAAAAACCAGACAGAAGCATTCTCAGAAACTTGTTTGTGATGTGTGTATTCAACTAACAGAGATGAACCTTTCTTTTTACAGAGCAGTTTTGAAACACTCTTTTTGTGGAATCTGAAAGTGGATATTTGGATAGCTTTGAGGATTTCGTTGGAAACGGGATTACATATAAAACCTAGAGAGAAGCATTCTCAGGAACTTCTTTGTGATGTTTGCATTCAAGTCACAGAACTGAACATTCCCTTTCATAGAGCAGGTTTGAAACACTCTTTCTGTAGTATCTGCAAGCTGACGTTTCAAGCGCTTTCAGGCCTATGGTGAGAAAGGAAATATCTTCAAGTAAAAACTAGACAGAAGCATTCTCAGAAACTTATTTGCGATGTGTGTTCTCAACTAACAGAGTTGAACATTTGTTTTGATATGGCATTTTGGAAACACTCTTTTTGTAGAATCTGCAGGTGGATATTCGGATAGCTTTGAAGGTTTCGTTGGAAACGGGAATATCTTCATATAAAATCTAGACGGAAGCATTCTCAGAAACTTCTCTGTGATGTTTGCATTCAACTCATAGAGTTGAACACTTCCCTTCATACAGCAGGTTTGAAACACTCTTTTTGTAATATTTGGAAGTGGACATTTGCAGCGCTTTGAGGCCTATGATGAAAAAGGTAATATCTTCCCATAAAAACTAGACAGAAGCATTCTCAGAAACTTGTTTGTGATGTGTGTATTCAACTAACAGAGATGAACCTTTCTTTTTACAGAGCAGTTTTGAAACACTCTTTTTGTGGAATCTGAAAGTGGATATTTGGATAGCTTTGAGGATTTCGTTGGAAACGGGATTACATATAAAATCTAGAGAGAAGCATTCTCAGGAACTTCTTTGTGATGTTTGCATTCACCTCACAGAACTGAACATTCCCTTTCATAGAGCATGTTTGAAACACTCTTTCTGTAGTATCTGCAAACGGACATTTCAAGCGCTTTCAGGCCTATGGTAAGAAAGGAAATATCTTCAAATAAAAACTAGACAGAAGCATTCTCAGAAACTTATTTGCGATGTGTGTCCTCAACTAACAGAGTTGAACCTTTGTTTTGATACAACATTTTGGAAACACTCTTTTTGTAGAATCTGCAAGTGGATATTTGGATAGCTTTGAAGGTTTCGTTGGAAACGGGAATATCTTCATATAAAATCAAGACAGAAGCATTCTCAGAAACTTCTCTGTGATGTTTGCATTCAACTCATAGAGTTGAACACTTCCCTTCATACAGCAGGTTTGAAACACTCTTTTTGTAATATTTGGAAGTGGACATTTGCAGCGCTTTGAGGCCTATGATGAAAAAGGAAATATCTTCCCATAAAAACTAGACAGGAAGCATTCTCAGAAACTTGTTTGTGATGTGTGTATTCAACTAACAGAGATGAACCTTTCTTTTTACAGAGCAGTTTTGAAACACTCTTTTTGTGGAATCTGAAAGTGGATATTTGGATAGCTTTGAGGATTTCGTTGGAAACGGGATTACATATAAAATCTAGAGAGAAGCATTCTCAGGAACTTCTTTGTGATGTTTGCATTCACGTCACAGAACTGAACATTCCCTTTCATAGAGCATGTTTGAAACACTCTTTCTGTAGTATCTGCAAACGGACATTTCAAACGCTTTCAGGCCTATGGTGAGAAAGGAAATATCTTCAAATGAAAACTAGACAGAAGCATTCTCAGAAACTTATTTGCGATGTGTGTCCTCAACTAACAGAGTTGAACCTTTCTTTTGATACAACATTTTGGAAACACTCTTTTTGTGGAATCTGCAAGTGGATATTTGGATAGCTTTGAAGGTTTCGTTGGAAACGGGAATATCTTCATATAAAATCAAGACAGAAGCATTCTCAGAAACTTCTCTGTGATGTTTGCATTCAACTCATAGAGTTGAACACTTCCCTTCATACAGCAGGTTTGAAACACTCTTTTTGTAATCTTTGGAAGTGGACATTTGCAGCGCTTTGAGGCCTATGATGAAAAAGGTAATATCTTCCCATAAAAACTAGACAGAAGCATTCTCAGAAACTTGTTTGTGATGTGTGTATTCAACTAACAGAGATGAACCTTTCTTTTTACAGAGCAGTTTTGAAACACTCTTTTTGTGGAATCTGAAAGTGGATATTTGGATAGCTTTGAGGATTTCGTTGGAAACGGGATTACATATAAAACCTAGAGAGAAGCATTCTCAGGAACTTCTTTGTGATGTTTGCCTTCAAGTCACAGGACTGAACATTCCCTTTCATAGAGCAGGTTTGAAACACTCTTTCTGTAGTATCTGCAAGCTGACGTTTCAAGCGCTTTCAGGCCTATGGTGAGAAAGGAAATATCTTCAAGTAAAAACTAGACAGAAGCATTCTCAGAAACTTATTTGCCATGTGTGTTCTCAACTAACAGAGTTGAACCTTTGTTTTGATACGGCATTTTGGAAACACTCTTTTTGTAGAATCTGCAGGTGGATATTCGGATAGCTTTGAAGGTTTCGTTGGAAACGGGAATATCTTCATATAAAATCTAGACGGAAGCATTCTCAGAAACTGCTTTGTGATGTTTTCATTCAAGTCACAGAGTAGAATGTTCCCTGTTATATACCAGGTTTGAGACACTCTTTCTGCACTACCCGGAAGTGGACGTTTGGAGCGCTTTGAGGCGTATGTTGAAAAAGGAAATATCTTCCCATAAAAACTAGACAGAAGCATTCTCAGAAACTTGTTTGTGATGTGTGTATTCAACTAACAGAGATGAACCTTTCTTTTTACAGAGCAGTTTTGAAACACTCTTTTTGTGGAATCTGAAAGTGGATATTTGGATAGCTTTGAGGATTTCGTTGGAAACGGGATTACATATAAAATCTAGAGAGAAGCATTCTCAGGAACTTCTTTGTGATGTTTGCATTCAAGTCACAGAACTGAACATTCCCTTTCATAGAGCATGTTTGAAACACTCTTTCTGTAGTATCTGCAAGCGGACGTTTCAAGCGCTTTCAGGCCTATGGTGAGAAAGGAAATATCTTCAAGTAAAAACTAGACAGAAGCATTCTCAGAAACTTATTTGCCATGTGTGTTCTCAACTAACAGAGTTGAACCTTTGTTTGGATACGGCATTTTGGAAACACTCTTTTTGTAGAATCTGCAGGTGGATATTCGGATAGCTTTGAAGGTTTCGTTGGAAACGGGAATATCTTCATATAAAATCTAGACGGAAGCATTCTCAGAAACTGCTTTGTGATGTTTTCATTCAAGTCACAGAGTAGAATGTTCCCTGTTATATACCAGGTTTGAGACACTCTTTCTGCACTACCTGGAAGTGGACATTTGCAGCGCTTTGAGGCCTATGATGAAAAAGGAAATATCTTCCCATAAAAACTAGACAGAAGCATTCTCAGAAACTTGTTTGTGATGTGTGTATTCAACTAACAGAGATGAACCTTTCTTTTTACAGAGCAGTTTTGAAAGAGTCTTTTTGTGGAATCTGAAAGTGGATATTTGGATAGCTTTGAGGATTTCGTTGGAAACGGGATTACATATAAAATCTAGAGAGAAGCATTCTCAGGAACTTCTTTGTGATGTTTGCATTCACGTCTCAGAACTGAACATTCCCTTTCATAGAGCATGTTTGAAACACTCTTTCTGTAGTATCTGCAAACGGACATTTCAAACGCTTTCAGGCCTATGGTGAGAAAGGAAATATCTTCAAATAAAAACTAGACAGAAGCATTCTCAGAAACTTATTTGCGATGTGTGTCCTCAACTAACAGAGTTGAACCTTTCTTTTGATACAACATTTTGGAAACACTCTTTTTGTAGAATCTGCAAGTGGATATTTGAATAGCTTTGAAGGTTTCGTTGGAAACGGGAATATCTTCAAATAAAAACTAGACAGAAGCATTCTCAGAAACTTATTTGCGATGTGTGTCCTCAACTAACAGAGTTAAACCTTTCTTTTGGTACAACATTTTGGAAACACTCTTTTTGTAGAATCTGCAAGTGGATATTTGAATAGCTTTGAAGGTTTCGTTGGAAACGGGAATATCTTCATATAAAATCAAGACAGAAGCATTCGCAGAAAGTGCTTTGTGATGTTTGCATTCAAGTCACAGAGTTGAATATTCCCTTTTATAGAGCAGGTTTGAAACACTCTTTCTGCACTACCTGGAAGTGGACATTTGGAGCGCTTTGAGGCCTATGTTGAAAAACGAAATATCTTCCCATAAAAACTAGACAGAAGCATTCTCAGAAACTTGTTTGTGATGTGTGTATTCAACTAACAGAGATGAACCTTTCTTTTTACAGAGCAGTTTTGAAACACTCTTTTTGTGGAATCTGAAAGTGGATATTTGGATAGCTTTGAGGATTTCGTTGGAAACGGGATTACATATAAAATCTAGAGAGAAGCATTCTCAGGAACTTCTTTGTGATGTTTGCATTCACGTCACAGAACTGAACATTCCCTTTCATAGAGCATGTTTGAAACACTCTTTCTGTAGTATCTGCAAACGGACATTTCAAACGCTTTCAGGCCTATGGTGAGAAAGGAAATATCTTCAAATAAAAACTAGACAGAAGCATTCTCAGAAACTTATTTGCGATGTGTGTCCTCAACTAACAGACTTGAACCTTTCTTTTGATACAACATTTTGGAAACACTCTTTTTGTGGAATCTGCAAGTGGATATTTGGATAGCTTTGAAGATTTCGTTGGAAACGGGAATATCTTCATATAAAATCAAGACAGAAGCATTCTCAGAAACTTCTCTGTGATGTTTGCATTCAACTCATAGAGTTGAACACTTCCCTTCATACAGCAGGTTTGAAACACTCTTTTTGTAATATTTGGAAGTGGACATTTGCAGCGCTTTGAGGCCTATGATGAAAAAGGTAATATCTTCCCATAAAAACTAGACAGAAGCATTCTCAGAAAGTTGTTTGTGATGTGTGTATTCAACTAACAGAGATGAACCTTTCTTTTTACAGAGCAGTTTTGAAACACTCTTTTTGTGGAATCTGAAAGTGGATATTTGGATAGCTTTGCGGATTTCGTTGGAAACGGGATTACATATAAAATCTAGGGAGAAGCATTCTCAGGAACTTCTTTGTGATGTTTTCATTCAAGTCACAGAACTGAACATTCCCTTTCATAGAGCAGGTTTGAAACACTCTTTCTGTAGTATCTGAAAGCTGACGTTTCAAGCGCTTTCAGGCCTATGGTGAGAAAGGAAATATCTTCAAGTAAAAACTAGACAGAAGCATTCTCAGAAACTTATTTGCCATGTGTGTTCTCAACTAACAGAGTTGAACCTTTGTTTTGATACGGCATTTTGGAAACACTCTTTTTGTAGAATCTGCAGGTGGATATTCGGATAGCTTTGAAGGTTTCGTTGGAAACGGGAATATCTTCATATAAAATCTAGACGGAAGCATTCTCAGAAACTGCTTTGTGATGTTTTCATTCAAGTCACAGAGTAGAATGTTCCCTGTTATATACCAGGTTTGAGACACTCTTTCTGCACTACCTGGAAGTGGACGTTTGGAGCGCTTTGAGGCCTATGTTGAAAAAGGAAATATCTTCCCATAAAAACTAGACAGAAGCATTCTCAGAAACTTGTTTGTGATGTGTGTATTCAACTAACAGAGATGAACCTTTCTTTTTACAGAGCAGTTTTGAAACACTCTTTTTCTGGAATCTGAAAGTGGATATTTGGATAGCTTTGAGGATTTCGTTGGAAACGGGATTCCATATAAAACCTAGAGAGAAGCATTCTCAGGAACTTCTTTGTGATGTTTGCATTCAAGTCACAGAACTGAACATTCCCTTTCATAGAGCAGGTTTGAAACACTCTTTCTGTAGTATCTGCAAGCTGACGTTTCAAGCGCTTTCAGGCCTATGGTGAGAAAGGAAATATCTTCAAGTAAAAACTAGACAGAAGCATTCTCAGAAACTTATTTGCCATGAGTGTTCTCAACTAACAGAGTTGAACCTTTGTTTTGATACGGCATTTTGGAAACACTCTTTTTTTAGAATCTGCAGGTGGATATTCGGATATCTTTGAAGGTTTCGTTGGAAACGGGAATATCTTCATATAAAATCTAGACGGAAGCATTCTCAGAAACTGCTTTGTGATGTTTTCATTCAAGTCACAGAGTAGAATGTTCCCTGTTATATACCAGGTTTGAGACACTCTTTCTGCACTACCTGGAAGTGGACATTTGCAGCGCTTTGAGGCCTATGATGAAAAAGGAAATATCTTCCCATAAAAACTAGACAGAAGCATTCTCAGAAACTTGTTTGTGATGTGTGTATTCAACTAACAGAGATGAACCTTTCTTTTTACAGAGCAGTTTTGAAACAGTCTTTTTGTGGAATCTGAAAGTGGATATTTGGATAGCTTTGAGGATTTCGTTGGAAACGGGATTACATATAAAATCTAGAGAGAAGCATTCTCAGGAACTTCTTTGTGATGTTTGCATTCACGTCTCAGAACTGAACATTCCCTTTCATAGAGCATGTTTGAAACACTCTTTCTGTAGTATCTGCAAACGGACATTTCAAACGCTTTCAGGCCTATGGTGAGAAAGGAAATATCTTCAAATAAAAACTAGACAGAAGCATTCTCAGAAACTTATTTGCGATGTGTGTCCTCAACTAACAGAGTTGAACCTTTCTTTTGATACAACATTTTGGAAACACTCTTTTTGTAGAATCTGCAAGTGGATATTTGAATAGCTTTGAAGGTTTCGTTGGAAACGGGAATATCTTCAAATAAAAACTAGACAGAAGCATTCTCAGAAACTTATTTGCGATGTGTGTCCTCAACTAACAGGAGTTGAACCTTTCTTTTGATACAACATTTTGGAAACACTCTTTTTGTAGAATCAGCAAGTGGATATTTGAATAGCTTTGAAGGTTTCGTTGGAAACGGGAATATCTTCATATAAAATCAAGACAGAAGCATTCTCAGAAACTTCTCTGTGATGTTTGCATTCAACTCATAGAGTTGAACACTTCCCTTCATACAGCAGGTTTGAAACACTCTTTTTGTAATATTTGGAAGTGGACATTTGCAGCGCTTTGAGGCCTATGATGAAAAAGGTAATATCTTCCCATAAAAACTAGACAGAAGCATTCTCAGAAACTTGTTTGTGATGTGTGTATTCAACTAACAGAGATGAACCTTTCTTTTTACAGAGCAGTTTTGAAACACTCTTTTTGTGGAATCTGAAAGTGGATATCTGGATAGCTTTGCGGATTTCGTTGGAAACGGGATTACATATAAAATCTAGGGAGAAGCACTCTCAGGAACTTCTTTGTGATGTTTGCATTCAAGTCACAGAACTGAACATTCCCTTTCATAGAGCATGTTTGAAACACTCTTTCTGTAGTATCTGCAAACGGACATTTCAAACGCTTTCAGGCCTATGGTGAGAAAGGAAATATCTTCAAGTAAAAACTAGACAGAAGCATTCTCAGAAACTTATTTGCGATGTGTGTTCTCAACTAACAGAGTTGAACCTTTGTTTTGATATGGCATTTTGGAAACACTCTTTTTGTAGAATCTGCAGGTGGATATTCGGATAGCTTTGAAGGTTTCGTTGGAAACGGGAATATCTTCATATAAAATCTAGACGGAAGCATTCTCAGAAACTGCTTTGTGATGTTTTCATTCAAGTCACAGAGTAGAATGTTCCCTGTTATATACCAGGTTTGAGACACTCTTTCTGCACTACATGGAAGTGGACGTTTGGAGCGCTTTGAGGCCTATGTTGAAAAAGGAAATATCTTCCCATAAAAACTAGACAGAAGCATTCTCAGAAACTTGTTTGTGATGTGTGTATTCAACTAACAGAGATGAACCTTTCTTTTTACAGAGCAGTTTTGAAACACTCTTTTTGTGGAATCTGAAAGTGGATATTTGGATAGCTTTGAGGATTTCGTTGGAAACGGGATTACATATAAAATCTAGAGAGAAGCATTCTCAGGAACTTCTTTGTGATGTTTGCATTCACGTCACAGAACTGAACATTCCCTTTCATAGAGCATGTTTGAAACACTCTTTCTGTAGTATCTGCAAACGGACATTTCAAACGCTTTCAGGCCTATGGTGAGAAAGGAAATATCTTCAAATAAAAACTAGACAGAAGCATTCTCAGAAACTTATTTGCGATGTGTGTCCTCAACTAACAGAGTTGAACCTTTCTTTTGATACAACATTTTGGAAACACTCTTTTTGTGGAATCTGCAAGTGGATATTTGTATAGCTTTGAAGATTTCGTTGGAATCGGGAATATCTTCATATAAAATCAAGACAGAAGCATTCTCAGAAACTTCTCTGTGATGTTTGCATTCAACTCATAGAGTTGAACACTTCCCTTCATACAGCAGGTTTGAAACACTCTTTTTGTAATATTTGGAAGTGGACATTTGCAGCGCTTTGAGGCCTATGATGAAAAAGGTAATATCTTCCCATAAAAACTAGACAGAAGCATTCTCAGAAACTTGTTTGTGATGTGTGTATTCAACTAACAGAGATGAACCTTTCTTTTTACAGAGCAGTTTTGAAACACTCTTTTTGTGGAATCTGAAAGTGGATATTTGGATAGCTTTGAGGATTTCGTTGGAAACGGGATTACATATAAAACCTAGAGAGAAGCATTCTCAGGAACTTACTTTGTGATGTTTGCCTTCAAGTCACAGGACTGAACATTCCCTTTCATAGAGCAGGTTTGAAACACTCTTTCTGTAGTATCTGCAAGCTGACGTTTCAAGCGCTTTCAGGCCTATGGTGAGAAAGGAAATATGCTTCAAGTAAAAACTAGACAGAAGCATTCTCAGAAACTTATTTGCGATGTGTGTTCTCAACTAACAGAGTTGAACCTTTGTTTTGATATGGCATTTTGGAAACACTCTTTTTGTAGAATCTGCAGGTGGATATTCGGATAGCTTTGAAGGTTTCGTTGGAAACGGGAATATCTTCATATAAAATCTAGACGGAAGCATTCTCAGAAACTGCTTTGTGATGTTTTCATTCAAGTCACAGAGTAGAATGTTCCCTGTTATATACCAGGTTTGAGACACTCTTTCTGCACTACCTGGAAGTGGACATTTGGAGCGCTTTGAGGCCTATGATGAAGAAGGAAATATCTTCCCATAAAAACTAGACAGAAGCATTCTCAGATACTTGTTTGTGATGTGTGTATTCAACTAACAGAGATGAACCTTTCTTTTTACAGAGCAGTTTTGAAACACTCTTTTTGTGGAATCTGAAAGTGGATATTTGGATAGCTTCGAGGATTTCGTTGGAAACGGGATTACATATAAAATCTAGAGAGAAGCATTCTCAGGAACTTCTTTGTGATGTTTGCATTCAAGTCACAGAACTGAACATTCCCTTTCATAGAGCATGTTTGAAACACTCTTTCTGTAGTATCTGCAAGCGGACGTTTCAAGCGCTTTCAGGCCTATGGTGAGAAAGGAAATATCTTCAAGTAAAAACTAGACAGAAGCATTCTCAGAAACTTATTTGCCATGTGTGTTCTCAACTAACAGAGTTGAACCTTTGTTTTGATACGGCATTTTGGAAACACTCTTTTTGTAGAATCTGCAGGTGGATATTCGGATAGCTTTGAAGGTTTCGTTGGAAACGGGAATATCTTCATATAAAATCTAGACGGAAGCATTCTCAGAAACTGCTTTGTGATGTTTTCATTCAAGTCACAGAGTAGAATGTTCCCTGTTATATACCAGGTTTGAGACACTCTTTCTGCACTACCTGGAAGTGGACATTTGCAGCGCTTTGAGGCCTATGATGAAAAAGGAAATATCTTCCCATAAAAACTAGACAGAAGCATTCTCAGAAACTTGTTTGTGATATGTGTATTCAACTAACAGAGATGAACCTTTCTTTTTACAGAGCAGTTTTGAAACACTCTTTTTGTGGAATCTGAAAGTGGATATTTGGATAGCTTTGAGGATTTCGTTGGAAACGGGATTACATATAAAACCTAGAGAGAAGCATTCTCAGGAACTTCTTTGTGATGTTTGCATTCAAGTCACAGGACTGAACATTCCCTTTCATAGAGCAGGTTTGAAACACTCTTTCTGTAGTATCTGCAAGCTGACGTTTCAAGCGCTTTCAGGCCTATGGTGAGAAAGGAAATATCTTCAAGTAAAAACTAGACAGAAGCATTCTCAGAAACTTATTTGCCATGTGTGTTCTCAACTAACAGAGTTGAACCTTTGTTTTGATACGGCATTTTGGAAACACTCTTTTTGTAGAATCTGCAGGTGGATATTCGGATAGCTTTGAAGGTTTCGTTGGAAACGGGAATATCTTCATATAAAATCTAGACGGAAGCATTCTCAGAAACTGCTTTGTGATGTTTTCATTCAAGTCACAGAGTAGAATGTTCCCTGTTATATACCAGGTTTGAGACACTCTTTCTGCACTACCTGGAAGTGGACGTTTGGAGCGCTTTGAGGCCTATGTTGAAAAAGGAAATATCTTCCCATAAAAACTAGACAGAAGCATTCTCAGAAACTTGTTTGTGATGTGTGTATTCAACTAACAGAGATGAACCTTTCTTTTTACAGAGCAGTTTTGAAACACTCTTTTTGTGGAATCTGAAAGTGGATATTTGGATAGCTTTGAGGATTTCGTTGGAAACGGGATTACATATAAAACCTAGAGAGAAGCATTCTCAGGAACTTCTTTGTGATGTTTGCATTCAAGTCACAGAACTGAACATTCCCTTTCATAGAGCATGTTTGAAACACTCTTTCTGTAGTATCTGCAAGCGGACGTTTTAAGCGCTTTCAGGCCTGTGGTGAGAAAGGAAATATCTTCAAATAAAAACTAGACAGAAGCATTCTCAGAAACTTATTTGCGATGTGTGTCCTCAACTAACAGAGTTGAACCTTTCTTTTGATACAACATTTTGGAAACACTCTTTTTGTAGAATCTGCAAGTGGATATTTGAATAGCTTTGAAGGTTTCGTTGGAAACGGGAATATCTTCATATAAAATCAAGACAGAAGCATTCTCAGAAACTTCTCTGTGATGTTTGCATTCAACTCATAGAGTTGAACACTTCCCTTCATACAGCAGGTTTGAAACACTCTTTTTGTAATATTTGGAAGTGGACATTTGCAGCGCTTTGAGGCCTATGATGAAAAAGGTAATATCTTCCCATAAAAACTAGACAGAAGCATTCTCAGAAACTTGTTTGAGATGTGTGTATTCAACTAACAGAGATGAACCTTTCTTTTTACAGAGCAGTTTTGAAACACTCTTTTTGTGGAATCTGAAAGTGGATATTTGGATAGCTTTGCGGATTTCGTTGGAAACGGGATTACATATAAAATCTAGGGAGAAGCATTCTCAGGAACTTCTTTGTGATGTTTGCATTCAAGTCACAGAACTGAACATTCCCTTTCATAGATCAGGTTTGAAACACTCTTTCTGTAGTATCTGCAAGCGGACGTTTTAAGCGCTTTCAGGCCTGTGGTGAGAAAGGAAATATCTTCAAATAAAAACTAGACAGAAGCATTCTCAGAAACTTATTTGCGATGTGTGTCCTCAACTAACAGAGTTGAACCTTTCTTTTGATACAACATTTTGGAAACACTCTTTTTGTAGAATCTGCAAGTGGATATTTGGATAGCTTTGAAGGTTTCGTTGGAAACGGGAATATCTTCATATGAAATCAAGACAGAAGCATTCTCAGAAACTTCTCTGTGATGTTTGCATTCAACTCATAGAGTTGAACACTTCCCTTCATACAGCAGGTTTGAAACACTCTTTTTCTAATATTTGGAAGTGGACATTTGCAGCGCTTTGAGGCCTATGTTGAAAAAGGAAATATCTTCTCCTAAAAACCAGACAGAAGCATTCTCAGAAACTTCCTTGTGATGTGTGTACTCAAGTAACAGAGTTGAACCTTCCTTTTGACAGAGCAGTTTTGAAGCACTCTTTTTGTAGAATCTGCAAGTGGATATTTTGATACCTTTGAGGATTTCGTTGGACACGGGATATCTTCATATAAAATCTAGACAGAAGCATTCTCAGGAACTTCTTTGTGATGTTTGCATTCAAGTCACAGAACTGAACATTCCCTTTCATAGAGTAGGTTTGAAACACTCTTTCTGTAGTATCTGCAAGCGGACGTTTCAAGCGCTTTCAGGCCTGTGGTGAAAAAGGAAATATCTTCAAATAAAAACTAGACAGAAGCATTCTCAGAAACTTATTTGCGATGTGTGTCCTCAACTGACAGAGTTGAACCTTTGTTTGGATACAGCATTTTGGAAACACTCTTTTTGTAGAATCTGCAAGTGGATATTTGGATAGCTTTGAAGGTTTCGTTGGAAACGGGAATATCTTCATATAAAATCAAGACAGAAGCATTCTCAGAAACTTCTCTGTGATGTTTGCATTCAAATCATAGAGTTGAACCCTTCCCTTCATACAGCAGGTTTGAAACACTCTTTTTGTAATATTTGGAAGTGGACATTTGCAGCGCTTTGAGGCCTATGTTGAAAAAGGAAATATCTTCTCCTAAAAACCAGACAGAAGCATTCTCAGAAACTTCCTTGTGATGTGTGTACTCAAGTTACAGAGTTGAACCTTCCTTTTGACAGAGCAGTTTTGAAGCACTCTTTTTGTAGAATCTGCAAGTGGATATTTTGATACCTTTGAGGATTTCGTTGGACACGGGATATCTTCATATAAAATCTAGACAGAAGCATTCTCAGGAACTTCTTTGTGATGTTTGCATTCAAGTCACAGAACTGAACATTCCCTTTCATAGAGCAGGTTTGAAACACTCTTTCTGTAGTATCTGCAAGCTGACGTTTCAAGCGCTTTCAGCCCTATGGTGAGAAAGGAAATATCTTCAAGTAAAAACTAGACAGAAGCATTCTCAGAAACTTATTTGCGATGTGTGTCCTCAACTAACAGAGTTGAACCTTTCTTTTGATACAACATTTTGGAAACACTCTTTTTGTGGAATCTGCAAGTGGATATTTGGATAGCTTTGAAGATTTCGTTGGAAACGGGAATATCTTCATATAAAATCAAGACAGAAGCATTCTCAGAAACTTCTCTGTGATGTTTGCATTCAACTCATAGAGTTGAACACTTCCCTTCATACAGCAGGTTTGAAACACTCTTTTTGTAATATTTGGAAGTGGACATTTGCAGCGCTTTGAGGCCTATGATGAAAAAGGAAATATCTTCCCATAAAAACTAGACAGGAAGCATTCTCAGAAACTTGTTTGTGATGTGTGTATTCAACTAACAGAGATGAACCTTTCTTTTTACAGAGCAGTTTTGAAACACTCTTTTTGTGGAATCTGAAAGTGGATATTTGGATAGCTTTGCGGATTTCGTTGGAAACGGGATTACATATAAAATCTAGGGAGAAGCATTCTCAGGAACTTCTTTGTGATGTTTGCCTTCAAGTCACAGGACTGAACATTCCCTTTCATAGAGCAGGTTTGAAACACTCTTTCTGTAGTATCTGCAAGCTGACGTTTCAAGCGCTTTCAGGCCTATGGTGAGAAAGGAAATATCTTCAAGTAAAAACTAGACAGAAGCATTCTCAGAAACTTATTTGCGATGTGTGTCCTCAACTAACAGAGTTGAACCTTTGTTTTGATACAGCATTTTGGAAACACTCTTTTTGTAGGATCTGCAGGTGGATATTTGGATAGCTTTTAAGGTTTCGTTGGAAACGGGAATATCTTCATATAAAATCAAGACAGAAGCATTCTCAGAAACTGCTTTGTGATGTTTTCATTCAAGTCACAGAGTAGAATGTTCCCTGTTATATACCAGGTTTGAGACACTCTTTCTGCACTACCCGGAAGTGGACGTTTGGAGCGCTTTGAGGCCTATGTTGAAAAAGGAAATATCTTCCCATAAAAACTAGACAGAAGCATTCTCAGAAACTTGTTTGTGATGTGTGTATTCAACTAACAGAGATGAACCTTTCTTTTTACAGAGCAGTTTTGAAACACTCTTTTTGTGGAATCTGAAAGTGGATATTTGGATAGCTTTGAGGATTTCGTTGGAAACGGGATTACATATAAAATCTAGAGAGAAGCATTCTCAGGAACTTCTTTGTGATGTTTGCATTCACGTCACAGAACTGAACATTCCCTTTCATAGAGCATGTTTGAAACACTCTTTCTGTAGTATCTGCAAACGGACATTTCAAACGCTTTCAGGCCTATGGTGAGAAAGGAAATATCTCCAAGTAAAAACTAGACAGAAGCATTCTCAGAAACTTATTTGCGATGTGTGTCCTCAACTAACAGAGTTGAACCTTTCTTTTGATACAACATTTTGGAAACACTCTTTTTGTAGAATCTGCAAGTGGATATTTGAATAGCTTTGAAGGTTTCGTTGGAAACGGGAATATCTTCATATAAAATCAAGACAGAAGCATTCTCAGAAACTTCTCTGTGATGTTTGCATTCAACTCATAGAGTTGAACACTTCCCTTCATACAGCAGGTTTGAAACACTCTTTTTGTAATATTTGGAAGTGGACATTTGCAGCGCTTTGAGGCGTATGATGAAAAAGGAAATATCTTCCCATAAAAACTAGACAGAAGCATTCTCAGAAACTTGTTTGTGATGTGTGTATTCAACTAACAGAGATGAACCTTTCTTTTTACAGAGCAGTTTTGAAACACTCTTTTTGTGGAATCTGAAAGTGGATATTTGGATAGCTTTGCGGATTTCGTTGGAAACGGGATTACATATAAAATCTAGGGAGAAGCATTCTCAGGAACTTCTTTGTGATGTTTGCATTCAAGTCACAGAACTGAACATTCCCTTTCATAGAGCAGGTTTGAAACACTCTTTCTGTAGTATCTGCAAGCGGACGTTTTAAGCGCTTTCAGGCCTGTGGTGAGAAAGGAAATATCTTCAAATAAAAACTAGACAGAAGCATTCTCAGAAACTTATTTGCGTTGTGTGTCCTCAACTAACAGAGTTGAACTTTTCTTTTGATACAACATTTTGGAAGCACTCTTTTTGTAGAATCTGCAAGTGGATATTTGGATAACTTTGAAGGTTTCGTTGGAAACGGGAATATCTTCATATGAAATCAAGACAGAAGCATTCTCAGAAACTTCTCTGTGATGTTTGCATTCAACTCATAGAGTTGAACACTTCCCTTCATACAGCAGGTTTGAAACACTCTTTTTGTAATATTTGGAAGTGGACATTTGCAGCGCTTTGAGGCCTATGATGAAAAAGGTAATATCTTCCCATAAAAACTAGACAGAAGCATTCCCAGAAACTTGTTTGTGATGTGTGTATTCAACTAACAGAGATGAACCTTTCTTTTTACAGAGCAGTTTTGAAACACTCTTTTTGTGGAATCTGAAAGTGGATATTTGGATAGCTTTGAGGATTTCGTTGGAAACGGGATTACATATAAAATCTAGAGAGAAGCATTCTCAGGAACTTCTTTGTGATGTTTGCATTCAAGTCACAGAACTGAACATTCCCTTTCATAGAGCATGTTTGAAACACTCTTTCTGTAGTATCTGCAAGCGGACGTTTCAAGCGCTTTCAGGCCTATGGTGAGAAAGGTAATATCTTCAAGTAAAAACTAGACAGAAGCATTCTCAGAAACTTATTTGCCATGTGTGTTCTCAACTAACAGAGTTGAACCTTTGTTTTGATACGGCATTTTGGAAACACTCTTTTTGTAGGATCTGCAGGTCGATATTCGGATAGCTTTGAAGGTTTCGTTGGAAACGGGAATATCTTCATATAAAATCTAGACGGAAGCATTCTCAGAAACTGCTTTGTGATGTTTTCATTCAAGTCACAGAGTAGAATGTTCCCTTTTATATACCAGGTTTCAGACACTCTTTCTGCACTATCTGGAAGTGGACATTTGGAGCGCTTTGAGGCCTATGATGAAAAAGGAAATATCTTCCCATAAAAACTAGACAGAAGCATTCTCAGAAACTTGTTTGTGATGTGTGTATTCAACTAACAGAGATGAACCTTTTTTTTTACAGAGCAGTTTTGAAACACTCTTTTTGTGGAATCTGAAAGTGGATATTTGGATAGCTTTGAGGATTTCGTTGGAAACGGGATTACATATAAAATCTAGAGAGAAGCATTCTCAGGAACTTCTTTGTGATGTTTGCATTCAAGTCACAGAACTGAACATTCCCTTTCATAGAGCAGGTTTGAAACACTCTTTCTGTAGTATCTGCAAGCGGACGTTTTAAGCGCTTTCAGGCCTGTGGTGAGAAAGGAAATATCTTCAAATAAAAACTAGACAGAAGCATTCTCAGAAACTTATTTGCGATGTGTGTCCTCAACTAACAGAGTTGAACCTTTCTTTTGATACAACATTTTGGAAACACTCTTTTTGTAGAATCTGCAAGTGGATATTTGGATAGCTTTGAAGGTTTCGTTGGAAACGGGAATATCTTCATATAAAATCAAGACAGAAGCATTCTCAGAAACTTCTCTGTGATGTTTGCATTCAACTCATAGAGTTGAACACTTCCCTTCATACAGCAGGTTTGAAACACTCTTTTTGTAATATTTGGAAGTGGACATTTGCAGCGCTTTGAGGCCTATGTTGAAAAAGGAAATATCTTCTCCTAAAAACCAGACAGAAGCATTCTCAGAAACTTGTTTGTGATGTGTGTATTCAACTAACAGAGATGAACCTTTCTTTTTACAGAGGAGTTTTGAAACACTCTTTTTGTGGAATCTGAAAGTGGATATTTGGATAGCTTTGCGGATTTCGTTGGAAACGGGATTACATATAAAATCTAGGGAGAAGCATTCTCAGGAACTTCTTTGTGATGTTTGCCTTCAAGTCACAGGACTGAACATTCCCTTTCATAGAGCAGGTTTGAAACACTCTTTCTGTAGTATCTGCAAGCTGACGTTTCAAGCGCTTTCAGGCCTATGGTGAGAAAGGAAATATCTTCAAGTAAAAACTAGACAGAAGCATTCTCAGAAACTTCTTTGCCATGTGTGTTCTCAACTAACAGAGTTGAACCTTTGTTTTGATACGGCATTTTGGAAACACTCTTTTTGTAGAATCTGCAGGTGGATATTCGGATAGCTTTGAAGGTTTCGTTGGAAACGGGAATATCTTCATATAAAATACTAGACGGAAGCATTCTCAGAAACTGCTTTGTGATGTTTTCATTCAAGTCACAGAGTAGAATGTTCCCTGTTATACACCAGGTTTGAGACACTCTTTCTGCACTACCTGGAAGTGGACGTTTGGAGCGCTTTGAGGCCTATGTTGAAAAAGGAAATATCTTCCCATAAAAACTAGACAGAAGCATTCTCAGAAACTTGTTTGTGATGTGTGTATTCAACTAACAGAGATGAACCTTTCTTTTTACAGAGCAGTTTTGAAACACTCTTTTTGTGGAATCTGAAAGTGGATATTTGGATAGCTTTGAGGATTTCGTTGGAAACGGGATTACATATAAAATCTAGAGAGAAGCATTCTCAGGAACTTCTTTGTGATGTTTGCATTCACGTCACAGAACTGAACATTCCCTTTCATAGAGCATGTTTGAAACACTCTTTCTGTAGTATCTGCAAACGGACATTTCAAACGCTTTCAGGCCTATGGTGAGAAAGGAAATATCTTCAAATAAAAACTAGACAGAAGCATTCTCAGAAACTTATTTGCGATGTGTGTCCTCAACTAACAGAGTTGAACCTTTCTTTTGATACAACATTTTGGAACCACTCTTTTTGTAGAATCTGCAAGTGGATATTTGGATAGCTTTGAAGGTTTCGTTGGAAACGGGAATATCTTCATATAAAATCAACACAGAAGCATTCTCAGAAACTTCTCTGTGATGTTTGCATTCAACTCATAGAGTTGAACACTTCCCTTCATACAGCAGGTTTGAAACACTCTTTTTGTAATATTTGGAAGTGGACATTTGCAGCGCTTTGAGGCCTATGATGAAAAAGGAAATATCTTCCCATAAAAACTAGACAGAAGCATTCTCAGAAACTTGTTTGTGATGTGTGTATTCAACTAACAGAGATGAACCCTTCTTTTTACAGAGCAGTTTTGAAACACTCTTTTTGTGGAATCTGAAAGTGGATATTTGGATAGCTTTGCGGATTTCGTTGGAAACGGGATTACATATAAAATCTAGGGAGAAGCAGTCTCAGCAACTTCTTTGTGATGTTTGCATTGAAGTCACAGAACTGAACATTCCCTTTCATAGAGCAGGTTTGAAACACTCTTTCTGTAGTATCTGCAAGCGGACGTTTGAAGCGCTTTCAGGCCTGTGGTGAAAAAGGAAATATCTTCAAATAAAAACTAGATAGAAGCATTCTCAGAAACTTATTTGCGATGTGTGTTCTCAACTAAAAGAGTTGAACCTTTGTTTGGATACAGCATTTTGGAAACACTCTTTTTGTAGAATCTGCAAGTGGATATTTGGATAGCTTTGAAGGTTTCGTTGGAAACGGGAATATCTTCATATAAAATCAAGACAGAAGCATTCTCAGAAACTGCTTTGTGATGTTTTCATTCAAGTCACAGAGTAGAATGTTCCCTGTTATATACCAGGTTTGAGACACTCTTTCTGCACTACCTGGAAGTGGACGTTTGGAGCGCTTTGAGGCGTATGTTGAAAAAGGAAATATCTTCCCATAAAAATTAGACAGAAGCATTCTCAGAAACTTGTTTGTGATGTGTGTATTCAACTAACAGAGATGAACCTTTCTTTTTACAGAGCAGTTTTGAAACACTCTTTTTGTGGAATCTGAAAGTGGATATTTGGATAGCTTTGAGGATTTCGTTGGAAACGGGATTACATATAAAACCTAGAGAGAAGCATTCTCAGGAACTTCTTTGTGATGTTTGCATTCAAGTCACAGAACTGAACATTCCCTTTCATAGAGCAGGTTTGAAACACTCTTTCTGTAGTATCTGCAAGCGGACGTTTCAAGCGCTTTCAGGCCTGTGGTGAGAAAGGAAATATCTTTCAAGTAAAAACTAGACAGAAGCATTCTCAGAAACTTATTTGCGATGTGTGTTCTCAACTAACAGAGTTGAACCTTTGTTTTGATACAGCATTTTGGAAACACTCTTTTTGTAGGATCTGCAGGTGGATATTTGGATAGCTTTGAAGGTTTCATTGGAAACGGGAATATCTTCATATAAAATCAAGACGGAAGCATTCTCAGAAACTTCTCTGTGATGTTTGCATTCAACTCATAGAGTTGAACACTTCCTTTCATAGAGCTGGTTTGAAATACTCATTTTGTAATATTTGGAAGTGGACATTGGCAGCGCTTTGAGGCCTATGGTGAAAAAGGAGATATCTTCTATTAAAAACCAGACAGAAGCATTCTCAGAATCTTCCTTGTGATGTGTGTACTCAAGTAACAGAGTTGAACCTTCCTTTTGACAGAGCAGTTTTGAAGCACTCTTTTTGTAGAATCTGCAAGTGGATATTTTGATACCTTTGAGGATTTCGTTGGACACGGGATATCTTCATATAAAATCTAGACAGAAGCATTCTCAGAAACTTCTTTGTGCTGTATGTCCTCAATTAACAGAGTTGAACCTTTGTTTCGATACAGCATTTTGGAAACATTCCTTTAGTAGAATCTGCAAGTTGATATTTAGATAGCTAGGAAGATTTCCTTGGAAACGGGAATATCTTCATATAAAATCTAGACGGAAGCATTCTCAGAAAGTGCTTTGTGATGTTTGCATTCAAGTCACAGAGTTGAATATTCCCTTTTATAGAGCAGGTTTGAAACACTCTTTCTGCACTACCTGGAAGTGGACATTTGGAGCGCTTTGAGGCCTATGTTGAAAAAGGAAATATCTTCCCATAAAAACTAGACAGAAGCATTCTCAGAAACTTGTTTGTGATGTGTGTATTCAACTAACAGAGATGAACCTTTCTTTTTACAGAGCAGTTTTGAAACACTCTTTTTGTGGAATCTGAAAGTGGATATTTGGATAGCTTTGAGGATTTCGTTGGAAACGGGATTACATATAAAATCTAGAGAGAAGCATTCTCAGGAACTTCTTTGTGATGTTTGCATTCACGTCACAGAACTGAACATTCCCTTTCATAGAGCATGTTTGAAACACTCTTTCTGTAGTATCTGCAAACGGACATTTCAAGCGCTTTCAGGCCTATGGTAAGAAAGGAAATATCTTCAAATCAAAACTAGACAGAAGCATTCTCACGAAACTTATTTTGTCGATGTGTGTCCTCAACTAACAGAGTTGAACCTTTGTTTTGATACAACATTTTGGAAACACTCTTTTTGTAGAATCTGCAAGTGGATATTTGGATAACTTTGAAGGTTTCGTTGGAAACGGGAATATCTTCATATAAAATCAAGACAGAAGCATTCTCAGAAACTTCTCTGTGATGTTTGCATTCAACTCATAGAGTTGAACACTTCCCTTCATACAGCAGGTTTGAAACACTCTTTTTGTAATATTTGGAAGTGGACATTTGCAGCGCTTTGAGGCCTATGTTGAAAAAGGAAATATCTTCTCCTAAAAACCAGACAGAAGCATTCTCAGAAACTTCCTTGTGATGTGTGTACTCAAGTAACAGAGTTGAACCTTCCTTTTGACAGAGCAGTTTTGAAGCACTCTTTTTGTAGAATCTGCAAGTGGATATTTTGATACCTTTGAGGATTTCGTTGGACACGGGATATCTTCATATAAAATCTAGACAGAAGCATTCTCAGGAACTTCTTTGTGATGTTTGCATTCACGTCACAGAACTGAACATTCCCTTTCATAGAGCATGTTTGAAACACTCTTTCTGTAGTATCTGCAAGCGGACGTTTTAAGCGCTTTCAGGCCTGTGGTGAGAAAGGAAATATCTTCAAATAAAAACTAGACAGAAGCATTCTCAGAAACTTATTTGCGATGTGTGTCCTCAACTAACAGAGTTGAACCTTTCTTTTGATACAACATTTTGGAAACACTCTTTTTGTAGAATCTGCAAGTGGATATTTGGATTGCTTTGAAGGTTTCGTTGGAAACGGGAATATCTTCATATGAAATCAAGACAGAAGCATTCTCAGAAACTTCTCTGTGATGTGTGCATTCAACTCATAGAGTTGAACACTTCCCTTCATACAGCAGGTTTGAAACACTCTTTTTCTAATATTTGGAAGTGGACATTTGCAGCGCTTTGAGGCCTATGTTGAAAAAGGAAATATCTTCTCCTAAAAACCAGACAGAAGCATTCTCAGAAACTTCCTTGTGATGTGTGTACTCAAGTAACAGAGTTGAACCTTCCTTTTGACAGAGCAGTTTTGAAGCACTCTTTTTGTAGAATCTGCAAGTGGATATTTTGATACCTTTGAGGATTTCGTTGGACACGGGATATCTTCATATAAAATCTAGACAGAAGCATTCTCAGGAACTTCTTTGTGATGTTTGCATTCACGTCACAGAACTGAACATTCCCTTTCATAGAGCATGTTTGAAACACTCTTTCTGTAGTATCTACAAACGGACATTTCAAACGCTTTCAGGCCTATGGTGAGAAAGGAAATATCTTCAAATAAAAACTAGACAGAAGCATTCTCAGAAACTTATTTGCGATGTGTGTCCTCAACTAACAGAGTTGAACCTTTCTTTTGATACAACATTTTGGAAACACTCTTTTTGTAGAATCTGCAAGTGGATATTTGCATAGCTTTGAAGGTTTCGTTGGAAACGGGAATATCTTCATATAAAATCAAGACAGAAGCATTCTCAGAAACTTCTCTGTGATGTTTGCATTCAACTCATAGAGTTGAACACTTCCCTTCATACAGCAGGTTTGAAACACTCTTTTTGTAATATTTGGAAGTGGACATTTGCAGCGCTTTGAGGCCTATGTTGAAAAAGGAAATATCTTCTCCTAAAAACCAGACAGAAGCATTCTCAGAAACTTCCTTGTGATGTGTGTACTCAAGTAACAGAGTTGAACCTTCCTTTTGACAGAGCAGTTTTGAAGCACTCTTTTTGTAGAATCTGCAAGTGGATATTTTGATACCTTTGAGGATTTCGTTGGACACGGGATATCTTCATATAAAATCTAGACAGAAGCATTCTCAGGAACTTCTTTGTGATGTTTGCATTCACGTCACAGAACTGAACATTCCCTTTCATAGAGCATGTTTGAAACACTCTTTCTGTAGTATCTGCAAACGGACATTTCAAACGCTTTCAGGCCTATGGTGAGAAAGGAAATATCTTCAAATAAAAACTAGACAGAAGCATTCTCAGAAACTTATTTGCGATGTGTGTCCTCAACTAACAGAGTTGAACCTTTCTTTTGATACAACATTTTGGAAACACTCTTTTTGTAGAATCTGCAAGTGGATATTTGAATAGCTTTGAAGGTTTCGTTGGAAACGGGAATATCTTCATATAAAATCAAGACAGAAGCATTCTCAGAAACTTCTCTGTGATGTTTGCATTCAACTCATAGAGTTGAACACTTCCCTTCATACAGCAGGTTTGAAACACTCTTTTTGTAATATTTGGAAGTGGACATTTGCAGCGCTTTGAGGCCTATGATGAAAAAGGTAATATCTTCCCATAAAAACTAGACAGAAGCATTCTCAGAAACTTGTTTGTGATGTGTGTATTCAACTAACAGAGATGAACCTTTCTTTTTACAGAGCAGTTTTGAAACACTCTTTTTGTGGAATCTGAAAGTGGATATTTGGATAGCTTTGCGGATTTCGTTGGAAACGGGATTACATATAAAACCTAGAGAGAAGCATTCTCAGGAACTTCTTTGTGATGTTTGCCTTCAAGTCACAGGACTGAACATTCCCTTTCATAGAGCAGGTTTGAAACACTCTTTCTGTAGTATCTGCAAGCTGACGTTTCAAGCGCTTTCAGGCCTATGGTGAGAAAGGAAATATGCTTCAAGTAAAAACTAGACAGAGAAGCATTCTCAGAAACTTATTTGCCATGTGTGTTCTCAACTAACAGAGTTGAACCTTTGTTTTGATATGGCATTTTGGAAACACTCTTTTTGTAGAATCTGCAGGTGGATATTCGGATAGCTTTGAAGGTTTCGTTGGAAACGGGAATATCTTCATATAAAATCTAGACGGAAGCATTCTCAGAAACTGCTTTGTGATGTTTTCATTCAAGTCACAGAGTAGAATGTTCCCTGTTATATACCAGGTTTGAGACACTCTTTCTGCACTACCCGGAAGTGGACGTTTGGAGCGCTTTGAGGCCTATGTTGAAAAAGGAAATATCTTCCCATAAAAACTAGACAGAAGCATTCTCAGAAACTTGTTTGTGATGTGTGTATTCAACTAACAGAGATGAACCTTTCTTTTTACAGAGCAGTTTTGAAACACTCTTTTTGTGGAATCTGAAAGTGGATATTTGGATAGCTTTGAGGATTTCGTTGGAAACGGGATTACATATAAAATCTAGAGAGAAGCATTCTCAGGAACTTCTTTGTGATGTTTGCATTCAAGTCACAGAACTGAACATTCCCTTTCATAGAGCATGTTTGAAACACTCTTTCTGTAGTATCTGCAAGCGGACGTTTTAAGCGCTTTCAGGCCTGTGGTGAGAAAGGAAATATCTTCAAATAAAAACTAGACAGAAGCATTCTCAGAAACTTATTTGCGATGTGTGTCCTCAACTAACAGAGTTGAACCTTTCTTTTGATACAACATTTTGGAAACACTCTTTTTGTAGAATCTGCAAGTGGATATTTGGATAGCTTTGAAGGTTTCGTTGGAAACGGGAATATCTTCATATGAAATCAAGACAGAAGCATTCTCAGAAACTTCTCTGTGATGTTTGCATTCAACTCATAGAGTTGAACACTTCCCTTCATACAGCAGGTTTGAAACACTCTTTTTGTAATATTTGGAAGTGGACATTTGCAGCGCTTTGAGGCCTATGTTGAAAAAGGAAATATCTTCTCCTAAAAACCAGACAGAAGCATTCTCAGAAACTTCCTTGTGATGTGTGTACTCAGGTAACAGAGTTGAACCTTACTTTTGACAGAGCCGTTTTGAAACAGTCTTTTTGTAGAATCTGGAAGTAGATATTTGGATACCTTTGAGGATTTCTTTGGAAACGGGATATCTTCATATAAAATCTAGACAGAAGCATTCTCAGGAACTTCTTTGTGATGTTTGCATTCAAGTCACAGAACTGAACATTCCCTTTCATAGAGCATGTTTGAAACACTCTTTCTGTAGTATCTGCAAACGGACATTTCAAACGCTTTCAGGCCTATGGTGAGAAAGGAAATATCTTCAAATAAAAACTAGACAGAAGCATTCTCAGAAACTTGTTTGCGATGTGTTTCCTCAACTAACAGAGTTGAACCTTTCTTTTGATACAACATTTTGGAAACACTCTTTTTGTAGAATCTGCAAGTGGATATTTGGATAGCTTTGAAGGTTTCTTTGGAAACGGGAATATCTTCATATAAAATCAAGACAGAAGCATTCTCAGAAACTTCTCTGTGATGTTTGCATTCAACTCATAGAGTTGAACACTTCCCTTCATACAGCAGGTTTGAAACACTCTTTTTGTAATATTTGGAAGTGGACATTTGCAGCGCTTTGAGGCCTATGATGAAAAAGGTAATATCTTCCCATAAAAACTAGACAGAAGCATTCTCAGAAACTTGTTTGTGATGTGTGTATTCAACTAACAGAGATGAACCTTTCTTTTTACAGAGCAGTTTTGAAACACTCTTTTTGTGGAATCTGAAAGTGGATGTTTGGATAGCTTTGCGGATTTCGTTGGAAACGGGATTACATATAAAATCTAGGGAGAAGCATTCTCAGGAACTTCTTTGTGATGTTTGCATTCAAGTCACAGAACTGAACATTCCCTTTCATAGAGCAGGTTTGAAACACTCTTTCTGTAGTATCTGCAAGCTGACGTTTCAAGCGCTTTCAGGCCTATGGTGAGAAAGGAAATATCTTCAAGTAAAAACTAGACAGAAGCATTCTCAGAAACTTATTTGCCATGTGTGTTCTCAACTAACAGAGTTGAACCTTTGTTTTGATACGGCATTTTGGAAACACTCTTTTTGTAGAATCTGCAGGTGGATATTCGGATAGCTTTGAAGGTTTCGTTGGAAACGGGAATATCTTCATATAAAATCTAGACGGAAGCATTCTCAGAAACTGCTTTGTGATGTTTTCATTCAAGTCACAGAGTAGAATGTTCCCTGTTATATACCAGGTTTGAGACACTCTTTCTGCACTACCTGGAAGTGGACGTTTGGAGCGCTTTGAGGCGTATGTTGAAAAAGGAAATATCTTCCCATAAAAATTAGACAGAAGCATTCTCAGAAACTTGTTTGTGATGTGTGTATTCAACTAACAGAGATGAACCTTTCTTTTTACAGAGCAGTTTTGAAACACTCTTTTTCTGGAATCTGAAAGTGGATATTTGGATAGCTTTGAGGATTTCGTTGGAAACGGGATTGCATATAAAACCTAGAGAGAAGCATTCTCAGGAACTTCTTTGTGATGTTTGCATTCAAGTCACAGAACTGAACATTCCCTTTCATAGAGCAGGTTTGAAACACTCTTTCTGTAGTATCTGCAAGCTGACGTTTCAAGCGCTTTCAGGCCTATGGTGAGAAAGGAAATATCTTCAAGTAAAAACTAGACAGAAAGCATTCTCAGAAACTTATTTGCGATGTGTGTCCTCAACTATCAGAGTTGAACCTTTCTTTTGATACAACATTTTGGAACCACTCTTTTTGTAGAATCTGCAAGTGGATATTTGAATAGCTTTGAAGGTTTCGTTGGAAACGGGAATATCTTCATATAAAATCAAGACAGAAGCATTCTCAGAAACTTCTCTGTGATGTTTGCATTCAACTCATAGAGTTGAACACTTCCCTTCATACAGCAGGTTTGAAACACTCTTTTTGTAATATTTGGAAGTGGACATTTGCAGCGCTTTGAGGCCTATGATGAAAAAGGAAATATCTTCCCATAAAAACTAGACAGAAGCATTCTCAGAAACTTGTTTGTGATGTGTGTATTCAACTAACAGAGATGAACCTTTCTTTTTACAGAGCAGTTTTGAAACACTCTTTTTGTGGAATCTGAAAGTGGATATTTGGATAGCTTTGCGGATTTCGTTGGAAACGGGATTACATATAAAATCTAGGGAGAAGCACTCTCAGGAACTTCTTTGTGATGTTTGCATTCAAGTCACAGAACTGAACATTCCCTTTCATAGAGCAGGTTTGAAACACTCTTTCTGTAGTATCTGCAAGCGGACGTTTTAAGCGCTTTCAGGCCTGTGGTGAGAAAGGAAATATCTTCAAATAAAAACTAGACAGAAGCATTCTCAGAAACTTATTTGCGATGTGTGTCCTCAACTAACAGAGTTGAACCTTTCTTTTGATACAACATTTTGGAAACACTCTTTTTGTAGAATCTGCAAGTGGATATTTGGATAGCTTTGAAGGTTTCGTTGGAAACGGGAATATCTTCATATGAAATCAAGACAGAAGCATTCTCAGAAACTTCTCTGTGATGTTTGCATTCAACTCATAGAGTTGAACACTTCCCTTCATACAGCAGGTTTGAAACACTCTTTTTCTAATATTTGGAAGTGGACATTTGCAGCGCTTTGAGGCCTATGTTGAAAAAGGAAATATCTTCTCCTAAAAACCAGACAGAAGCATTCTCAGAAACTTCCTGGTGATGTGTGTACTCAAGTAACAGAGTTGAACCTTCCTTTTGACGGAGCAGTTTTGAAGCACTCTTTTTGTAGAATCTGCAAGTGGATATTTTGATACCTTTGAGGATTTCGTTGGACACGGGATATCTTCATATAAAATCTAGACAGAAGCATTCTCAGGAACTTCTTTGTGATGTTTGCATTCACGTCACAGAACTGAACATTCCCTTTCATAGAGCATGTTTGAAACACTCTTTCTGTAGTATCTGCAAACGGACATTTCAAACGCTTTCAGGCCTATGGTGAGAAAGGAAATATCTTCAAATAAAAACTAGACAGAAGCATTCTCAGAAACTTATTTGCGATGTGTGTCCTCAACTAACAGAGTTGAACCATTCTTTTGATACAACATTTTGGAAACACTCTTTTTGTAGAATCTGCAAGTGGATATTTGAATAGCTTTGAAGGTTTCGTTGGAAACGGGAATATCTTCATATAAAATCAAGACAGAAGCATTCTCAGAAACTTCTCTGTGATGTTTGCATTCAACTCATAGAGTTGAACGCTTCCCTTCATACAGCAGGTTTGAAACACTCTTTTTGTAATATTTGGAAGTGGACATTTGCAGCGCTTTGAGGCCTATGATGAAAAAGGTAATATCTTCCCATAAAAACTAGACAGAAGCATTCTCAGAAACTTGTTTGTGATGTGTGTATTCAACTAACAGAGATGAACCTTTCTTTTTACAGAGCAGTTTTGAAACACTCTTTTTGTGGAATCTGAAAGTGGATATTTGGATAGCTTTGAGGATTTCGTTGGAAACGGGATTACATATAAAACCTAGAGAGAAGCATTCTCAGGAACTACTTTGTGATGTTTGCATTCAAGTCACAGAACTGAACATTCCCTTTCATAGAGCAGGTTTGAAACACTCTTTCTGTAGTATCTGCAAGCTGACGTTTCAAGCGCTTTCAGGCCTATGGTGAGAAAGGAAATATCTTCAAGTAAAAACTAGACAGAAGCATTCTCAGAAACTTATTTGCCATGTGTGTTCTCAACTAACAGAGTTGAACCTTTGTTTTGATACGGCATTTTGGAAACACTCTTTTTGTAGAATCTGCAGGTGGATATTCGGATAGCTTTGAAGGTTTCGTTGGAAACGGGAATATCTTCATATAAAATCTAGACGGAAGCATTCTCAGAAACTGCTTTGTGATGTTTTCATTCAAGTCACAGAGTAGAATGTTCCCTTTTATATACCAGGTTTGAGACACTCTTTCTGCACTATCTGGAAGTGGACATTTGGAGCGCTTTGAGGCCTATGATGAAAAAGGAAATATCTTCCCATAAAAACTAGACAGAAGCATTCTCAGAAACTTGTTTGTGATGTGTGTATTCAACTAACAGAGATGAACCTTTCTTTTTACAGAGCAGTTTTGAAACACTCTTTTTGTGGAATCTGAAAGTGGATATTTGGATAGCTTTGAGGATTTCGTTGGAAACGGGATTACATATAAAATCTAGAGAGAAGCATTCTCAGGAACTTCTTTGTGATGTTTGCATTCAAGTCACAGAACTGAACATTCCCTTTCATAGAGCAGGTTTGAAACACTCTTTCTGTAGTATCTGCAAGTGGACGTTTCAAGCGCTTTCAGGCCTGTGGTGAAAAAGGAAATATCTTCAAATAAAAACTAGACAGAAGCATTCTCAGAAACTTATTTGCGATGTGTGTTCTCAACTAACAGAGTTGAACCTTTGTTTTGATACAGCATTTTGGAAACACTCTTTTTGTAGGATCTGCAGGTGGATATTTGGATAGCTTTGAAGGTTTCGTTGGAAACGGGAATATCTTCATATAAAATCAAGACAGAAGCATTCTCAGAAACTTCTCTGTGATGTTTGCATTCAACTCATAGAGTTGAACACTTCCTTTCATAGAGCAGGTTTGAAACACTCTTTTTGTAATATTTGGAAGTGGACATTTGCAGCGCTTTGAGGCCTATGTTGAAAAAGGAAATATCTTCTCCTAAAAACCAGACAGAAGCATTCTCAGAAACTTCCTTGTGATGTGTGTACTCAAGTAACAGAGTTGAACCTTACTTTTGATAGAGCCGTTTTGAAACAGTCTTTTTGTAGAATCTGGAAGTAGATATTTGGATACCTTTGAGGATTTCTTTGGAAACGGGATATCTTCATACAAAATCTAGACAGAAGCACTCTCAGGAACTTCTTTGTGATGTTTGCCTTCAAGTCACAGGACTGAACATTCCCTTTCATAGAGCAGGTTTGAAACACTCTTTCTGTAGTATCTGCAAGCTGACGTTTCAAGCGCTTTCAGGCCTATGGTGAGAAAGAAAATATCTTCAAGTAAAAACTAGACAGAAGCATTCTCAGAAACTTATTTGCCATGTGTGTTCTCAACTAACAGAGTTGAACCTTTGTTTTGATACGGCATTTTGGAAACACTCTTTTTGTAGAATCTGCAGGTGGATATTCGGATAGCTTTGAAGGTTTCGTTGGAAACGGGAATATCTTCATATAAAATCTAGACGGAAGCATTCTCAGAAACTGCTTTGTGATGTTTTCATTCAAGTCACAGAGTAGAATGTTCCCTGTTATATACCAGGTTTGAGACACTCTTTCTGCACTACCCGGAAGTGGACGTTTGGAGCGCTTTGAGGCCTATGTTGAAAAACGAAATATCTTCCCATAAAAACTAGACAGAAGCATTCTCAGAAACTTGTTTGTGATGTGTGTATTCAACTAACAGAGATGAACCTTTCTTTTTACAGAGCAGTTTTGAAACACTCTTTTTGTGGAATCTGAAAGTGGATATTTGGATAGCTTTGAGGATTTCGTTGGAAACGGGATTACATATAAAATCTAGAGAGAAGCATTCTCAGGAACTTCTTTGTGATGTTTGCAATCACGTCACAGAACTGAACATTCCCTTTCATAGAGCATGTTTGAAACACTCTTTCTGTAGTATCTGCAAACGGACATTTCAAACGCTTTCAGGCCTATGGTGAGAAAGGAAATATCTTCAAGTAAAAACTAGACAGAAGCATTCTCAGAAACTTATTTGCGATGTGTGTCCTCAACTAACAGAGTTGAACCTTTCTTTTGATACAACATTTTGGAAACACTCTTTTTGTAGAATCTGCAAGTGGATATTTGAATAGCTTTGAAGGTTTCGTTGGAAACGGGAATATCTTCATATAAAATCAAGACAGAAGCATTCTCAGAAACTTCTCTGTGATGTTTGCATTCAACTCATAGAGTTGAACACTTCCCTTCATACAGCAGGTTTGAAACACTCTTTTTGTAATATTTGGAAGTGGACATTTGCAGCGCTTTGAGGCCTATGATGAAAAAGGTAATATCTTCCCATAAAAACTAGACAGAAGCATTCTCAGAAACTTGTTTGTGATGTGTGTATTCAACTAACAGAGATGAACCTTTCTTTTTACAGAGCAGTTTTGAAACACTCTTTTTGTGGAATCTGAAAGTGGATATTTGGATAGCTTTGCGGATTTCGTTGGAAACGGGATTACATATAAAATCTAGGGAGAAGCATTCTCAGGAACTTCTTTGTGATGTTTGCATTCAAGTCACAGAACTGAACATTCCCTTTCATAGAGCAGGTTTGAAACACTCTTTCTGTAGTATCTGCAAGCGGACGTTTTAAGCGCTTTCAGGCCTGTGGTGAGAAAGGAAATATCTTCAAATAAAAACTAGACAGAAGCATTCTCAGAGACTTATTTGCGATGTGTGTCCTCAACTAACAGAGTTGAACCTTTCTTTTGATACAACATTTTGGAAACACTCTTTTTGTAGAATCTGCAAGTGGATATTTGGATAGCTTTGAAGGTTTCGTTGGAAACGGGAATATCTTCATATGAAATCAAGACAGAAGCATTCTCAGAAACTTCTCTGTGATGTTTGCATTCAACTCATAGAGTTGAACACTTCCCTTCATACAGCAGGTTTGAAACACTCTTTTTCTAATATTTGGAAGTGGACATTTGCAGCGCTTTGAGGCCTATGTTGAAAAAGGAAATATCTTCTCCTAAAAACCAGACAGAAGCATTCTCAGAAACTTCCTTGTGATGTGTGTACTCAAGTAACAGAGTTGAACCTTCCTTTTGACAGAGCAGTTTTGAAGCACTCTTTTTGTAGAATCTGCAAGTGGATATTTTGATACCTTTGAGGATTTCGTTAGACACGGGATATCTTCATATAAAATCTAGACAGAAGCATTCTCAGAAACTTCTTTGTGCTGTATGTCCTCAATTAACAGAGTTGAACCTTTGTGTGGATACAGCATTTTGGAAACATTCCTTTAGTAGAATCTGCAAGTTGATATTTAGATAGCTAGGAAGATTTCCTTGGAAACGGGAATATCTTCATATAAAATCTAGACGGAAGCATTCTCAGAAAGTGCTTTGTGATGTTTGCATTCAAGTCACAGAGTTGAATATTCCCTTTTATAGAGCAGGTTTGAAACACTCTTTCTGCACTACCTGGAAGTGGACATTTGGAGCGCTTTGAGGCCTATGTTGAAAAAGGAAATATCTTCCCATAAAAACTAGACAGAAGCATTCTCAGAAACTTGTTTGTGATGTGTGTATTCAACTAACAGAGATGAACCTTTCTTTTTACAGAGCAGTTTTGAAACACTCTTTTTGTGGAATCTGAAAGTGGATATTTGGATAGCTTTGAGGATTTCGTTGGAAACGGGATTACATATAAAACCTAGAGAGAAGAATTCTCAGGAACTTCTTTGTGATGTTTGCATTCAAGTCACAGAACTGAACATTCCCTTTCATAGAGCAGGTTTGAAACACTCTTTCTGTAGTATCTGCAAGCTGACGTTTCAAGCGCTTTCAGGCCTATGGTGAGAAAGGAAATATCTTCAAGTAAAAACTAGACAGAAGCATTCTCAGAAACTTATTTGCCATGTGTGTTCTCAACTAACAGAGTTGAACCTTTGTTTTGATACGGCATTTTGGAAACACTCTTTTTGTAGAATCTGCAGGTGGATATTCGGATAGCTTTGAAGGTTTCGTTGGAAACGGGAATATCTTCATATAAAATCTAGACGGAAGCATTCTCAGAAACTGCTTTGTGATGTTTTCATTCAAGTCACAGAGTAGAATGTTCCCTGTTATATACCAGGTTTGAGACACTCTTTCTGCACTACCTGGAAGTGGACGTTTGGAGCGCTTTGAGGCCTATGTTGAAAAAGGAAATATCTTCCCATAAAAACTAGACAGAAGCATTCTCAGAAACTTGTTTGTGATGTGTGTATTCAACTAACAGGGATGAACTTTTCTTATTACAGAGCAGTTTGGAAACACTCTTTTTGTGGAATCTGAAAGTGGATATTTGGATAGCTTTGCGGATTTCGTTGGAAACGGGATTACATATAAAATCTAGGGAGAAGCATTCTCAGGAACTTCTTTGTGATGTTTGCATTCAAGTCACAGAACTGAACATTCCCTTTCATAGAGCATGTTTGAAACACTCTTTCTGTAGTATCTGCAAGCGGACGTTTTAAGCGCTTTCAGGCCTGTGGTGAGAAAGGAAATATCTTCAAATAAAAACTAGACAGAAGCATTCTCAGAAACTTATTTGCGATGTGTGTCCTCAACTAACAGAGTTGAACCTTTGTTTTGATACAACATTTTGGAAACACTCTTTTTGTAGAATCTGCAAGTGGATATTTGGATAGCTTTGAAGGTTTCGTTGGAAACGGGAATATCTTCATATAAAATCAAGACAGAAGCATTCTCAGAAACTTCTCTGTGATGTTTGCATTCAACTCATAGAGTTGAACACTTCCCTTCATACAGCAGGTTTGAAACACTCTTTTTGTAATATTTGGAAGTGGACATTTGCAGCGCTTTGAGGCCTATGATGAAAAAGGAAATATCTTCCCATAAAAACTAGACAGAAGCATTCTCAGAAACTTGTTTGTGATGTGTGTATTCAACTAACAGAGATGAACCCTTCTTTTTACAGAGCAGTTTTGAAACACTCTTTTTGTGGAATCTGAAAGTGGATATTTGGATAGCTTTGCGGATTTCGTTGGAAACGGGATTACATATAAAATCTAGGGAGAAGCATTCTCAGGAACTTCTTTGTGATGTTTGCATTCAAGTCACAGAACTGAACATTCCCTTTCATAGAGCAGGTTTGAAACACTCTTTCTGTAGTATCTGCAAGCTGACGTTTCAAGCGCTTTCAGGCCTATGGTGAGAAAGGAAATATCTTCAAGTAAAAACTAGACAGAAGCATTCTCAGAAACTTATTTGCCATGTGTGTTCTCAACTAACAGAGTTGAACCTTTGTTTTGATACGGCATTTTGGAAACACTCTTTTTGTAGAATCTGCAGGTGGATATTCGGATAGCTTTGAAGGTTTCGTTGGAAACGGGAATATCTTCATATAAAATCTAGACGGAAGCATTCTCAGAAACTGCTTTGTGATGTTTTCATTCAAGTCACAGAGTAGAATGTTCCCTGTTATATACCAGGTTTGAGACACTCTTTCTGCACTACCTGGAAGTGGACATTTGCAGCGCTTTGAGGCCTATGATGAAAAAGGAAATATCTTCCCATAAAAACTAGACAGAAGCATTCTCAGACACTTGTTTGTGATGTGTGTATTCAACTAACAGAGATGAACCTTTCTTTTTACAGAGCAGTTTTGAAACACTCTTTTTGTGGAATCTGAAAGTGGATATTTGGATAGCTTTGAGGATTTCGTTGGAAACGGGATTACATATAAAATCTAGAGAGAAGCATTCTCAGGAACTTCTTTGTGATGTTTGCATTCACGTCACAGAACTGAACATTCCCTTTCATAGAGCATGTTTGAAACACTCTTTCTGTAGTATCTGCAAACGGACATTTCAAACGCTTTCAGGCCTATGGTGAGAAAGGAAATATCTTCAAATAAAAACTAGACAGAAGCATTCTCAGAAACTTATTTGCGATGTGTGTCCTCAACTAACAGAGTTGAACCTTTCTTTTGATACAACATTTTGGAAACACTCTTTTTGTAGAATCTGCAAGTGGATATTTGGATAGCTTTGAAGGTTTCGTTGGAAACGGGAATATCTTCATATAAAATCAAGACAGAAGCATTCTCAGAAACTTCTCTGTGATGTTTGCATTCAACTCATAGAGTTGAACACTTCCCTTCATAGAGCAGGTTTGAAACACTCTTTTTGTAATATTTGGAAGTGGACATTTGCAGCGCTTTGAGGCCTATGTTGAAAAAGGAAATATCTTCTCCTAAAAACCAGACAGAAGCATTCTCAGAAACTTCCTTGTGATGTGTGTACTCAAGTAACACAGTTGAACCTTACTTTTGACAGAGCCGTTTTGAAACAGTCTTTTTGTAGAATCTGGAAGTAGATATTTGGATACCTTTGAGGATTTCTTTGGAAACGGGATATCTTCATATAAAATCTAGACAGAAGCATTCTCAGAAACTTCTTTGTGCTGTATGTCCTCAATTAACAGAGTTGAACCTTTGTGTGGATACAGCATTTTGGAAACATTCCTTTAGTAGAATCTGCAAGTTGATATTTAGATAGCTAGGAAGATTTCCTTGGAAACGGGAATATCTTCATATAAAATCTAGAAGGAAGCATTCTCAGAAACTGCTTTGTGATGTTTTCATTCAAGTCACAGAGTAGAATGTTCCCTGTTATATACCAGGTTTGAGACACTCTTTCTGCACTACCCGGAAGTGGACGTTTGGAGCGCTTTGAGGCCTATGTTGAAAAAGGAAATATCTTCCCATAAAAACTAGACAGAAGCATTCTCAGAAACTTGTTTGTGATGTGTGTATTCAACTAACAGAGATGAACCTTTCTTTTTACAGAGCAGTTTTGAAACACTCTTTTTGTGGAATCTGAAAGTGGATATTTGGATAGCTTTGAGGATTTCGTTGGAAACGGGATTACATATAAAATCTAGAGAGAAGCATTCTCAGGAACTTCTTTGTGATGTTTGCATTCACGTCACAGAACTGAACATTCCCTTTCATAGAGCATGTTTGAAACACTCTTTCTGTAGTATCTGCAAATGGACATTTCAAACGCTTTCAGGCCTATGGTGAGAAAGGAAATATCTTCAAATAAAAACTAGACAGAAGCATTCTCAGAAACTTATTTGCGATGTGTGTCCTCAACTATCAGAGTTGAACCTTTCTTTTGATACAACATTTTGGAACCACTCTTTTTGTAGAATCTGCAAGTGGATATTTGAATAGCTTTGAAGGTTTCGTTGGAAACGGGAATATCTTCATATAAAATCAAGACAGAAGCATTCTCAGAAACTTCTCTGTGATGTTTGCATTCAACTCATAGAGTTGAACACTTCCCTTCATACAGCAGGTTTGAAACACTCTTTTTGTAATATTTGGAAGTGGACATTTGCAGCGCTTTGAGGCCTATGATGAAAAAGGTAATATCTTCCCATAAAAACTAGACAGAAGCATTCTCAGAAACTTGTTTGTGATGTGTGTATTCAACTAACAGAGATGAACCTTTCTTTTTACAGAGCAGTTTTGAAACACTCTTTTTGTGGAATCTGAAAGTGGATATTTGGATAGCTTTGCGGATTTCGTTGGAAACGGGATTACATATAAAACCTAGAGAGAAGCATTCTCAGGAACTTCTTTGTGATGTTTGCATTCAAGTCACAGAACTGAACATTCCCTTTCATAGAGCAGGTTTGAAACACTCTTTCCGTAGTATCTGCAAGCGGACGTTTCAAGCGCTTTCAGGCCTGTGGTGAAAAAGGAAATATCTTCAAATAAAAACTAGACCGAAGCATTCTCAGAAACTTATTTGCGATGTGTGTTCTCAACTAAAAGAGTTGAACCTTTGTTTGGATACAACGTTTTGGAAACACTCTTTTTGTAGGATCTGCAAGTGGATATTTGGATAGCTTTGAAGGTTTCGTTGGAAACGGGAATATCTTCATATAAAATCAAGACAGAAGCATTCTCAGAAACTTCTCTGTGATGTTTGCATTCAACTCATAGAGTTGAACACTTCCCTTCATACAGCAGGTTTGAAACACTCTTTTTCTAATATTTGGAAGTGGACATTTGCAGCGCTTTGAGGCCTATGTTGAAAAAGGAAATATCTTCTCCTAAAAACCAGACAGGAAGCATTCTCAGAAACTTCCTTGTGATGTGTGTACTCAAGTAACAGAGTTGAACCTTCCTTTTGACAGAGCAGTTTTGAAGCACTCTTTTTGTAGAATCTGCAAGTGGATATTTTGATACCTTTGAGGATTTCGTTGGACACGGGATATCTTCATATAAAATCTAGACAGAAGCATTCTCAGGAACTTCTTTGTGATGTTTGCCTTCAAGTCACAGGACTGAACATTCCCTTTCATAGAGCAGGTTTGAAACACTCTTTCTGTAGTATCTGCAAGCTGACGTTTCAAGCGCTTTCAGGCCTATGGTGAGAAAGGAAATATCTTCAAGTAAAAACTAGACAGAAGCATTCTCAGAAACTTATTTGAGATGTGTGTTCTCAACTAACAGAGTTGAACCTTTGTTTTGATATGGCATTTTGGAAACACTCTTTTTGTAGAATCTGCAGGTGGATATTCGGATAGCTTTGAAGGTTTCGTTGGAAACGGGAATATCTTCATATAAAATCAAGACAGAAGCATTCTCAGAAACTGCTTTGTGATGTTTTCATTCAAGTCACAGAGTTGAATGTTCCCTGTTATATACCAGGTTTGAGACACTCTTTCTGCACTACCCGGAAGTGGACGTTTGGAGCGCTTTGAGGCCAATGTTGAAAAAGGAAATATCTTCCCATAAAAACTAGACAGAAGCATTCTCAGAAACTTGTTTGTGATGTGTGTATTCAACTAACAGAGATGAACCTTTCTTTTTACAGAGCAGTTTTGAAACACTCTTTTTGTGGAATCTGAAAGTGGATATTTGGATAGCTTTGAGGATTTCGTTGGAAACGGGATTACATATAAAATCTAGAGAGAAGCATTCTCAGGAACTTCTTTGTGATGTTTGCATTCAAGTCACAGAACTGAACATTCCCTTTCATAGAGCATGTTTGAAACACTCTTTCTGTAGTTTCTGCAAGCGGACGTTTCAAGCGCTTTCAGGCCTATGGTGAGAAAGGAAATATCTTCAAGTAAAAACTAGACAGAAGCATTCTCAGAAACTTATTTGCCATGTGTGTTCTCAACTAACAGAGTTGAACCTTTGTTTTGATACGGCATTTTGGAAACACTCTTTTCGTAGAATCTGCAGGTGGATATTCGGATAGCTTTGAAGGTTTCGTTGGAAACGGGAATATCTTCATAGAAAATCTAGACGGAAGCATTCTCAGAAACTGCTTTGTGATGTTTTCATTCAAGTCACAGAGTAGAATGTTCCCTTTTATATACCAGGTTTGAGACACTCTTTCTGCACTATCTGGAAGAGGACATTTGGAGCGCTTTGAGGCCTATGATGAAAAAGGAAATATCTTCCCATAAAAACTAGACAGAAGCATTCTCAGAAACTTGTTTGTGATGTGTGTATTCAACTAACAGAGATGAACCTTTCTTTTTACAGAGCAGTTTTGAAACACTCTTTTTGTGGAATCTGAAAGTGGATATTTGGATAGCTTTGAGGATTTCGTTGGAAACGGGATTACATATAAAATCTAGAGAGAAGCATTCTCAGGAACTTCTTTGTGATGTTTGCATTCACGTCACAGAACTGAACATTCCCTTTCATAGAGCATGTTTGAAACACTTTCTGTAGTATCTGCAAACGGACATTTCAAGCGCTTTCAGGCCTATGGTAAGAAAGGAAATATCTTCAAATAAAAACTAGACAGAAGCATTCTCAGAAACTTATTTGCGATGTGTGTCCTCAACTAACAGAGTTGAACCTTTGTTTTGATACAGCATTTTGGAAACACTCTTTTTGTAGGATCTGCAGGTGGATATTTGGATAGCTTTTAAGGTTTCGTTGGAAACGGGAATATCTTCATATAAAATCAAGACAGAAGCATTCTCAGAAACTTCTCTGTGATGTTTGCATTCAACTCATAGAGTTGAACCCTTCCCTTCATACAGCAGGTTTGAAACACTCTTTTTCTAATATTTGGAAGTGGACATTTGCAGCGCTTTGAGGCCTATGTTGAAAAAGGAAATATCTTCTCCTAAAAACCAGACAGAAGCATTGTCAGAAACTTCCTTGTGATGTGTGTACTCAAGTTACAGAGTTGAACCTTCCTTTTGACAGAGCAGTTTTGAAGCACTCTTTTTGTAGAATCTGCAAGTGGATATTTTGATACCTTTGAGGATTTCGTTGGACACGGGATATCTTCATATAAAATCTAGACAGAAGCATTCTCAGGAACTTCTTTGTGATGTTTGCATTCACGTCACAGAACTGAACATTCCCTTTCATAGAGCATGTTTGAAACACTCTTTCTGTAGTATCTGCAAACGGACATTTCAAGCGCTTTCAGGCCTATGGTGAGAAAGGAAATATCTTCAAATAAAAACTAGACAGAAGCATTCTCAGAAACTTATTTGCCATGTGTGTTCGCAACTAACAGAGTTGAACCTTTGTTTGGATACGGCATTTTGGAAACACTCTTTTTGTAGAATCTGCAGGTGGATATTCGGATAGCTTTGAAGGTTTCGTTGGAAACGGGAATATCTTCATATAAAATCTAGACGGAAGCATTCTCAGAAACTGCTTTGTGATGTTTTCATTCAAGTCACAGAGTAGAATGTTCCCTGTTATATACCAGGTTTGAGACACTCTTTCTGCAGTACCTGGAAGTGGACGTTTGGAGCGCTTTGAGGCATATGTTGAAAAAGGAAATATCTTCCCATAAAAACTAGACAGAAGCATTCTCAGAAACTTGTTTGTGATGTGTGTATTCAACTAACAGAGATGAACCTTTCTTTTTACAGAGCAGTTTTGAAACACTCTTTTTGTGGAATCTGAAAGTGGATATTTGGATAGCTTTGCGGATTTCGTTGGAAACGGGATTACATATAAAATCTAGGGAGAAGCATTCTCAGGAACTTCTTTGTGATGTTTGCATTCAAGTCACAGAACTGAACATTCCCTTTCATAGAGCAGGTTTGAAACACTCTTTCTGTAGTATCTGCAAGCGGACGTTTTAAGCGCTTTCAGGCCTGTGGTGAGAAAGGAAATATCTTCAAATAAAAACTAGGGCAGAAGAATTCTCAGAAACTTATTTGCGATGTGTGTCCTCAACTAACAGAGTTGAACCTTTCTTTTGATACAACATTTTGGAAACACTCTTTTTGTAGAATCTGCAAGTGGATATTTGGATAGCTTTGAAGGTTTCGTTGGAAACGGGAATATCTTCATATAAAATCAAGACAGAAGCATTCTCAGAAACTTCTCTGTGATGTTTGCATTCAACTCATAGAGTTGAACACTTCCCTTCATACAGCAGGTTTGAAACACTCTTTTTGTAATATTTGGAAGTGGACATTTGCAGCGCTTTGAGGCCTATGATGAAAAAGGTAATATCTTCCCATAAAAACTAGACAGAAGCATTCTCAGAAACTTGTTTGTGATGTGTGTATTCAACTAACAGAGATGAACCTTTCTTTTTACAGAGCAGTTTTGAAACACTCTTTTTGTGGAATCTGAAAGTGGATATTTGGATAGCTTTGAGGATTTCGTTGGAAACGGGATTACATATAAAATCTAGAGAGAAGCATTCTCAGGAACTTCTTTGTGATGTTTGCATTCACGTCACAGAACTGAACATTCCCTTTCATAGAGCATGTTTGAAACACTCTTTCTGTAGTATCTGCAAACGGACATTTCAAACGCTTTCAGGCCTATGGTGAGAAAGGAAATATCTTGAAATAAAAACTAGACAGAAGCATTCTCAGAAACTTATTTGCGATGTGTGTTCTCAACTAACAGAGTTGAACCTTTGTTTTGATACAGCATTTTGGAAACACTCTTTTTGTAGGATCTGCAGGTGGATATTTGGATAGATTTGAAGGTTTCGTTGGAAACGGGAATATCTTCATATAAAATCAACACAGAAGCATTCTCAGAAACTTCTCTGTGATGTTTGCATTCAACTCATAGAGTTGAACACTTCCTTTCATAGAGCTGGTTTGAAATACTCTTTTTGTAACATTTGGAAGTGGACATTGGCAGCGCTTTGAAGCCTATGGTGAAAAAGGAGATATCTTCCCCTAAAAACCAGACAGAAGCATTCTCAGAATCTTTCTTGTGATGTGTGTACTCAAGTAACAGAGTTGAACCTTCATTTTGACAGAGCAGTTTTGAAGCACTCTTTTTGTAGAATCTACAAGTGGATATTTTGATACCTTTGAGGATTTCGTTGGACACGGGATATCTTCATATAAAATCTAGACAGAAGCATTCTCAGGAACTTCTTTGTGATGTTTGCATTCAAGTCACAGAACTGAACATTCCCTTTCATAGAGCAGGTTTGAAACACTCTTTCTGTAGTATCTGCAAGCGGACGTTTTAAGCGCTTTCAGGCCTGTGGTGAGAAAGGAAATATCTTCAAATAAAAACTAGACAGAAGCATTCTCAGAAACTTATTTGCGATGTGTGTCCTCAACTAACAGAGTTGAACCTTTCTTTTGATACAACATTTTGGAAACACTCTTTTTGTAGAATCTGCAAGTGGATATTTGGATAGCTTTGAAGGTTTCGTTGGAAACGGGAATATCTTCATATGAAATCAAGACAGAAGCATTCTCAGAAACTTCTCTGTGATGTTTGCATTCAACTCATAGAGTTGAACACTTCCCTTCATACAGCAGGTTTGAAACACTCTTTTTCTAATATTTGGAAGTGGACATTTGCAGCGCTTTGAGGCCTATGTTGAAAAAGGAAATATCTTCTCCTAAAAACCAGACAGAAGCATTCTCAGAAACTTCCTTGTGATGTGTGTACTCAAGTAACAGAGTTGAACCTTCCTTTTGACAGAGCAGTTTTGAAGCACTCTTTTTGTAGAATCTGCAAGTGGATATTTTGATACCTTTGAGGATTTCGTTGGACACGGGATATCTTCATATAAAATCTAGACAGAAGCATTCTCAGGAACTTCTTTGTGATGTTTGCATTCAAGTCACAGAACTGAACATTCCCTTTCATAGAGCATGTTTGAAACACTCTTTCTGTAGTATCTGCAAACGGACATTTCAAGCGCTTTCAGGCCTATGGTAAGAAAGGAAATATCTTCAAAGCAAAACTAGACAGAAGCATTCTCAGAAACTTATTTGCGATGTGCGTCCTCAACTAACAGAGTTGTACCTTTGTTTTGATACAACATTTTGGAACCACTCTTTTTGTAGAATCTGCAAGTGGATATTTGGATAGCTTTGAAGGTTTCGTTGGAAACGGGAATATCTTCATATAAAATCAAGACAGAAGCATTCTCAGAAACTTCTCTGTGATGTTTGCATTCAACTCATAGAGTTGAACACTTCCCTTCATAGAGCAGGTTTGAAACACTCTTTTTGTAATATTTGGAAGTGGACATTTGCAGCGCTTTGAGGCCTATGTTGAAAAAGGAAATATCTTCTCCTAAAAACCAGACAGGAAGAATTCTCAGAAACTTCCTTGTGATGTGTGTACTCAAGTAACAGAGTTGAACCTTACTTTTGACAGAGCCGTTTTGAAACAGTCTTTTTGTAGAATCTGGAAGTAGATATTTGGATACCTTTGAGGATTTCTTTGGAAACGGGATATCTTCATATAAAATCCAGACAGAAGCATTCTCAGAAACTTCTTTGTGCTGTATGTCCTCAATTAACAGAGTTGAACCTTTGTGTGGATACAGCATTTTGGAAACACTCCTTTAGTAGAATCTGCAAGTTGATATTTAGATAGCTAGGAAGATTTCCTTGGAAACGGGAATATCTTCACATAAAATCTAGACGGAAGCATTCTCAGAAACTGCTTTGTGATGTTTGCATTCAAGTCACAGAGTAGAATGTTCCCTGTTATATACCAGGTTTGAGACACTCTTTCTGCACTACCTGGAAGTGGACGTTTGGAGCGCTTTGAGGCCTATGTTGAAAAAGGAAATATCTTCCCATAAAAACTAGACAGAAGCATTCTCAGAAACTTGTTTGTGATGTGTGTATTCAACTAACAGAGATGAACCTTTCTTTTTACAGAGCAGTTTTGAAACACTCTTTTTGTGGAATCTGAAAGTGGATATTTGGATTGCTTTGAGGATTTCGTTGGAAACGGGATTACATATAAAACCTAGAGAGAAGCATTCTCAGGAACTTCTTTGTGATGTTTGCATTCAAGTCACAGAACTGAACATTCCCTTTCATAGAGCAGGTTTGAAACACTCTTTCTGTAGTATCTGCAAACGGACATTTCAAGCGCTTTCAGGCCTATGGTGAGAAAGGAAATATCTTCAAGTAAAAACTAGACAGAAGCATTCTCAGAAACTTATTTGCGATGTGTGTTCTCAACTAACAGAGTTGAACCTTTGTTTTGATATGGCATTTTGGAAACACTCTTTTTGTAGAATCTGCAGGTGGATATTCGGATAGCTTTGAAGGTTTCGTTGGAAACGGGAATATCTTCATATAAAATCTAGACGGAAGCATTCTCAGAAACTGCTTTGTGATGTTTTCATTCAAGTCACAGAGTAGAATGTTCCCTGTTATATACCAGGTTTGAGACACTCTTTCTGCACTACCTGGAAGTGGACATTTGCAGCGCTTTGAGGCCTATGATGAAAAAGGAAATATCTTCCCATAAAAACTAGACAGAAGCATTCTCAGAAACTTGTTTGTGATGTGTGTATTCAACTAACAGAGATGAACCTTTCTTTTTACAGAGCAGTTTTGAAACACTCTTTTTGTGGAATCTGAAAGTGGATATTTGGATAGCTTTGAGGATTTCGTTGGAAACGGGATTACATATAAAACCTAGAGAGAAGCATTCTCAGGAACTTCTTTGTGATGTTTGCATTCACGTCACAGAACTGAACATTCCCTTTCATAGAGCATGTTTGAAACACTCTTTCTGTAGTATCTGCAAACGGACATTTCAAACGCTTTCAGGCCTATGGTGAGAAAGGAAATATCTTCAAATAAAAACTAGACAGAAGCATTCTCAGAAACTTATTTGCGATGTGTGTCCTCAACTAACAGAGTTGAACCTTTCTTTTGATACAACATTTTGGAAACACTCTTTTTGTAGAATCTGCAAGTGGATATTTGGATAGCTTTGAAGGTTTCGTTGGAAACGGGAATATCTTCATATGAAATCAAGACAGATGCATTCTCAGAAACTTCTCTGTGATGTTTGCATTCAACTCATAGAGTTGAACACTTCCCTTCATACAGCAGGTTTGAAACACTCTTTTTCTAATATTTGGAAGTGGACATTTGCAGCGCTTTGAGGCCTATGTTGAAAAAGGAAATATCTTCTCCTAAAAACCAGACAGAAGCATTCTCAGAAATTTGTTTGTGATGTGTGTATTCAACTAACAGAGATGAACCTTTCTTTTTACAGAGCAGTTTTGAAACACTCTTTTTGTGGATTCTGAAAGTGGATATTTGGATAGCTTTGAGGATTTTGTTGGAAACGGGATTACATATAAAACCTAGAGAGAAGCATTCTCAGGAACTTCTTTGTGATGTTTGCATTCAAGTCACAGAACTGAACATTCCCTTTCATAGAACAGGTTTGAAACACTCTTTCTGTAGTATCTGCAAGCGGACGTTTCAAGCGCTTTCAGGCCTATGGTGAGAAAGGAAATATCTTCAAGTAAAAACTAGACAGAAGCATTCTCAGAAACTTATTTGCGATGTGTGTTCTCAACTAACAGAGTTGAACCTTTGTTTTGATATGGCATTTTGGAAACACTCTTTTTGTAGAATCTGCAGGTGGATATTCGGATAGCTTTGAACGTTTCGTTGGAAACGGGAATATCTTCATATAAAATCTAGACGGAAGCATTCTCAGAAACTGCTTTGTGATGTTTTCATTCAAGTCACAGAGTAGAATCTTCCCTGTTATATACCAGGTTTCAGACACTCTTTCTGCACTACCTGGAAGTGGACATTTGCAGCGCTTTGAGGCCTATGATGAAAAAGGAAATATCTTCCCATAAAAACTAGACAGAAGCATTCTCAGAAACTTGTTTTTGATGTGTGTATTCAACTAACAGAGATGAACCTTTCTTTTTACAGAGCAGTTTTGAAACACTCTTTTTGTGGAATCTGAAAGTGGATATTTGGATAGCTTTGCGGATTTCGTTGGAAACGGGATTACATATAAAACCTAGAGAGAAGCATTCTCAGGAACTTCTTTGTGATGTTTGCATTCAAGTCACAGAACTGAACATTCCCTTTCATAGAGCATGTTTGAAACACTCTTTCTGTAGTATCTGCAAGCGGACGTTTCAAGCGCTTTCAGGCCTATGGTGAGAAAGGAAATATCTTCAAGTAAAAGCTAGACAGAAGCATTCTCAGAAACTTATTTGCCATGTGTGTTCTCAACTAACAGAGTTGAACCTTTGTTTTGATACGGCATTTTGGAAACACTCTTTTGGTAGAATCTGCAGGTGGATATTCGGATAGCTTTGAAGGTTTCGTTGGAAACGGGAGTATCTTCATATAAAATCTAGACGGAAGCATTCTCAGAAACAGCTTTGTGATGTTTTCATTCAAGTCACAGAGTACAATGTTCTCTTTTATATTCCAGGTTTGAGACACTCTTTCTGCACTATCTGGAAGTGGACATTTGGAGCGCTTTGAGGCCTATGTTGAAAAAGGAAATATCTTCCCATAAAAACTAGACAGAAGCATTCTCAGAAACTTGTTTGTGATGTGTGTATTCAACTAACAGAGATGAACCTTTCTTTTTACAGAGCAGTTTTGAAACACTCTTTTTGTGGAATCTGAAAGTGGATATTTGGATAGCTTTGAGGATTTCGTTGGAAACGGGATTACATATAAAATCTAGAGAGAAGCATTCTCAGGAACTTCTTTGTGATGTTTGCATTCACGTCACAGAACTGAACATTCCCTTTCATAGAGCATGTTTGAAACACTCTTTCTGTAGTATCTGCAAGCGGACATTTCAAGCGCTTTCAGGCCTATTGTGAGAAAGGAAATATCTTCAAATAAAAACTAGACAGAAGCATTCTCAGAAACTTATTTGCGATGTGTGTCCTCAACTAACAGAGTTGATCCTTTGTTTTGATACAGCACTTTGGAAACACTCTTTTGGTAGAATCTGCAGGTGGATACTTGGATACCTTTGAAGGTTTCGTTTGAAACGGGAATATCTTCACATAAAATCAAGACAGAAGCATTCTCAGAAACTTCTCTGTGATGTTTGCATTCAACTCATAGAGTGGAACACTTCCTTTCATAGGGCAGGTATGAAACACCCTTTTTGTAATATTTGGAAGTGGACATTGGCAGCGCTTTGAGGCCTACGGTGAAAAAGGAAATATCTTCTCCTAAAAACCAGACAGAAGCATTCTCACAAACTTCCTTGTGATGTGTGTACTCAAGTAACAGAGTTGAACCTTCCTTTTGACAGAGCAGTTTTGAAACACTCTTTCTGTAGAATCTGCAAGTGGATATTTTGATACCTTTGAGGATTTCGTTGGACACGGGATATCTTCATATAAAATCTAGACAGAAGCATTCTCAGAAACTGGCTTTGTGATGTTTTCATTCAAGTCACAGAGTAGAATGTTCCCTGTTATATACCAGGTTTGAGACACTCTTTCTGCACTACCTGGAAGTGGACGTTTGGAGCGCTTTGAGGCCTATGTTGAAAAAGGAAATATCTTCCCATAAAAACTAGACAGAAGCATTCTCAGAAACTTGTTTGTGATGTGTGTATTCAACTAACAGAGATGAACCTTTCTTTTTACAGAGCAGTTTTGAAACACTCTTTTTGTGGAATCTGAAAGTGGATATTTGGATAGCTTTGAGGATTTCGTTGGAAACGGGATTACATATAAAATCTAGAGAGAAGCATTCTCAGGAACTTCTTTGTGATGTTTGCATTCAAGTCACAGAACTGAACATTCCCTTTCATAGAGCATGTTTGAAACACTCTTTCTGTAGTATCTGCAAGCGGACGTTTCAAGCGCTTTCAGGCCTATGGTGAGAAAGGAAATATCTTCAAGTAAAAACTAGACAGAAGCATTCTCAGAAACTTATTTGCCATGTGTGTTCTCAACTAACAGAGTTGAACCTTTGTTTTGATACGGCATTTTGGAAACACTCTTTTTGTAGAATCTGCAGGTGGATATTCGGATAGCTTTGAAGGTTTCGTTGGAAACGGGAATATCTTCATATAAAATCTAGACGGAAGCATTCTCAGAAACTGCTTTGTGATGTTTTCATTCAAGTCACAGAGTAGAATGTTCCCTGTTATATACCAGGTTTGAGACACTCTTTCTGCACTACCTGGAAGTGGACGTTTGGAGCGCTTTGAGGCCTATGTTGAAAAAGGAAATATCTTCCCATAAAAACTAGACAGAAGCATTCTCAGAAACTTGTTTGTGATGTGTGTATTCAACTAACAGAGATGAACCTTTCTTTTTACAGAGCAGTTTTGAAACACTCTTTTTGTGGAATCTGAAAGTGGATATTTGGATAGCTTGGAGGATTTCGTTGGAAACGGGATTACATATAAAACCTAGAGAGAAGCATTCTCAGGAACTTCTTTGTGATGTTTGCATTCAAGTCACAGAACTGAACATTCCCTTTCATAGAGCAGGTTTGAAACACTCTTTCTGTAGTATCTGTAAGCTGACGTTTCAAGCGCTTTCAGGCCTATGGTGAGAAAGGAAATATCTTCAAGTAAAAACTAGACAGAAGCATTCTCAGAAACTTATTTGCCATGTGTGTTCTCAACTAACAGAGTTGAACCTTTGTTTTGATATGGCATTTTGGAAACACTCTTTTTGTAGAATCTGCAGGTGGATATTCGGATAGCTTTGAAGGTTTCGTTGGAAACGGGAATATCTTCATATAAAATCTAGACGGAAGCATTCTCAGAAACTGCTTTGTGATGTTTTCATTCAAGTCACAGAGTAGAATGTTCCCTGTTATATACCAGGTTTGAGACACTCTTTCTGCACTACCTGGAAGTGGACATTTGCAGCGCTTTGAGGCCTATGATGAAAAAGGAAATATCTTCCCATAAAAACTAGACAGAAGCATTCTCAGAAACTTGTTTGTGATGTGTGTATTCAACTAACAGAGATGAACCTTTCTTTTTACAGAGCAGTTTTGAAACACTCTTTTTGTGGAATCTGAAAGTGGATATTTGGATAGCTTTGAGGATTTCGTTGGAAACGGGATTACATATAAAATCTAGAGAGAAGCATTCTCAGGAACTTCTTTGTGATGTTTGCATTCACGTCACAGAACTGAACATTCCCTTTCATAGAGCATGTTTGAAACACTCTTTCTGTAGTATCTACAAACGGACATTTCAAACGCTTTCAGGCCTATGGTGAGAAAGGAAATATCTTCAAATAAAAACTAGACAGAAGCATTCTCAGAAACTTATTTGCGATGTGTGTCCTCAACTAACAGAGTTGAACCTTTCTTTTGATACAACATTTTGGAAACACTCTTTTTGTACAATCTGCAAGTGGATATTTGAATAGCTTTGAAGGTTTCGTTGGAAACGGGAATATCTTCATATAAAATCAAGACAGAAGCATTCTCAGAAACTTCTCTGTGATGTTTGCATTCAACTCATAGAGTTGAACACTTCCCTTCATACAGCAGGTTTGAAACACTCTTTTTGTAACATTTGGAAGTGGACATTTGCAGCGCTTTGAGGCCTATGTTGAAAAAGGAAATATCTTCTCCTAAAAACCAGACAGAAGCATTCTCAGAAACTTGTTTGTGATGTGTGTATTCAACTAACAGAGATGAACCTTTCTTTTTACAGAGCAGTTTTGAAACACTCTTTTTGTGGAATCTGAAAGTGGATATTTGGATAGCTTTGAGGATTTCGTTGGAAACGGGATTACATATAAAACCTAGAGAGAAGCATTCTCAGGAACTTCTTTGTGATGTTTGCCTTCAAGTCACAGGACTGAACATTCCCTTTCATAGAGCAGGTTTGAAACACTCTTTCTGTAGTATCTGCAAGCTCACGTTTCAAGCGCTTTCAGGCCTATGGTGAGAAAGGAAATATCTTCAAGTAAAAACTAGACAGAAGCATTCTCAGAAACTTATTTGCCATGTGTGTTCTCAACTAACAGAGTTGAACCTTTGTTTTGATACGGCATTTTGGAAACACTCTTTTTGTAGAATCTGCAGGTGGATATTCGGATAGCTTTGAAGGTTTCGTTGGAAACGGGAATATCTTCATATAAAATCTAGACGGAAGCATTCTCAGAAACTGCTTTGTGATGTTTTCATTCAAGTCACAGAGTAGAATGTTGCCTGTTATATACCAGGTTTGAGACACTCTTTCTGCACTACCTGGAAGTGGACGTTTGGAGCGCTTTGAGGCCTATGTTGAAAAAGGAAATATCTTCCCATAAAAACTAGACAGAAGCATTCTCAGAAACTTGTTTGTGATGTGTGTATTCAACTAACAGAGATGAACCTTTCTTTTTACAGAGCAGTTTTGAAACACTCTTTTTGTGGAATCTGAAAGTGGATATTTGGATAGCTTTGAGGATTTCGTTGGAAACGGGATTACATATAAAATCTAGAGAGAAGCATTCTCAGGAACTTCTTTGTGATGTTTGCATTCACGTCACAGAACTGAACATTCCCTTTCATAGAGCATGTTTGAAACACTCTTTCTGTAGTATCTGCAAACGGACATTTCAAACGCTTTCAGGCCTATGGTGAGAAAGGAAATATCTTCAAATAAAAAGTAGACAGAAGCATTCTCTGAAACTTATTTGCGATGTGTGTCCTCAACTAACAGAGTTGAACCTTTCTTTTGATACAACATTTTGGAAACACTCTTTTTGTGGAATCTGCAAGTGGATATTTGGATAGCTTTGAAGGTTTCGTTGGAAACGGGAATATCTTCATATAAAATCAAGACAGAAGCATTCTCAGAAACTTCTCTGTGATGTTTGCATTCAACTCATAGAGTTGAACACTTCCCTTCATACAGCAGGTTTGAAACACTCTTTTTCTAATATTTGGAAGTGGACTTTTGCAGCGCTTTGAAGCCTATGATGAAAAAGGTAATATCTTCACATAAAAACTAGAAAGAAGCATTCTCAGAAACTTGTTTGTGATGTGTGTATTCAACTAACAGAGATGAACCTTTCTTTTTACAGAGCAGTTTTGAAGCACTCTTTTTGTAGAATCTGCAAGTGGATATTTTGATACCATTGAGGATTTCGTTGGACACGGGTTATCTTCATATAAAATCTAGACAGAAGCATTCTCAGAAACTTCTTTGTGCTGTATGTCCTCAATTAACAGAGTTGAACCTTTGTGTGGATACAGCATTTTGGAAACATTCCTTTAGTAGAATCTGCAAGTTGATATTTAGATAGCTAGGAAGAGTTCCTTGGAAACGGGAATATCTTCATATAAAATCTAGACGGAAGCATTCTCAGAAAGTGCTTTGTGATGTTTGCATTCAAGTCACAGAGTTGAATGTTCCCTTTTATAGAGCAGGTTTGAAACACTCTTTCTGCACTACCTGGAAGTGGACATTTGGAGCGCTTTGAGGCCTATGTTGAAAAAGGAAATATCTTCCCATAAAAACTAGACAGAAGCATTCTCAGAAACTTGTTTGTGATGTGTGTATTCAACTAACAGAGATGAACCTTTCTTTTTACAGAGCAGTTTTGAAACACTCTTTTTGTGGAATCTGAAAGTGGATATTTGGATAGCTTTGAGGATTTCGTTGGAAACGGGATTACATATAAAACCTAGAGAGAAGCATTCTCAGGAACTTCTTTGTGATGTTTGCATTCAAGTCACAGAACTGAACATTCCCTTTCATAGAGCAGGTTTGAAACACTCTTTCTGTGGTATCTGCAAGCTGACGTTTCAAGCGCTTTCAGGCCTATGGTGAGAAAGGAAATATCTTCAAGTAAAAACTAGACAGAAGCATTCTCAGAAACTTATTTGCCATGTGTGTTCTCAACTAACAGAGTTGAACCTTTGTTTTGATACGGCATTTTGGAAACACTCTTTTTGTAGAATCTGCAGGTGGATATTCGGATAGCTTTGAAGGTTTCGTTGGAAACGGGAATATCTTCATATAAAATCTAGACGGAAGCATTCTCAGAAACTGCTTTGTGATGTTTTCATTCAAGTCACAGAGTAGAATGTTCCCTGTTATATACCAGGTTTGAGACACTCTTTCTGCACTACCTGGAAGTGGATGTTTGGAGCGCTTTGAGGCCTATGTTGAAAAAGGAAATATCTTCCCATAAAAACTAGACAGAAGCATTCTCAGAAACTTGTTTGTGATGTGTGTATTCAACTAACAGAGATGAACCTTTCTTTTTACAGAGCAGTTTTGAAACACTCTTTTTGTGGAATCTGAAAGTGGATATTTGGATAGCTTTGAGGATTTCGTTGGAAACGGGATTACATATAAAACCTAGAGAAGCATTCTCAGGAACTTCTTTGTGATGTTTGCAATCACGTCACAGAACTGAACATTCCCTTTCATAGAGCATGTTTGAAACACTCTTTCTGTAGTATCTGCAAACGGACATTTCAAACGCTTTCAGGCCTATGGTGAGAAAGGAAATTTACTTCAAGTAAAAACTAGACAGAAGCATTCTCAGAAACTTATTTGCGATGTGTGTCCTCAACTAACAGAGTTGAACCTTTCTTTTGATACAACATTTTGGAAACACTCTTTTTGTAGAATCTGCAAGTGGATATTTGAATAGCTTTGAAGGTTTCGTTGGAAACGGGAATATCTTCATATAAAATCAAGACAGAAGCATTCTCAGAAACTTCTCTGTGATGTTTGCATTCAACTCATAGAGTTGAACACTTCCCTTCATACAGCAGGTTTGAAACACTCTTTTTGTAATATTTGGAAGTGGACTTTTGCAGCGCTTTGTGGCCTATGATGAAAAAGGTAATATCTTCCCATAAAAACTAGACAGAAGCATTCTCAGAAACTTGGTTGTGATGTGTGTATTCAACTAACAGAGATGAACCTTTCTTTTTACAGAGCAGTTTTGAAACACTCTTTTTGTGGAATCTGAAAGTGCATATTTGGATAGCTTTGAGGATTTCGTAGGAAACGGGATTACATATAAAATCTAGAGAGAAGCATTCTCAGGAACTTCTTTGTGATGTTTGCATTCACGTCACAGAACTGAACATTCCCTTTCATAGAGCATGTTTGAAACACTCTTTCTGTAGTATCTGCAAACGGACATTTCAAGCGCTTTCAGGCCTATGGTGAGAAAGGAAATATCTTCAAATAAAAACTAGACAGAAGCATTCTCAGAAACTTATTTGCCATGTGTGTTCTCAACTAACAGAGTTGAACCTTTGTTTTGATACGGCATTTTGGAAACACTCTTTTTGTAGAATCTGCAGGTGGATATTCGGATAGCTTTGAAGGTTTCGTTGGAAACGGGAATATCTTCATATAAAATCTAGACGGAAGCATTCTCAGAAACTGCTTTGTGATGTTTTCATTCAAGCCACAGAGTAGAATGTTCCCTTTTATATACCAGGTTTGAGACACTCTTTCTGCACTATCTGGAAGTGGACATTTGGAGCGCTTTGAGGCCTATGATGAAAAAGGAAATATCTTCCCATAAAAACTAGACAGAAGCATTCTCAGAAACTTGTTTGTGATGTGTGTATTCAACTAACAGAGATGAACCTTTCTTTTTACAGAGCAGTTTTGAAACACTCTTTTTGTGGAATCTGAAAGTGGATATTTGGATAGCTTTGAGGATTTCGTTGGAAACGGGATTACATATAAAATCTAGAGAGAAGCATTCTCAGGAACTTCTTTGTGATGTTTGCATTCAAGTCACAGAACTGAACATTCCCTTTCATAGAGCAGGTTTGAAATACTCTTTCTGTAGTATCTGCAAGCGGACGTTTCAAGCGCTTTCAGGCCTATGGTGAGAAAGGAAATATCTTCAAGTAAAAACTAGACAGAAGCATTCTCAGAAACTTATTTGCCATGTGTGTTCTCAACTAACAGAGTTGAACCTTTGTTTTGATACGGCATTTTGGAAACACTCTTTTTGTAGAATCTGCAGGTGGATATTCGGATAGCTTTGAAGGTTTCGTTGGAAACGGGAATATCTTCATATAAAATCTAGACGGAAGCATTCTCAGAAACTGCTTTGTGATGTTTTCATTCAAGTCACAGAGTAGAATGTTCCCTTTTATATACCAGGTTTGAGACACTCTTTCTGCACTATCTGGAAGTGGACATTTGGAGCGCTTTGAGGCCTATGATGAAAAAGGAAATATCTTCCCATAAAAACTAGACAGAAGCATTCTCAGAAACTTGTTTGTGATGTGTGTATTCAACTAACAGAGATGAACCTTTCTTTTTACAGAGCAGTTTTGAAACACTCTTTTTGTGGAATCTGAAAGTGGATATTTTGACAGCTGTGAGGATTTCGTTGGAAACGGGATTACATATAAAATCTAGAGAGAAGCATTCTCAGGAACTTCTTTGTGATGTTTGCATTCACGTCACAGAACTGAACATTCCCTTTCATAGAGCATGTTTGAAACACTCTTTCTGTAGTATCTGCAAACGGACATTTCAAACGCTTTCAGGCCTATGGTGAGAAAGGAAATATCTTCAAATAAAAACTAGACAGAAGCATTCTCAGAAACTTATTTGCGATGTGTGTCCTCAACTATCAGAGTTGAACCTTTCTTTTGATACAACATTTTGGAAACACTCTTTTTGTAGAATCTGCAAGTGGATATTTGAATAGCTTTGAAGGTTTCGTTGGAAACGGGAATATCTTCATATAAAATCAAGACAGAAGCATTCTCAGAAACTTCTCTGTGATGTTTGCATTCAACTCATAGAGTTGAACACTTCCCTTCATACAGCAGGTTTGAAACACTCTTTTTGTAATATTTGGAAGTGGACATTTGCAGCGCTTTGAGGCCTATGATGAAAAAGGAAATATCTTCCCATAAAAACTAGACAGGAAGCATTCTCAGAAACTTGTTTGTGATGTGTGTATTCAACTAACAGAGATGAACCTTTCTTTTTACAGAGCAGTTTTGAAACACTCTTTTTGTGGAATCTGAAAGTGGATATTTGGATAGCTTTGAGGATTTCGTTGGAAACGGGATTACATATAAAACCTAGAGAGAAGCATTCTCAGGAACTTCTTTGTGATGTTTGCCTTCAAGTCACAGGACTGAACATTCCCTTTCATAGAGCAGGTTTGAAACACTCTTTCTGTAGTATCTGCAAGCTGACGTTTCAAGCGCTTTCAGGCCTATGGTGAGAAAGGAAATATCTTCAAGTAAAAACTAGACAGAAGCATTCTCAGAAACTTATTTGCCATGTGTGTTCTCAACTAACAGAGTTGAACCTTTGTTTTGATACGGCATTTTGGAAACACTCTTTTTGTAGAATCTGCAGGTGGATATTCGGATAGCTTTGAAGGTTTCGTTGGAAACGGGAATATCTTCATATAAAATCTAGACGGAAGCATTCTCAGAAACTGCTTTGTGATGTTTTCATTCAAGTCACAGAGTAGAATCTTCCCTGTTATATACCAGGTTTCAGACACTCTTTCTGCACTACCTGGAAGTGGACATTTGCAGCGCTTTGAGGCCTATGATGAAAAAGGAAATATCTTCCCATAAAAACTAGACAGAAGCATTCTCAGAAACTTGTTTGTGATGTGTGTATTCAACTAACAGAGATGAACCTTTCTTTTTACAGAGCAGTTTTGAAACACTCTTTTTGTGGAATCTGAAAGTGGATATTTGGATAGCTTTGAGGATTTCGTTGGAAACGGGATTACATATAAAACCTAGAGAGAAGCATTCTCAGGAACTTCTTTGTGATGTTTGCATTCAAGTCAGAGAACTGAACGTTCCCTTTCATAGAGCAGGTTTGAAACACTCTTTCTGTAGTATCTGCAAGCTGACGTTTCAAGCGCTTTCAGGCCTATGGTGAGAAAGGAAATATCTTCAAGTAAAAACTAGACAGAAGCATTCTCAGAAACTTATTTGCCATGTGTGTTCTCAACTAACAGAGTTGAACCTTTGTTTTGATACGGCATTTTGGAAACACTCTTTTTGTAGAATCTGCAGATGGATATTCGGATAGCTTTGAAGGTTTCGTTGGAAACGGGAATATCTTCATATAAAATCTAGACGGAAGCATTCTCAGAAACTGCTTTGTGATGTTTTCATTCAAGTCACAGAGTAGAATCTTCCCTGTTATATACCAGGTTTCAGACACTCTTTCTGCACTACCTGGAAGTGGACATTTGCAGCGCTTTGAGGCCTATGATGAAAAAGGAAATATCTTCCCATAAAAACTAGACAGAAGCATTCTCAGAAACTTGTTTGTGATGTGTGTATTCAACTAACAGAGATGAACCTTTCTTTTTACAGAGCAGTTTTGAAACACTCTTTTTGTGGAATCTGAAAGTGGATATTTGGATAGCTTTGAGGATTTCGTTGGAAACGGGATTACATATAAAATCTAGAGAGAAGCATTCTCAGGAACTTCTTTGTGATGTTTGCATTCACGTCACAGAACTGAACATTCCCTTTCATAGAGCATGTTTGAAACACTCTTTCTGTAGTATCTACAAACGGACATTTCAAACGCTTTCAGGCCTACGGTGAGAAAGGAAATATCTTCAAATAAAAACTAGACAGAAGCATTCTCAGAAACTTATTTGCGATGTGTGTCCTCAACTAACAGAGTTGAACCTTTCTTTTGATACAACATTTTGGAAACACTCTTTTTGTAGAATCTGCAAGTGGATATTTGAATAGCTTTGAAGGTTTCGTTGGAAACGGGAATATCTTCATATAAAATCAAGACAGAAGCATTCTCAGAAACTTCTCTGTGATGTTTGCATTCAACTCATAGAGTTGAACACTTCCCTTCATACAGCAGGTTTGAAACACTCTTTTTGTAATATTTGGAAGTGGACATTTGCAGCGCTTTGAGGCCTATGATGAAAAAGGTAATATCTTCCCATAAAAACTAGACAGAAGCATTCTCAGAAACTTGTTTGTGATGTGTGTATTCAACTAACAGAGATGAACCTTTCTTTTTACAGAGCAGTTTTGAAACACTCTTTTTGTGGAATCTGAAAGTGGATATTTGGATAGCTTTGAGGATTTCGTTGGAAACGGGATTACATATAAAACCTAGAGAGAAGCATTCTCAGGAACTTCTTTGTGATGTTTGCATTCAAGTCACAGAACTGAACATTCCCTTTCATAGAGCAGGTTTGAAACACTCTTTCTGTAGTATCTGCAAGCTGACGTTTCAAGCGCTTTCAGGCCTATGGTGAGAAAGGAAATATCTTCAAGTAAAAACTAGACAGAAGCATTCTCAGAAACTTATTTGCCATGTGTGTTCTCAACTAACAGAGTTGAACCTTTGTTTTGATACGGCATTTTGGAAACACTCTTTTTGTAGAATCTGCAGGTGGATATTCGGATAGCTTTGAAGGTTTCGTTGGAAACGGGAATATCTTCATATAAAATCTAGACGGAAGCATTCTCAGAAAGTGCTTTGTGATGTTTGCATTCAAGTCACAGAGTTGAATATTCCCTTTTATAGAGCAGGTTTGAAACACTCTTTCTGCACTACCTGGAAGTGGACATTTGGAGCGCTTTGAGGCCTATGTTGAAAAAGGAAATATCTTCCCATAAAAACTAGACAGAAGCATTCTCAGAAACTTGTTTGTGATGTGTGTATTCAACTAACAGAGATGAACCTTTCTTTTTACAGAGCAGTTTTGAAACACTCTTTTTGTGGAATCTGAAAGTGGATATTTGGATAGCTTTGAGGATTTCGTTGGAAACGGGATTACATATAAAATCTAGAGAGAAGCATTCTCAGGAACTTCTTTGTGATGTTTGCATTCCAGTCACAGAACTGAACATTCCCTTTCATAGAGCATGTTTGAAACACTCTTTCTGTAGTATCTGCAAGCGGACGTTTCAAGCGCTTTCAGGCCTATGGTGCGGAAGGAAATATCTTCATGTAAAAACTAGACAGAAGCATTCTCAGAAACTTATTTGCCATGTGTGTTCTCAACTAACAGAATTGAACCTTTGTTTTGATACGGCATTTTGGAAACACTCTTTTTGTAGAATCTGCAGGTGCATATTCGGATAGCTTTGAAGGTTTCGTTGGAAACGGGAATATCTTCATATAAAATCTAGACGGAAGCATTCTCAGAAACTGCTTTGTGATGTTTTCATTGAAGTCACAGAGTAGAATGTTCCCTTTTATATACCAGGTTTGAGACACTCTTTCTGCACTATCTGGAAGTGGACATTTGGAGCGCTTTGAGGCCTATGATGAAAAAGGAAATATCTTCCCATAAAAACTAGACAGAAGCATTCTCAGAAACTTGTTTGTGATGTGTGTATTCAACTAACAGAGATGAACCTTTCTTTTTACAGAGCAGTTTTGAAACAGTCTTTTTGTAGAATCTGGAAGTAGATATTTGGATACCTTTGAGGATTTCTTTGGAAACGGGATATCTTCATATAAAATCTAGACAGAAGCATTCTCAGGAACTTCTTTGTGATGTTTGCATTCAAGTCACAGAACTGAACATTCCCTTTCATAGAGCAGGTTTGAAACACTCTTTCTGTAGTATCTGCAAGCGGACGTTTTAAGCGCTTTCAGGCCTGTGGTGAGAAAGGAAATATCTTCAAATAAAAACTAGACAGAAGCATTCTCAGAAACTTATTTGCGATGTGTGTCCTCAACTAACAGAGTTGAACCTTTCTTTTGATACAACATTTTGGAAACACTCTTTTTGTAGAATCTGCAAGTGGATATTTGGATAGCTTTGAAGGTTTCGTTGGAAACGGGAATATCTTCATATGAAATCAAGACAGAAGCATTCTCAGAAACTTCTCTGTGATGTTTGCATTCAACTCATAGAGTTGAACACTTCCCTTCATACAGCAGGTTTGAAACACTCTTTTTCTAATATTTGGAAGTGGACATTTGCAGCGCTTTGAGGCCTATGTTGAAAAAGGAAATATCTTCTCCTAAAAACCAGACAGAAGCATTCTCAGAAACTTCCTTGTGATGTGTGTACTCAAGTAACAGAGTTGAACCTTCCTTTTGACAGAGCAGTTTTGAAGCACTCTTTTTGTAGAATCTGCAAGTGGATATTTTGATACCTTTGAGGATTTCTTTGGACACGGGATATCTTCATATAAAATCTAGACAGAAGCATTCTCAGGAACTTCTTTGTGATGTTTGCATTCAAGTCACAGAACTGAACATTCCCTTTCATAGAGCATGTTTGAAACACTCTTTCTGTAGTATCTGCAAACGGACATTTCAAACGCTTTCAGGCCTATGGTGAGAAAGGAAATATCTTCAAATAAAAACTAGACAGAAGCATTCTCAGAAACTTATTTGCGATGTGTGTCCTCAACTAACAGAGTTGAACCTTTCTTTTGATACAACATTTTGGAAACACTCTTTTTGTAGAATCTGCAAGTGGATATTTGGATAGCTTTGAAGGTTTCGTTGGAAACGGGAATATCTTCATATAAAATCAAGACAGAAGCATTCTCAGAAACTTCTCTGTGATGTTTGCATTCAACTCATAGAGTTGAACACTTCCCTTCATACAGCAGGTTTGAAACACTCTTTTTGTAATATTTGGAAGTGGACATTTGCAGCGCTTTGAGGCCTATGATGAAAAAGGTAATATCTTCCCATAAAAACTAGACAGAAGCATTCTCAGAAACTTGTTTGTGATGTGTGTATTCAACTAACAGAGATGAACCTTTCTTTTTACAGAGCAGTTTTGAAACACTCTTTTTGTGGAATCTGAAAGTGGATATTTGGATAGCTTTGCGGATTTCGTTGGAAACGGGATTACATATAAAACCTAGAGAGAAGCATTCTCAGGAACTTCTTTGCGATGTTTGCATTCAAGTCACAGAACTGAACATTCCCTTTCATAGAGCAGGTTTGAAACACTCTTTCTGTAGTATCTGCAAGCTGACGTTTCAAGCGCTTTCAGGCGTATGGTGAGAAAGGAAATTTCTGCAAGTAAAAACTAGACAGAAGCATTCTCAGAAACTTATTTGCGATGTGTGTCCTCAACTAACAGAGTTGAACCTTTCTTTTGATACAACATTTTGGAAACACTCTTTTTGTAGAATCTGCAAGTGGATATTTGGATAGCTTTGAAGGTTTCGTTGGAAACGGGAATATCTTCATATGAAATCAAGACAGAAGCATTCTCAGAAACTTCTCTGTGATGTTTGCATTCAACTCATAGAGTTGAACACTTCCCTTCATACAGCAGGTTTGAAACACTCTTTTTCTAATATTTGGAAGTGGACATTTGCAGCGCTTTGAGGCCTATGTTGAAAAAGGAAATATCTTCTAAAAACCAGACAGAAGCATTCTCAGAAACTTGTTTGTGATGTGTGTATTCAACTAACAGAGATGAACCTTTCTTTTTACAGAGCAGTTTTGAAACACTCTTTTTGTGGAATCTGAAAGTGGATATTTGGATAGCTTTGAGGATTTCGTTGGAAACGGGATTACATATAAAATCTAGAGAGAAGCATTCTCAGGAACTTCTTTGTGATGTTTGCATTCACGTCACAGAACTGAACATTCCCTTTCATAGAGCATGTTTGAAACACTCTTTCTGTAGTATCTGCAAACGGACATTTCAAACGCTTTCAGGCCTATGGTGAGAAAGGAAATATCTTCAAATAAAAACTAGACAGAAGCATTCTCAGAAACTTATTTGCGATGTGTGTCCTCAACTAACAGAGTTGAACCTTTCTTTTGATACAACATTTTGGAAACACTCTTTTTGTAGAATCTGCAAGTGGATATTTGGATCGCTTTGAAGCTTTCGTTGGAAACGGGAATATCTTCATATAAAATCAAGACAGAAGCATTCTCAGAAACTTCTCTGTGATGTTTGCATTCAACTCATAGAGTTGAACACTTCCCTTCATACAGCAGGTTTGAAACACTCTTTTTCTAATATTTGGAAGTGGACATTTGCAGCGCTTTGAGGCCTATGTTGAAAAAGGAAATATCTTCTCCTAAAAACCAGACAGAAGCATTCTCAGAAACTTGTTTGTGATGTGTGTATTCAACTAACAGAGATGAACCTTTCTTTTTACAGAGCAGTTTTGAAACACTCTTTTTGTGGAATCTGAAAGTGGATATTTGGATAGCTTTGAGGATTTCGTTGGAAACGGGATTACATATAAAACCTAGAGAGAAGCATTCTCAGGAACTTCTTTGTGATGTTTGCCTTCTAGTCACAGGACTGAACATTCCCTTTCATAGAGCATGTTTGAAACACTCTTTCTGTAGTATCTGCAAGCTGACGTTTCAAGCGCTTTCAGGCCTACGGTGAGAAAGGAAATATCTTCAAGTAAAAACTAGACAGAAGCATTCTCAGAAACTTATTTGCCATGTGTGTTCTCAACTAACAGAGTTGAACCTTTGTTTTGATACGGCATTTTGGAAACACTCTTTTTGTAGAATCTGCAGGTGGATATTCGGATAGCTTTGAAGGTTTCGTTGGAAACGGGAATATCTTCATATAAAATCTAGACGGAAGCATTCTCAGAAACTGCTTTGTGATGTTTTCATTCAAGTCACAGAGTAGAATCTTCGCTTTTATACACCAGGTTTGAGACACTCTTTATGCACTATCTGGAAGTGGACATTTGGAGCGCTTTGAGGCCTATGATGATAAAGGAAATATCTTCCCATAAAAACTAGACAGAAGCATTCTCAGAAACTTGTTTGTGATGTGTGTATTCAACTAACAGAGATGAACCTTTCTTTTTACAGAGCAGTTTTGAAACACTCTTTTTGTGGAATCTGAAAGTGGATATTTGGATAGCTTTGAGGATTTCGTTGGAAACGGGATTACATATAAAATCTAGAGAGAAGCATTCTCAGGAACTTCTTTGTGATGTTTGCATTCACGTCACAGAACTGAACATTCCCTTTCATAGAGCATGTTTGAAACACTCTTTCTGTAGTATCTGCAAACGGACATTTCAAGCGCTTTCAGGCCTATGGTAAGAAAGGAAATATCTTCAAATAAAAACTAGACAGAAGCATTCTCAGAAACTTATTTGCGATGTGTGTCCTCAACTAACAGAGTTGAACCTTTGTTTTGATACAACATTTTGGAAACACTCTTTTTGTAGAATCTGCAAGTGGATATTTGGATAGCTTTGAAGGTTTCGTTGTTAACGGGAATATCTTCATATAAAATCAAGACAGAAGCATTCTCAGAAACTTCTCTGTGATGTTTGCATTCAACTCATAGAGTTGAACACTTCCCTTCATAGAGCAGGTTTGAAACACTCTTTTTGTAATATTTGGAAGTGGACATTTGCAGCGCTTTGAGGCCTATTTGAAAAAGGAAATATCTTCTCCTAAAAACCAGACAGAAGCATTCTCAGAAACTTCCTTGTGATGTGTGTACTCAAGTAACAGAGTTGAACCTTACTTTTGACAGAGCCGTTTTGAAACAGTCTTTTTGTAGAATCTGGAAGTAGATATTTGGACACCTTTGAGGATTTCTTTGGAAACGGGATATCTTCATATAAAATCTAGACAGAAGCATTCTCAGAAACTTCTTTGTGCTGTATGTCCTCAATTAACAGAGTTGTACCTTTGTGTGGATACAGCATTTTGGAAACACTCCTTTAGTAGGATATGCAAGTTGATATTTAGATAGCTAGGAAGATTTCCTTGGAAACGGGAATATCTTCATATAAAATCTAGACGGAAGCATTCTCAGAAACTGCTTTGTGATGTTTTCATTCAAGTCACAGAGTAGAATGTTCCCTGTTATATACCAGGTTTGAGACACTCTTTCTGCACTACCTGGAAGTGGACATTTGGAGCGCTTTGAGGCCTATGATGAAGAAGGAAATATCTTCCCATAAAAACTAGACAGAAGCATTCTCAGAAACTTGTTTGTGATGTGTGTATTCAACTAACAGAGATGAACCTTTCTTTTTACAGAGCAGTTTTGAAACACTCTTTTTGTGGAATCTGAAAGTGGATATTTGGATAGCTTTGAGGATTTCGTTGGAAACGGGATTACATATAAAACCTAGAGAGAAGCATTCTCAGGAACTTCTTTGTGATGTTTGCATTCAAGTCACAGAACTGAACATTCCCTTTCATAGATCAGGTTTGAAACACTCTTTCTGTAGTATCTGCAAGCGGACGTTTTAAGCGCTTTCAGGCCTGTGGTGAGAAAGGAAATATCTTCAAATAAAAACTAGACAGAAGCATTCTCAGAAACTTATTTGCGATGTGTGTCCTCAACTAACAGAGTTGAACCTTTCTTTTGATACAACATTTTGGAAACACTCTTTTTGTAGAATCTGCAAGTGGATATTTGGATAGCTTTGAAGGTTTCGTTGGAAACGGGAATATCTTCATATGAAATCAAGACAGAAGCATTCTCAGAAACTTCTCTGTGATGTTTGCATTCAACTCATAGAGTTGAACACTTCCCTTCATACAGCAGGTTTGAAACACTCTTTTTGTAATATTTGGAAGTGGACATTTGCAGCGCTTTGAGGCCTATGATGAAAAAGGAAATATCTTCCCATAAAAACTAGACAGAAGCATTCTCAGAAACTTGTTTGTGATGTGTGTATTCAACTAACAGAGATGAACCTTTCTTTTTACAGAGCAGTTTTGAAACACTCTTTTTGTGGAATCTGAAAGTGGATATTTGGATAGCTTTGCGGATTTCGTTGGAAACGGGATTACATATAAAATCTAGAGAGAAGCATTCTCAGGAACTTCTTTGTGATGTATGCATTCACGTCACAGAACTGAACATTCCCTTTCATAGAGCATGTTTGAAACACTCTTTCTGTAGTATCTGCAAACGGACATTTCAAACGCTTTCAGGCCTATGGTGAGAAAGGAAATATCTTCAAATAAAAACTAGACAGAAGCATTCTCAGAAACTTATTTGCGATGTGTGTCCTCAACTAACAGAGTTGAACCTTTCTTTTGATACAACATTTTGGAAACACTCTTTTTGTAGAATCTGCAAGTGGATATTTGGATAGCTTTGAAGGTTTCGTTGGAAACGGGAATATCTTCATATAAAATCAAGACAGAAGCATTCTCAGAAACTTCTCTGTGATGTTTGCATTCAACTCATAGAGTTGAACACTTCCCTTCATACAGCAGGTTTGAAACACTCTTTTTGTAATATTTGGAAGTGGACATTTGCAGCGCTTTGAGGCCTATGATGAAAAAGGTAATATCTTCCCATAAAAACTAGACAGAAGCATTCTCAGAAACTTGTTTGTGATGTGTGTATTCAACTAACAGAGATGAACCTTTCTTTTTATAGAGCAGTTTTGAAACACTCTTTTTGTGGAATCTGAAAGTGGATATTTGGATAGCTTTGCGGATTTCGTTGGAAACGGGATTACATATAAAATCTAGGGAGAAGCATTCTCAGGAACTTCTTTGTGATGTTTGCATTCAAGTCACAGAACTGAACATTCCCTTTCATAGAGCAGGTTTGAAACACTCTTTCTGTAGTATCTGCAAGCGGACGTTTTAAGCGCTTTCAGGCCTGTGGTGAGAAAGGAAATATCTTCAAATAAAAACTAGACAGAAGCATTCTCAGAAACTTATTTGCGATGTGTGTCCTCAACTAACAGAGTTGAACCTTTCTTTTGATACAACATTTTGGAAACACTCTTTTTGTAGAATCTGCAAGTGGATATTTGGATAGCTTTGAAGGTTTCGTTGGAAACGGGAATATCTTCATATAAATCAAGACAGAAGCATTCTCAGAAACTTCTCTGTGATGTTTGCATTCAACTCATAGAGTTGAACACTTCCCTTCATACAGCAGGTTTGAAACACTCTTTTTCTAATATTTGGAAGTGGACATTTGCAGCGCTTTGAGGCCCTATGTTGAAAAAGGAAATATCTTCTCCTAAAAACCAGACAGAAGCATTCTCAGAAACTTGTTTGTGATGTGTGTATTCAACTAACAGAGATGAACCTTTCTTTTTACAGAGCAGTTTTGAAACAGTCTTTTTGTGGAATCTGAAAGTGGATATTTGGATACCTTTGAGGATTTCGTTGGAAACGGGATTACATATAAAATCTAGAGAGAAGCATTCTCAGGAACTTCTTTGTGATGTTTGCATTCACGTCTCAGAACTGAACATTCCCTTTCATAGAGCATGTTTGAAACACTCTTTCTGTAGTATCTGCAAACGGACATTTCAAACGCTTTCAGGCCTATGGTGAGAAAGGAAATATCTTCAAATAAAAACTAGACAGAAGCATTCTCAGAAACTTATTTGCGATGTGTGTCCTCAACTAACAGAGTTGAACCTTTCTTTTGATACAACATTTTGGAAACACTCTTTTTGTAGAATCTGCAAGTGGATATTTGAATAGCTTTGAAGGTTTCGTTGGAAACGGGAATATCTTCAAATAAAAACTAGACAGAAGCATTCTCAGAAACTGCTTTGTGATGTTTTCATTCAAGTCACAGAGTAGAATGTTCCCTGTTATATACCAGGTTTGAGACACTATTTCTGCACTACCTGGAAGTGGACATTTGGAGCGCTTTGAGGCCTATGATGAAAAAGGAAATATCTTCCCATAAAAACTAGACAGAAGCATTCTCAGAAACTTGTTTGTGATGTGTGTATTCAACTAACAGAGATGAACCTTTCTTTTTACAGAGCAGTTTTGAAACACTCTTTTTGTGGAATCTGAAAGTGGATATTTGGATAGCTTTGAGGATTTCGTTGGAAACGGGATTACATATAAAATCTAGAGAGAAGCATTCTCAGGAACTTCTTTGTGATGTTTGCATTCACGTCACAGAACTGAACATTCCCTTTCATAGAGCATGTTTGAAACACTCTTTCTGTAGTATCTGCAAACGGACATTTCAAACGCTTTCAGGCCTATGGTGAGAAAGGAAATATCTTCAAATAAAAACTAGACAGAAGCATTCTCAGAAACTTATTTGCGATGTGTGTCCTCAACTAACAGAGTTGAACCTTTCTTTTGATACAACATTTTGGAAACACTCTTTTTGTGGAATCTGCAAGTGGATATTTGGATAGCTTTGAAGGTTTCGTTGGAAACGGGAATATCTTCATATAAAATCAAGACAGAAGCATTCTCAGAAACTTCTCTGTGATGTTTGCATTCAACTCATAGAGTTGAACACTTCCCTTCATACAGCAGGTTTGAAACACTCTTTTTGTAATATTTGGAAGTGGACATTTGCAGCGCTTTGAGGCCTATGATGAAAAAGGAAATATCTTCCCATAAAAACTAGACAGAAGCATTCTTAGAAACTTGTTTGTGATGTGTGTATTCAACTAACAGAGATGAACCTTTCTTTTTACAGAGCAGTTTTGAAACACTCTTTTTGTGGAATCTGAAAGTGGATATTTGGATAGCTTTGCGGATTTCGTTGGAAACGGGATTACATATAAAATCTAGGGAGAAGCATTCTCAGGAACTTCTTTGTGATGTTTGCATTCAAGTCACAGAACTGAACATTCCCTTTCATAGAGCAGGTTTGAAACACTCTTTCTGTAGTATATGCAAGCGGACGTTTCAAGCGCTTTCAGGCCTGTGTTGAAAAAGGAAATATCTTCAAATAAAAACTAGACAGAAGCATTCTCAGAAACTTATTTGCGATGTGTGTTCAAAACTAAAAGAGTTGAACCTTTGTTTGGATACAACGTTTTGGAAACACTCTTTTTGTAGGATCTGCAAGTGGATATTTGGATAGCTTTGAAGGTTTCGTTGGAAACCGGAATATCTTCATATAAAATCAAGACAGAAGCATTCTCAGAAACTGCTTTGTGATGTTTTCATTCAAGTCACAGAGTAGAATCTTCCCTGTTATATACCAGGTTTCAGACACTCTTTCTGCACTACCTGGAAGTGGACATTTGCAGCGCTTTGAGGCCTATGATGAAAAAGGAAATATCTTCCCATAAAAACTAGACAGAAGCATTCTCAGAAACTTGTTTGTGATGTGTGTATTCAACTAACAGAGATGAACCTTTCTTTTTACAGAGCAGTTTTGAAACACTCTTTTTGTGGAATCTGAAAGTGGATATTTGGATAGCTTTGAGGATTTCGTTGGAAACGGGATTACATATAAAATCTAGAGAGAAGCATTCTCAGGAACTTCTTTGTGATGTTTGCATTCACGTCACAGAACTGAACATTCCCTTTCATAGAGCACGTTTGAAACACTCTTTCTGTAGTATCTGCAAACGGACATTTCAAACGCTTTCAGCCCTATGGTGAGAAAGGAAATATCTTCAAATAAAAACTAGACAGAAGCATTCTCAGAAACTTATTTGCGATGTGTGTCCTCAACTAATAGAGTTGAACCTTTCTTTTGATACAACATTTTGGAAACACTCTTTTTGTAGAATCTGCAAGTGGATATTTGGATAGCTTTGAAGGTTTCGTTGGAAACGGGAATATCTTCATATAAAATCAAGACAGAAGCATTCTCAGAAACTTCTCTGTGATGTTTGCATTCAACTCATAGAGTTGAACACTTCCCTTCATACAGCAGGTTTGAAACACTCTTTTTGTAATATTTGGAAGTGGACATTTGCAGCGCTTTGAGGCCTATGATGAAAAAGGTAATATCTTCCCATAAAAACTAGACAGAAGCATTCTCAGAAACTTGTTTGTGATGTGTGTATTCAACTAACAGAGATGAACCTTTCTTTTTACAGAGCAGTTTTGAAACACTCTTTTTGTGGAATCTGAAAGTGGATATTTGGATAGCTTTGCGGATTTCGTTGGAAACGGGATTACATATAAAATCTAGGGAGAAGCATTCTCAGGAACTTCTTTGTGATGTTTGCATTCAAGTCACAGAACTGAACATTCCCTTTCATAGAGCAGGTTTGAAACACTCTTTCTGTAGTATCTGCAAGCGGACGTTTTAAGCGCTTTCAGGCCTGTGGTGGGAAAGGAAATATCTTCAAATAAAAACTAGACAGAAGCATTCTCAGAAACTTATTTGCGATGTGTGTCCTCAACTAACAGAGTTGAACCTTTCTTTTGATACAACATTTTGGAAACACTCTTTTTGTAGAATCTGCAAGTGGATATTTGGATAGCTTTGAAGGTTTCGTTGGAAACGGGAATATCTTCATATGAAATCAAGACAGAAGCATTCTCAGAAACTTCTCTGTGATGTGTGCATTCAACTCATAGAGTTGAACACTTCCCTTCATACAGCAGGTTTGAAACACTCTTTTTCTAATATTTGGAAGTGGACATTTGCAGCGCTTTGAGGCCTATGTTGAAAAAGGAAATATCTTCTCCTAAAAACCAGACAGAAGCATTCTCAGAAACTTCCTTGTGATGTGTGTACTCAAGTAACAGAGTTGAACCTTCCTTTTGACAGAGCAGTTTTGAAGCACTCTTTTTGTAGAATCTGCAAGTGGATATTTTGATACCTTTGAGGATTTCGTTGGACACGGGATATCTTCATATAAAATCTAGACAGAAGCATTCTCAGGAACTTCTTTGTGATGTTTGCATTCAAGTCACAGAACTGAACATTCCCTTTCATAGAGCAGGTTTGAAACACTCTTTCTGTAGTATCTGCAAGCGGACGTTTTAAGCGCTTTCAGGCCTGTGGTGAGAAAGGAAATATCTTCAAATAAAAACTAGACAGAAGCATTCTCAGAAACTTATTTGCGATGTGTGTCCTCAACTAACAGAGTTGAACCTTTCTTTTGATACAACATTTTGGAAACACTCTTTTTGTAGAATCTGCAAGTGGATATTTGGATAGCTTTGAAGGTTTCGTTGGAAACGGGAATATCTTCATATGAAATCAAGACAGAAGCATTCTCAGAAACTTCTCTGTGATGTTTGCATTCAACTCATAGAGTTGAACACTTCCCTTCATACAGCAGGTTTGAAACACTCTTTTTGTAATATTTGGAAGTGGACATTTGCAGCGCTTTGAGGCCTATGTTGAAAAAGGAAATATCTTCTCCTAAAAACCAGACAGAAGCATTCTCAGAAACTTCCTTGTGATGTGTGTACTCAAGTAACAGAGTTGAACCTTACTTTGGACAGAGCCGTTTTGAAACAGTCTTTTTGTAGAATCTGGAAGTAGATATTTGGATACATTTGAGGATTTCTTTGGAAACGGGATATCTTCATATAAAATCTAGACGGAAGCATTCTCAGAAAGTGCTTTGTGATGTTTGCATTCAAGTCACAGAACTGAACATTCCCTTTCATAGAGCATGTTTGAAACACTCTTTCTGTAGTATCCGCAAGCGGACGTTTCAAGCGCTTTCAGGCCTATGGTGAGAAAGGAAATATCTTCAAGTAAAAACTAGACAGAAGCATTCTCAGAAACTTATTTGCGATGTGTGTCCTCAACTAACAGAGTTGAACCTTTCTTTTGATACAACATTTTGGAAACACTCTTTTTGTAGAATCTGCAAGTGGATATTTGGATAGCTTTGAAGGTTTCGTTGGAAACGGGAATATCTTCATATGAAATCAAGACAGAAGCATTCTCAGAAACTTCTCTGTGATGTTTGCATTCAACTCATAGAGTTGAACACTTCCCTTCATACAGCAGGTTTGAAACACTCTTTTTCTAATATTTGGAAGTGGACATTTGCAGCGCTTTGAGGCCTATGTTGAAAAGGGAAATATCTTCTCCTAAAAATCAGACAGAAGCATTCTCAGAAACTTCCTTGTGATGTGTGTACTCAAGTAACAGAGTTGAACCTTCCTTTTGACAGAGCAGTTTTGAAGCACTCTTTTTGTAGAATCTGCAAGTGGATATTTTGATACCTTTGAGGATTTCGTTGGACACGGGATATCTTCATATAAAATCTAGACAGAAGCATTCTCAGGAACTTCTTTGTGATGTTTGCATTCAAGTCACAGAACTGAACATTCCCTTTCATAGAGCAGGTTTGAAACACTCTTTCTGTAGTATCTGCAAGCTGACGTTTCAAGCGCTTTCAGGCCTATGGTGAGAAAGGAAATATCTTCAAGTAAAAACTAGACAGAAGCATTCTCAGAAACTTATTTGCGATGTGTGTCCTCAACTAACAGAGTTGAACCTTTCTTTTGATACAACATTTTGGAAACACTCTTTTTGTGGAATCTGCAAGTGGATATTTGGATAGCTTTGAAGGTTTCGTTGGAAACGGGAATATCTTCATATAAAATCAAGACAGAAGCATTCTCAGAAACTTCTCTGTGATGTTTGCATTCAACTCATAGAGTTGAACACTTCCCTTCATACAGCAGGTTTGAAACACTCTTTTTGTAATATTTGGAAGTGGACATTTGCAGCGCTTTGAGGCCTATGATGAAAAAGGTAATATCTTCCCATAAAAACTAGACAGAAGCATTCTCAGAAACTTGTTTGTGATGTGTGTATTCAACTAACAGAGATGAACCTTTCTTTTTACAGAGCAGTTTTGAAACACTCTTTTTGTGGAATCTGAAAGTGGATATTTGGATAGCTTTGCGGATTTCGTTGGAAACGGGATTACATATAAAATCTAGGGAGAAGCATTCTCAGGAACTTCTTTGTGATGTTTGAATTCAAGTCACAGAACTGAACATTCCCTTTCATAGAGCAGGTTTGAAACACTCTTTCTGTAGTATCTGCAAGCGGACGTTTTAAGCGCTTTCAGGCCTGTGGTGAGAAAGGAAATATCTTCAAATAAAAACTAGACAGAAGCATTCTCAGAAACTTATTTGCGATGTGTGTCCTCAACTAACAGAGTTGAACCTTTCTTTTGATACAACATTTTGGAAACACACTTTTTGTAGAATCTGCAAGTGGATATTTGGATAGCTTTGAAGGTTTCGTTGGAAACGGGAATATCTTCATATGAAATCAAGACAGAAGCATTCTCAGAAACTTCTCTGTGATGTTTGCATTCAACTCATAGAGTTGAACACTTCCCTTCATACAGCAGGTTTGAAACACTCTTTTTCTAATATTTGGAAGTGGACATTTGCAGCGCTTTGAGGCCTATGTTGAAAAAGGAAATATCTTCTCCTAAAAACCAGACAGGAAGCATTCTCAGAAACTTCCTTGTGATGTGTGTACTCAAGTAACAGAGTTGAACCTTCCTTTTGACAGAGCAGTTTTGAAGCACTCTTTTTGTAGAATCTGCAAGTGGATATTTTGATACCTTTGAGGATTTCGTTGGACACGGGATATCTTCATATAAAATCTAGACAGAAGCATTCTCAGGAACTTCTTTGTGATGTTTGCATTCAAGTCACAGAACTGAACATTCCCTTTCATAGAGCATGTTTGAAACACTCTTTCTGTAGTATCTGCAAGCGGACGTTTTAAGCGCTTTCAGGCCTGTGGTGAGAAAGGAAATATCTTCAAATAAAAACTAGACAGAAGCATTCTCAGAAACTTATTTGCGATGTGTGTCCTCAACTAACAGAGTTGAACCTTTCTTTTGATACAACATTTTGGAAACACTCTTTTTGTAGAATCTGCAAGTGGATATTTGGATAGCTTTGAAGGTTTCGTTGGAAACGGGAATATCTTCATATGAAATCAAGACAGAAGCATTCTCAGAAACTTCTCTGTGATGTTTGCATTCAACTCATAGAGTTGAACACTTCCCTTCATACAGCAGGTTTGAAACACTCTTTTTGTAATATTTGGAAGTGGACATTTGCAGCGCTTTGAGGCCTATGTTGAAAAAGGAAATATCTTCTCCTAAAAACCAGACAGAAGCATTCTCAGAAACTTCCTTGTGATGTGTGTACTCAAGTAACAGAGTTGAACCTTCATTTTGACAGAGCAGTTTTGAAGCACTCTTTTTGTAGAATCTGCAAGTGGATATTTTGATACCTTTGAGGATTTCGTTAGACACGGGATATCTTCATATAAAATCTAGACAGAAGCATTCTCAGGAACTTCTTTGTGATGTTTGCATTCACGTCACAGAACTGAACATTCCCTTTCATAGAGCATGTTTGAAACACTCTTTCTGTAGTATCTGCAAACGGACATTTCAAACGCTTTCAGGCCTATGGTGAGAAAGGAAATATCTTCAAGTAAAAACTAGACAGAAGCATTCTCAGAAACTTATTTGCGATGTGTGTCCTCAACTAACAGAGTTGAACCTTTCTTTTGATACAACATTTTGGAAACACTCTTTTTGTAGAATCTGCAAGTGGATATTTGAATAGCTTTGAAGGTTTCGTTGGAAACGGGAATATCTTCATATAAAATCAAGACAGAAGCATTCTCAGAAACTTCTCTGTGATGTTTGCATTCAACTCATAGAGTTGAACACTTCCCCTCATACAGCAGGTTTGAAACACTCTTTTTGTAATATTTGGAAGTGGACATTTGCAGCGCTTTGAGGCCTATGATGAAAAAGGTAATATCTTCCCATAAAAACTAGACAGAAGCATTCTCAGAAACTTGTTTGTGATGTGTGTATTCAACTAACAGAGATGAACCTTTCTTTTTACAGAGCAGTTTTGAAACACTCTTTTTGTGGAATCTGAAAGTGGATATTTAGATAGCTTTGAGGATTTCGTTGGAAACGGGATTACATATAAAATCTAGGGAGAAGCATTCTCAGAAACTTCTCTGTGATGCTTGCATTCAACTCATAGAGTTGAACACTTCCTTTCATAGAGCTGGTTTGAAATACTCTTTTTGTAATATTTGGAAGTGGACATTGGCAGCGCTTTGAAGCCTATGGTGAAAAAGGAGATATCTTCTCCTAAAAACCAGACAGAAGCATTCTCAGAAACTTATTTGCGATGTGTGTTCTCAACTAACAGAGTTGAACCTTTGTTTTGATACAGCATTTTGGAAACACTCTTTTTGTAGAATCTGCAGGTGGATATTTGGATAGCTCTGAAGGTTTCGTTGGAAACGGGAATATCCTCATATAAAATCAAGACAGAAGCATTCTCAGAAAGTGCTTTGTGATGTTTGCATTCAAGTCACAGAGTTCAATATTCCCTTTTATAGAGCAGGTTTGAAACACTCTTTCTGAACTACCTGGAAGTGGACATTTGGAGCGCTTTGAGGCCTATGTTGAAAAACGAAATATCTTCCCATAAAAACTAGACAGAAGCATTCTCAGAAACTTGTTTGTGATGTGTGTATTCAACTAACAGAGATGAACCTTTCTTTTTACAGAGCAGTTTTGAAACACTCTTTTTGTGGAATCTGAAAGTGGATATTTGGATAGCTTTGAGGATTTCGTTGGAAACGGGATTACATATAAAACCTAGAGAGAAGCATTCTCAGGAACTTCTTTGTGATGTTTGCATTCACGTCACAGAACTGAACATTCCCTTTCATAGAGCATGTTTGAAACACTCTTTCTCTAGTATCTGCAAACGGACATTTCAAGCACTTTCAGGCCTATGGTAAGAAAGGAAATATCTTCAAATAAAAACTAGACAGAAGCATTCTCAGAAACTTATTTGCGATGTGTGTCCTCAACTAACAGAGTTGAACCTTTGTTTTGATACAACATTTTGGAAACACTCTTTTTGTAGAATCTGCAAGTGGATATTTGGATAGCTTTGAAGGTTTCATTGGAAACGGGAATATCTTCATATAAAATCAAGACAGAAGCATTCTCAGAAACTGCTTTGTGATGTTTGCATTCAAGTCACAGAGTAGAATGTTCCCTGTTATATACCAGGTTTGAGACACTCTTTCTGCACTACCTGGAAGTGGACATTTGCAGCGCTTTGAGGCCTATGATGAAAAAGGAAATATCTTCCCATAAAAACTAGACAGAAGCATTCTCAGAAACTTGTTTGTGATGTGTGTATTCAACTAACAGAGATGAACCTTTCTTTTTACAGAGCAGTTTTGAAACACTCTTTTTGTGGAATCTGAAAGTGGATATTTGGATAGCTTTGAGGATTTCGTTGGAAACGGGATTACATATAAAATCTAGAGAGAAGAATTCTCAGGAACTTCTTTGTGATGTTTGCATTCAAGTCACAGAACTGAACATTCCCTTTCATAGAGCAGGTTTGAAACACTCTTTCTGTAGTATCTGCAAGCGGACGTTTTAAGCGCTTTCAGGCCTGTGGTGAGAAAGGAAATATCTTCAAATAAAAACTAGACAGAAGCATTCTCAGAAACTTATTTGCGATGTGTGTCCTCAACTAACAGAGTTGAACCTTTCTTTTGATACAACATTTTGGAAACACTCTTTTTGTAGAATCTGCAAGTGGATATTTGAATAGCTTTGAAGGTTTCGTTGGAAACGGGAATATCTTCACATAAAATCAAGACAGAAGCATTCTCAGAAACTTCTCTGTGATGTTTGCATTCAACTCATAGAGTTGAACACTTCCCTTCATACAGCAGGTTTGAAACACTCTTTTTGTAATATTTGGAAGTGGACATTTGCAGCGCTTTGAGGCCTATGATGAAAAAGGTAATATCTTCCCATAAAAACTAGACAGAAGCATTCTCAGAAACTTGTTTGTGATGTGTGTATTCAACTAACAGAGATGAACCTTTCTTTTTACAGAGCAGTTTTGAAACACTCTTTTTGTGGAATCTGAAAGTGGATATTTGGATAGCTTTGCGGATTTCGTTGGAAACGGGATTACATATAAAATCTAGGGAGAAGCATTCTCAGGAACTTCTTTGTGATGTTTGCATTCAAGTCACAGAACTGAACATTCCCTTTCATAGAGCAGGTTTGAAACACTCTTTCTGTAGTATCTGCAAGCGGACGTTTTAAGCGCTTTCAGGCCTGTGGTGAGAAAGGAAATATCTTCAAATAAAAACTAGACAGAAGCATTCTCAGAAACTTATTTGCGATGTGTGTCCTCAACTAACAGAGTTGAACCTTTCTTTTGATACAACATTTTGGAAACACTCTTTTTGTAGAATCTGCAAGTGGATATTTGGATAGCTTTGAAGGTTTCGTTGGAAACGGGAATATCTTCATATGAAATCAAGACAGAAGCATTCTCAGAAACTTCTCTGTGATGTTTGCATTCAACTCATAGAGTTGAACACTTCCCTTCATACAGCAGGTTTGAAACACTCTTTTTCTAATATTTGGAAGTGGACATTTGCAGCGCTTTGAGGCCTATGTTGAAAAAGGAAATATCTTCTCCTAAAAACCAGACAGAAGCATTCTCAGAAACTTGTTTGTGATGTGTGTATTCAACTAACAGAGATGAACCTTTCTTTTTACAGAGCAGTTTTGAAACACTCTTTTTGTGGAATCTGAAAGTGGATATTTGGATAGCTTTGAGGATTTCGTTGGAAACGGGATTACATATAAAATCTAGAGAGAAGCATTCTCAGGAACTTCTTTGTGATGTTTGCATTCAAGTCACAGAACTGAACATTCCCTTTCATAGAGCATGTTTGAAACACTCTTTCTGTAGTATCTGCAAGCAGACGTTTCAAGCGCTTTCAGGCCTATGGTGAGAAAGGAAATATCTTCAAGTAAAAACTAGACAGAAGCATTCTCAGAAACTTATTTGCCATGTGTGTTCTCAACTAACAGAGTTGAACCTTTGTTTTGATACGGCATTTTGGAAACACTCTTTTTGTAGAATCTGCAGGTGGATATTCGGATAGCTTTGAAGGTTTCGTTGGAAACGGGAATATCTTCATATAAAATCTAGACGGAAGCATTCTCAGAAACTGCTTTGTGATGTTTTCATTCAAGTCACAGATTAGAATGTTCCCTTTTATATACCAGGTTTGAGACACTCTTTCTGCACTATCTGGAAGTGGACATTTGGAGCGCTTTGAGGCCTATGATGAAAAAGGAAATATCTTCCCATAAAAACTAGACAGAAGCATTCTCAGAAACTTGTTTGTGATGTGTGTATTCAACTAACAGAGATGAACCTTTCTTTTTACAGAGCAGTTTTGAAACACTCTTTTTGTGGAATCTGAAAGTGCATATTTGGATAGCTTTGAGGATTTCGTAGGAAACGGGATTACATATAAAATCTAGAGAGAAGCATTCTCAGGAACTTCTTTGTGATGTTTGCATTCACGTCACAGAACTGAACATTCCCTTTCATAGAGCATGTTTGAAACACTCTTTCTGTAGTATCTGCAAACGGACATTTCAAACGCTTTCAGGCCTATGGTGAGAAAGGAAATATCTTCAAATAAAAACTAGACAGAAGCATTCTCAGAAACTTATTTGTGATGTGTGTCCTCAACTAACAGAGTTGAACCTTTCTTTTGATACAACATTTTGGAACCACTCTTTTTGTAGAATCTGCAAGTGGATATTTGGATAGCTTTGAAGGTTTCGTTGGAAACGGGAATATCTTCATATAAAATCAAGACAGAAACATTCTCAGAAACTTCTCTGTGATGTTTGCATTCAACTCATAGAGTTGAACACTTCCCTTCATACAGCAGGTTTGAAACACTCTTTTTCTAATATTTGGAAGTGGACATTTGCAGCGCTTTGAGGCCTATGTTGAAAAAGGAAATATCTTCTCCTAAAAACCAGACAGAAGCATTCTCAGAAACTTCCTTGTGATGTGTGTATTCAACTAACAGAGATGAACCTTTCTTTTTACAGAGCAGTTTTGAAACACTCTTTTTGTGGAATCTGAAAGTGGATATTTGGATAGCTTTGCGGATTTCGTTGGAAACGGGATTACATATAAAATCTAGGGAGAAGCATTCTCAGGAACTTCTTTGTGATGTTTGCCTTCAAGTCACAGGACTGAACATTCCCTTTCATAGAGCAGGTTTGAAACACTCTTTCTGTAGTATCTGCAAGCTGACGTTTCAAGCGCTTTCAGGCCTATGGTGAGAAAGGAAATATCTTCAAGTAAAAACTAGACAGAAGCATTCTCAGAAACTTATTTGCCATGTGTGTTCTCAACTAACAGAGTTGAACCTTTGTTTTGATACGGCATTTTGGAAACACTCTTTTTGTAGAATCTGCAGGTGGATATTCGGATAGCTTTGAAGGTTTCGTTGGAAACGGGAATATCTTCATATAAAATCTAGACGGAAGCATTCTCAGAAACTGCTTTGTGATGTTTTCATTCAAGTCACAGAGTAGAATGTTCCCTGTTATATACCAGGTTTGAGACACTCTTTCTGCACTACCCGGAAGTGGACGTTTGGAGCGCTTTGAGGCCAATGTTGAAAAAGGAAATATCTTCCCATAAAAACTAGACAGAAGCATTCTCAGAAACTTGTTTGTGATGTGTGTATTCAACTAACAGAGATGAACCTTTCTTTTTACAGAGCAGTTTTGAAACACTCTTTTTGTGGAATCTGAAAGTGGATATTTGGATAGCTTTGAGGATTTCGTTGGAAACGGGATTACATATAAAACCTAGAGAGAAGCATTCTCAGGAACTTCTTTGTGATGTTTGCATTCAAGTCACAGAACTGAACATTCCCTTTCATAGAGCAGGTTTGAAACACTCTTTCTGTAGTATCTGCAAGCTGACGTTTCAAGCGCTTTCAGGCCTATGGTGAGAAAGGAAATATCTTCAAGTAAAAACTAGACAGAAGCATTCTCAGAAACTTATTTGCGATGTGTGTTCTCAACTAACAGAGTTGAACCTTTGTTTTGATATGGCATTTTGGAAACACTCTTTTTGTAGAATCTGCAGGTGGATATTCGGATAGCTTTGAAGCTTTCGTTGGAAACGGGAATATCTTCATATAAAATCTAGACGGAAGCATTCTCAGAAACTGCTTTGTGATGTTTTCATTCAAGTCACAGAGTAGAATGTTCCCTGTTATATACCAGGTTTGAGACACTCTTTCTGCACTACCTGGAAGTGGACATTTGGAGCGCTTTGAGGCCTATGATGAAAAAGGAAATATCTTCCCATAAAAACTAGACAGAAGCATTCTCAGAAACTTGTTTGTGATGTGTGTATTCAACTAACAGAGATGAACCTTTCTTTTTACAGAGCAGTTTTGAAACACTCTTTTTGTGGAATCTGAAAGTGGATATTTGGACAGCTGTGAGGATTTCGTTGGAAACGGGATTACATATAAAATCTAGAGAGAAGCATTCTCAGGAACTTCTTTGTGATGTTTGCATTCACGTCACAGAACTGAACATTCCCTTTCATAGAGCATGTTTGAAACACTCTTTCTGTAGTATCTGCAAACGGACATTTCAAGCGCTTTCAGGCCTATGGTGAGAAAGGAAATATCTTCAAATAAAAACTAGACAGAAAGCATTCTCAGAAAACTTATTTGCCATGTGTGTTCTCAACTAACAGAGTTGAACCTTTGTTTTGATACGGCATTTTGGAAACACTCTTTTTGTAGAATCTGCAGGTGGATATTCGGATAGCTTTGAAGGTTTCGTTGGAAACGGGAATATCTTCATATAAAATCTAGACGGAAGCATTCTCAGAAACTGCTTTGTGATGTTTTCATTGAAGTCACAGAGTAGAATGTTCCCTTTTATATACCAGGTTTGAGACACTCTTTCTGCACTATCTGGAAGTGGACATTTGGAGCGCTTTGAGGCCTATGATGAAAAAGGAAATATCTTCCCATAAAAACTAGACAGAAGCATTCTCAGAAACTTGTTTGTGATGTGTGTATTCAACTAACAGAGATGAACCTTTCTTTTTACAGAGCAGTTTTGAAACACTCTTTTTGTGGAATCTGAAAGTGGATATTTGGATAGCTTTGAGGATTTCGTTGGAAACGGGATTACATATAAAATCTAGAGAGAAGCATTCTCAGGAACTTCTTTGTGATGTTTGCATTCACGTCACAGAACTGAACATTCCCTTTCATAGAGCATGTTTGAAACACTCCTTCTGTAGTATCTGCAAGCGGACGTTACAAGCGCTTTCAGGCCTATGGTAAGAAAGGAAATATCTTCAAATAAAAACTAGACAGAAAGCATTCTCAGAAACTTATTTGCCATGTGTGTTCTCAACTAACAGAGTTGAACCTTTGTTTTGATACGGAATTTTGGAAACACTCTTTTTGTAGAATCTGCAGGTGGATATTCGGATAGCTTTGAAGGTTTCGTTGGAAACGGGAATATCTTCATATAAAATCTAGACGGAAGCATTCTCAGAAACTTCTCTGTGATGTTTGCATTCAACTCATAGAGTTGAACACTTCCCTTCATAGAGCAGGTTTGAAACACTCTTTTTGTAATATTTGGAAGTGGACATTTGCAGCGCTTTGAGGCCTATTTGAAAAAGGAAATATCTTCTCCTAAAAACCAGACAGAAGCATTCTCAGAAACTTCCTTGTGATGTGTGTACTCAAGTAACAGAGTTGAACCTTACTTTTGACAGAGCCGTTTTGACACAGTCTTTTTGTAGAATCTGGAAGTAGATATTTGGACACCTTTGAGGATTTCTTTGGAAACGGGATATCTTCATATAAAATCTAGACAGAAGCATTCTCAGGAACTTCTTTGTGATGTTTGCATTCACGTCACAGAACTGAACATTCCCTTTCATAGAGCATGTTTGAAACACTCTTTCTGTAGTATCTGCAAACGGACATTTCAAACGCTTTCAGGCCTATGGTGAGAAAGGAAATATCTTCAAATAAAAACTAGACAGAAGCATTCTCAGAAACTTGTTTGCGATGTGTTTCCTCAACTAACAGAGTTGAACCTTTCTTTTGATACAACATTTTGGAAACACTCTTTTTGTAGAATCTGCAAGTGGATATTTGGATAGCTTTGAAGGTTTCTTTGGAAACGGGAATATCTTCATATAAAATCAAGACAGAAGCATTCTCAGAAACTTCTCTGTGATGTTTGCATTCAACTCATAGAGTTGAACACTTCCCTTCATACAGCAGGTTTGAAACACTCTTTTTGTAATATTTGGAACTGGACATTTGCAGCGCTTTGAGGCCTATGATGAAAAAGGTAATATCTTCCCATAAAAACTAGACAGAAGCATTCTCAGAAACTTGTTTGTGATGTGTGTATTCAACTAACAGAGATGAACCTTTCTTTTTACAGAGCAGTTTTGAAACACTCTTTTTGTGGAATCTGAAAGTGGATATTTGGATAGCTTTGCGGATTTCGTTGGAAACGGGATTACATATAAAATCTAGGGAGAAGCATTCTCAGGAACTTCTTTGTGATGTTTGCATTCAAGTCACAGAACTGAACATTCCCTTTCATAGAGCAGGTTTGAAACACTCTTTCTGTAGTATCTGCAAGCGGACGTTTTAAGCGCTTTCAGGCCTGTGGTGAGAAAAGAAATATCTTCAAATAAAAACTAGACAGAAGCATTCTCAGAAACTTATTTGCGATGTGTGTCCTCAACTAACAGAGTTGAACCTTTCTTTTGATACATTTTGGAAACACTCTTTTTGTAGAATCTGCAAGTGGATATTTGGATAGCTTTGAAGGTTTCGTTGGAAACGGGAATATCTTCATATGAAATCAAGACAGAAGCATTCTCAGAAACTTCTCTGTGATGTTTGCATTCAACTCATAGAGTTGAACACTTCCCTTCATACAGCAGGTTTGAAACACTCTTTTTCTAATATTTGGAAGTGGACATTTGCAGCGCTTTGAGGCCTATGTTGAAAAAGGAAATATCTTCTCCTAAAAACCAGACAGAAGCATTCTCAGAAACTTGTTTGTGATGTGTGTATTCAACTAACAGAGATGAACCTTTCTTTTTACAGAGCAGTTTTGAAACACTCTTTTTGTGGAATCTGAAAGTGGATATTTGGATAGCTTTGAGGATTTCGTTGGAAACGGGATTACATATAAAACCTAGAGAGAAGCATTCTCAGGAACTTCTTTGTGATGTTTGCATTGAAGTCACAGAACTGAACATTCCCTTTCATAGAGCAGGTTTGAAACACTCTTTCTGTAGTATCTGCAAGCTGACGTTTCAAGCGCTTTCAGGCCTATGGTGAGAAAGGAAATATCTTCAAGTAAAAACTAGACAGAAGCATTCTCAGAAACTTCTTTGTGCTGTATGTCCTCAATTAACAGAGTTGAACCTTTGTCCGGATACAGCACTTTGGAAACACTCCTTTAGTAGAATCTGCAAGTTGATATTTAGATAGCTAGGAAGATTTCCTTGGAAACGGGAATATCTTCACATAAAATCTAGACGGAAGCATTCTCAGAAACTTCTCTGTGATGTTTGCATTCAACTCATAGAGTTGAACACTTCCTTTCATAGAGCAGGTTTGAAACACTCTGTGCACTACATGGAAGTGGACATTTGGAGTGCTTTGAGGACTATGTTGAAAAAGGAAATATCTTCCCATAAAAACTAGACAGAAGCATTCTCAGAAACTTGTTTGTGATGTGTGTATTCAACTAACAGAGATGAACCTTTCTTTTTACAGAGCAGTTTTGAAGCACTCTTTTTGTAGAATCTGCAAGTGGATATTTTGATACCATTGAGGATTTCGTTGGACACGGGATATCTTCATATAAAATCTAGACAGAAGCATTCTCAGAAACTTCTTTGTGCTGTATGTCCTCAATTAACAGAGTTGAACCTTTGTGTGGATACAGCATTTTGGAAACATTCCTTTAGTAGAATCTGCAAGTTGATATTTAGATAGCTAGGAAGAGTTCCTTGGAAACGGGAATATCTTCATATAAAATCTAGACGGAAGCATTCTCAGAAAGTGCTTTGTGATGTTTGCATTCAAGTCACAGAGTTGAATGTTCCCTTTTATAGAGCAGGTTTGAAACACTCTTTCTGCACTACCTGGAAGTGGACATTTGGAGCGCTTTGAGGCCTATGTTGAAAAAGGAAATATCTTCCCATAAAAACTAGACAGAAGCATTCTCAGAAACTTGTTTGTGATGTGTGTATTCAACTAACAGAGATGAACCTTTCTTTTTACAGAGCAGTTTTGAAACACTCTTTTTGTGGAATCTGAAAGTGGATATTTGGATAGCTTTGAGGATTTCGTTGGAAACGGGATTACATATAAAATGTAGAGAGAAGCATTCTCAGGAACTTCTTTGTGATGTTTGCATTCAAGTCACAGAACTGAACATTCCCTTTCATAGAGCATGTTTGAAACACTCTTTCTGTAGTATCTGCAAGCGGACGTTTCAAGCGCTTTCAGGCCTATGGTGAGAAAGGAAATATCTTCAAGTAAAAACTAGACAGAAGCATTCTCAGAAACTTATTTGCGATGTGTGTTCTCAACTAACAGAGTTGAACCTTTGTTTTGATATGGCATTTTGGAAACACTCTTTTTGTAGAATCTGCAGGTGGATATTCGGATAGCTTTGAAGGTTTCGTTGGAAACGGGAATATCTTCATATAAAATCTAGACGGAAGCATTCTCAGAAACTGCTTTGTGATGTTTTCGTTGAAGTCACAGAGTAGAATGTTCCCTTTTATATACCAGGTTTGAGACACTCTTTCTGCACTATCTGGAAGTGGACATTTGGAGCGCTTTGAGGCCTATGATGAAAAAGGAAATATCTTCCCATAAAAACTAGACAGAAGCATTCTCAGAAACTTGTTTGTGATGTGTGTATTCAACTAACAGAGATGAACCTTTCTTTTTACAGCGCAGTTTTGAAACAGTCTTCTTGTAGAATCTGGAAGTAGATATTTGGATACATTTGAGGATTTCTTTGGAAACGGGATATCTTCATATAAAATCTAGACAGAAGCATTCTCAGGAACTTCTTTGTGATGTTTGCATTCAAGTCACAGAACTGAACATTCCCTTTCATAGAGCAGGTTTGAAAAACTCTTTCTGTAGTATCTGCAAGCTGACGTTTCAAGCGCTTTCAGGCCTATGGTGAGAAAGGAAATATCTTCAAGTAAAAACTAGACAGAAGCATTCTCAGAAACTTATTTGCCATGTGTGTTCTCAACTAACAGAGTTGAACCTTTGTTTTGATACGGCATTTTGGAAACACTCTTTTTGTAGAATCTGCAGGTGGATATTCGGATAGCTTTGAAGGTTTCGTTGGAAACGGGAATATCTTCATATAAAATCTAGACGGAAGCATTCTCAGAAACTGCTTTGTGATGTTTTCATTGAAGTCACAGAGTAGAATGTTCCCTTTTATATACCAGGTTTGAGACACTCTTTCTGCACTATCTGGAAGTGGACATTTGGAGCGCTTTGAGGCCTATGATGAAAAAGGAAATATCTTCCCATAAAAACTAGACAGAAGCATTCTCAGAAACTTGTTTGTGATGTGTTTATTCAAGTAACAGAGATAAACATTTCTTTTTACAGAGCAGTTTTGAAACACTCTTTTTGTGGAATCTGAAAGTGGATATTTGGATAGCTTTGAGGATTTCGTTGGAAACGGGATTACATATAAAATCTAGAGAGAAGCATTCTCAGGAACTTCTTTGTGATGTTTGCATTCACGTCACAGAACTGAACATTCCCTTTCATAGAGCATGTTTGAAACACTCTTTCTGTAGTATCTGCAAACGGACATTTCAAACGCTTTCAGGCCTATGGTGAGAAAGGAAATATCTTCAAATAAAAACTAGACAGAAGCATTCTCAGAATCTTATTTGCGATGTGTGTCCTCAACTAACAGAGTTGAACCTTTCTTTTGATACAACATTTTGGAAACACTCTTTTTGTAGAATCTGCAAGTGGATATTTGGATAGCTTTGAAGGTTTCGTTGGAAACGGGAATATCTTCATATAAAATCAAGACAGAAGCATTCTCAGAAAGTGCTTTGTGATGTTTGCATTCAAGTCACAGAGTTGAATATTCCCTTTTATAGAGCAGGTTTGAAACACTCTTTCTGCACTACCTGGAAGTGGACATTTGGAGCGCTTTGAGGCCTATGTTGAAAAAGGAAATATCTTCCCATAAAAACTAGACAGAAGCATTCTCAGAAACTTGTTTGTGATGTGTGTATTCAACTAACAGAGATGAACCTTTCTTTTTACAGAGCAGTTTTGAAACACTCTTTTTGTGGAATCTGAAAGTGGATATTTGGATAGCTTTGAGGATTTCGTTGGAAACGGGATTACATATAAAACCTAGAGAGAAGAATTCTCAGGAACTTCTTTGTGATGTTTGCATTCAAGTCACAGAACTGAACATTCCCTTTCATAGAGCAGGTTTGAAACACTCTTTCTGTAGTATCTGCAAGCTGACGTTTCAAGCTCTTTCAGGCCTATGGTGAGAAAGGAAATATCTTCAAGTAAAAACTAGACAGAAGCATTGTCAGAAACTTATTTGCCATGTGTGTTCTCAACTAACAGAGTTGAACCTTTGTTTTGATACGGCATTTTGGAAACACTCTTTTTGTAGAATCTGCAGGTGGATATTCGGATAGCTTTGAAGGTTTCGTTGGAAACGGGAATATCTTCATATAAAATCTAGACGGAAGCATTCTCAGAAACTGCTTTGTGATGTTTTCATTCAAGTCACAGAGTAGAATGTTCCCTGTTATATACCAGGTTTGAGACACTCTTTCTGCACTACCCGGAAGTGGACGTTTGGAGCGCTTTGAGGCCTATGTTGAAAAAGGAAATATCTTCCCATAAAAACTAGACAGAAGCATTCTCAGAAACTTGTTTGTGATGTGTGTATTCAACTAACAGAGATGAACCTTTCTTTTTACAGAGCAGTTTTGAAACACTCTTTTTGTGGAATCTGAAAGTGGATATTTGGATAGCTTTGAGGATTTCGTTGGAAACGGGATTACATATAAAATCTAGAGAGAAGCATTCTCAGGAACTTCTTTGTGATGTTTGCATTCACGTCACAGAGCTGAACATTCCCTTTCATAGAGCATGTTTGAAACACTCTTTCTGTAGTATCTGCAAACGGACATTTCAAACGCTTTCAGGCCTATGGTGAGAAAGGAAATATCTTCAAATAAAAACTAAACAGAAGCATTCTCAGAAACTTCTTTGTGCTGTATGTCCTCAATTAACAGAGTTGAACCTTTGTGTGGATACAGCATTTTGGAAACATTCCTTTAGTAGAATCTGCAAGTTGATATTTAGATAGCTAGGAAGATTTCCTTGGAAACGGGAATATCTTCATATAAAATCTAGACGGAAGCATTCTCAGAAAGTGCTTTGTGATGTTTGCATTCAAGTCACAGAGTTGAATGTTCCCTTTTATAGAGCAGGTTTGAAACACTCTTTCTGCACTACCTGGAAGTGGACATTTGGAGCGCTTTGAGGCCTATGTTGAAAAAGGAAATATCTTCCCATAAAAACTAGACAGAAGCATTCTCAGAAACTTGTTTGTGATGTGTGTATTCAACTAACAGAGATGAACCTTTCTTTTTACAGAGCAGTTTTGAAACACTCTTTTTGTGGAATCTGAAAGTGGATATTTGGATAGCTTTGAGGATTTCGTTGGAAACGGGATTACATATAAAACCTAGAGAGAAGCATTCTCAGGAACTTCTTTGTGATGTTTGCATTCAAGTCACAGAACTGAACATTCCCTTTCATAGAGCATGTTTGAAACACTCTTTCTGTAGTATCTGCAAACGGACGTTTCAAACGCTTTCAGGCCTATGGTGAGAAAGGAAATATCTTCAAATAAAAACTAGACAGAAGCATTCTCAGAAACTTATTTGCGATGTGTGTCCTCTACTAACAGAGTTGAACCTTTCTTTTGATACAACATTTTGGAAACACTCTTTTTGTAGAATCTGCAAGTGGATATTTGAATAGCTTTGAAGGTTTCGTTGGAAACGGGAATATCTTCATATAAAATCAAGACAGAAGCATTCTCAGAAACTTCTCTGTGATGTTTGCATTCAACTCATAGAGTTGAACACTTCCCTTCATACAGCAGGTTTGAAACACTCTTTTTGTAATATTTGGAAGTGGACATTTGCAGCGCTTTGAGGCCTATGATGAAAAAGGTAATATCTTCCCATAAAAACTAGACAGAAGCATTCTCAGAAACTTGTTTGTGATGTGTGTATTCAACTAACACAGATGAACCTTTCTTTTTACAGAGCAGTTTTGAAACACTCTTTTTGTGGAATCTGAAAGTGGATATTTGGATAGCTTTGCGGATTTCGTTGGAAACGGGATTACATATAAAACCTAGAGAGAAGCATTCTCAGGAACTACTTTGTGATGTTTGCTTTCAAGTCACAGGACTGAACATTCCCTTTCATAGAGCAGGTTTGAAACACTCTTTCTGTAGTATCTGCAAGCTGACGTTTCAAGCGCTTTCAGGCCTATGGTGAGAAAGGAAATATCTTCAAGTAAAAACTAGACAGAAGCATTCTCAGAAACTTATTTGCCATGTGTGTTCTCAACTAACAGAGTTGAACCTTTGTTTTGATGCGGCATTTTGGAAACACTCTTTTTGTAGAATCTGCAGGTGGATATTCGGATAGCTTTGAAGGTTTCGTTGGAAACGGGAATATCTTCATATAAAATCTGGACGGAAGCATTCTCAGAAACTGCTTTGTGATGTTTTCATTCAAGTCACAGAGTAGAATGTTCCCTGTTATATACCAGGTTTGAGACACTCTTTCTGCACTACCTGGAAGTGGACGTTTGGAGCGCTTTGAGGCCTATGTTGAAAAAGGAAATATCTTCCCATAAAAACTAGACAGAAGCATTCTCAGAAACTTGTTTGTGATGTGTGTATTCAACTAACAGAGATGAACCTTTCTTTTTACAGAGCAGTTTTGAAACACTCTTTTTGTGGAATCTGAAAGTGGATATTTGGATAGCTTTGAGGATTTCGTTGGAAACGGGATTACATATAAAACCTAGAGAGAAGCATTCTCAGGAACTTCTTTGTGATGTTTGCATTCAAGTCACAGAACTGAACATTCCCTTTCATAGAGCAGGTTTGAAACACTCTTTCTGTAGTATCTGCAAGCTGACGTTTCAAGCGCTTTCAGGCCTATGGTGAGAAAGGAAATATCTTCAAGTAAAAACTAGACAGAAGCATTCTCAGAAACTTATTTGCGATGTGTGTTCTCAACTAACAGAGTTGAACCTTTGTTTTGATATGGCATTTTGGAAACACTCTTTTTGTAGAATCTGCAGGTGGATATTCGGATAGCTTTGAAGGTTTCGTTGGAAACGGGAATATCTTCATATAAAATCTAGACGGAAGCATTCTCAGAAACTGCTTTGTGATGTTTTCATTCAAGTCACAGAGTAGAATGTTCCCTGTTATATACCAGGTTTGAGACACTCTTTCTGCACTACCTGGAAGTGGACATTTGCAGCGCTTTGAGGCCTATGATGAAAAAGGAAATATCTTCCCATAAAAAACTAGACAGAAGCATTCTCAGAAACTTGTTTGTGATGTGTGTATTCAACTAACAGAGATGAACCTTTCTTTTTACAGAGCAGTTTTGAATCACTCTTTTTGTGGAATCTGAAAGTGGATATTTGGATAGCTTTGAGGATTTCGTTGGAAACGGGATTACATATAAAATCTAGAGAGAAGCATTCTCAGGAACTTCTTTGTGATGTTTGCATTCACGTCACAGAACTGAACATTCCCTTTCATAGAGCATGTTTGAAACACTCTTTCTGTAGTATCTGCAAACGGACATTTCAAACGCTTTCAGGCCTATGGTGAGAAAGGAAATATCTTCAAATAAAAACTAGACAGAAGCATTCTCAGAAACTTATTTGCGATGTGTGTCCTCAACTAACAGAGTTGAACCTTTCTTTTGATACAACATTTTGGAAACACTCTTTTTGTAGAATCTGCAAGTGGATATTTGAATAGCTTTGAAGGTTTCGTTGGAAACGGGAATATCTTCATATAAAATCAAGACAGAAGCATTCTCAGAAACTTCTCTGTGATGTTTGCATTCAACTCATAGAGTTGAACACTTCCCTTCATACAGCAGGTTTGAAACACTCTTTTTGTAATATTTGGAAGTGGACATTTGCAGCGCTTTGAGGCCTATGTTGAAAAAGGAAATATCTTCTCCTAAAAACCAGACAGAAGCATTCTCAGAAACTTCCTTGTGATGTGTGTACTCAAGTAACAGAGTTGAACCTTCCTTTTGACAGAGCAGTTTTGAAGCACTCTTTTTGTAGAATCTGCAAGTGGATATTTTGATACCTTTGAGGATTTCGTTGGACACGGGATATCTTCATATAAAATCTAGACAGAAGCATTCTCAGGAACTTCTTTGTGATGTTTGCATTCACGTCACAGAACTGAACATTCCCTTTCATAGAGCATGTTTGAAACACTCTTTCTGTAGTATCTGCAAACGGACATTTCAAACGCTTTCAGGCCTATGGTGAGAAAGGAAATATCTTCAAATAAAAACTAGACAGAAGCATTCTCAGAAACTTATTTGCGATGTGTGTCCTCAACTAACAGAGTTGAACCTTTCTTTTGATACAACATTTTGGAAACACTCTTTTTGTAGTATCTGCAAGTGGATATTTGGATAGCTTTGAAGGTTTCGTTGGAAACGGGAATATCTTCATATAAAATCAAGACAGAAGCATTCTCAGAAACTTCTCTGTGATGTTTGCATTCAACTCATAGAGTTGAACACTTCCCTTCATACAGCAGGTTTGAAACACTCTTTTTGTAATATTTGGAAGTGGACATTTGCAGCGCTTTGAGGCCTATGTTGAAAAAGGAAATATCTTCTCCTAAAAACCAGACAGAAGCATTCTCAGAAACTTCCTTGTGATGTGTGTACTCAAGTAACAGAGTTGAACCTTCCTTTTTACAGAGCAGTTTTGAAACACTCTTTTTGTGGAATCTGAAAGTGGATATTTGGATAGCTTTGCGGATTTCGTTATAAACGGGATTACATATAAAATCTAGGGAGAAGCATTCTCAGGAACTTCTTTGTGATGTTTGCCTTCAAGTCACAGGACTGAACATTCCCTTTCATAGAGCAGGTTTGAAACACTCTTTCTGTAGTATCTGCAAGCTGACGTTTCATGCGCTTTCAGGCCTATGGTGAGAAAGGAAATATCTTCAAGTAAAAACTAGACAGAAGCATTCTCAGAAACTTATTTGCCATGTGTGTTCTCAACTAACAGAGTTGAACCTTTGTTTTGATACGGCATTTTGGAAACACTCTTTTTGTAGAATCTGCAGGTGGATATTCGGATAGCTTTGAAGGTTTCGTTGGAAACGGGAATATCTTCATATAAAATCTAGACGGAAGCATTCTCAGAAACTGCTTTGTGATGTTTTCATTCAAGTCACAGAGTAGAATGTTCCCTGTTATATACCAGGTTTGAGACACTCTTTCTGCACTACCTGGAAGTGGACGTTTGGAGCGCTTTGAGGCCTATGTTGAAAAAGGAAATATCTTCCCATAAAAACTAGACAGAAGCATTCTCAGAAACTTGTTTGTGATGTGTGTATTCAACTAACAGAGATGAACCTTTCTTTTTACAGAGCAGTTTTGAAACACTCTTTTTGTGGAATCTGAAAGTGGATATTTGGATAGCTTTGAGGATTTCGTTGGAAACGGGATTACATATAAAATCTAGAGAGAAGCATTCTCAGGAACTTCTTTGTGATGTTTGCATTCACGTCACAGAACTGAACATTCCCTTTCATAGAGCATGTTTGAAACACTCTTTCTGTAGTATCTGCAAACGGACATTTCAAACGCTTTCAGGCCTATGGTGAGAAAGGAAATATCTTCAAGTAAAAACTAGACAGAAGCATTCTCAGAAACTTATTTGCGATGTGTGTCCTCAACTAACAGAGTTGAACCTTTCTTTTGATACAACATTTTGGAAACACTCTTTTTGTAGAATCTGCAAGTGGATATTTGAATAGCTTTGAAGGTTTCCTTGGAAACGGGAATATCTTCATATAAAATCAAGACAGAAGCATTCTCAGAAACTTCTCTGTGATGTTTGCATTCAACTCATAGAGTTGAACACTTCCCTTCATACAGCAGGTTTGAAACACTCTTTTTGTAATATTTGGAAGTGGACATTTGCAGCGCTTTGAGGCCTATGATGAAAAAGGAAATATCTTCCCATAAAAACTAGACAGGAAGCATTCTCAGAAACTTGTTTGAGATGTGTGTATTCAACTAACAGAGATGAACCTTTCTTTTTACAGAGCAGTTTTGAAACACTCTTTTTGTGGAATCTGAAAGTGGATATTTGGATAGCTTTGCGGATTTCGTTGGAAACGGGATTACATATAAAATCTACGGAGAAGCATTCTCAGGAACTTCTTTGTGATGTTTGCATTCAAGTCACAGGACTGAACATTCCCTTTCATAGAGCAGGTTTGAAACACTCTTTCTGTAGTATCTGCAAGCTGACGTTTCAAGCGCTTTCAGGCCTATGGTGAGAAAGGAAATATCTTCAAGTAAAAACTAGACAGAAGCATTCTCAGAAACTTATTTGCCATGTGTGTTCTCAACTAACAGAGTTGAACCTTTGTTTTGATACGGCATTTTGGAAACACTCTTTTTGTAGAATCTGCAGGTGGATATTCGGATAGCTTTGAAGGTTTCGTTGGAAACGGGAATATCTTCATATAAAATCTGGACGGAAGCATTCTCAGAAACTGCTTTGTGATGTTTGCATTCAAGTCACAGAACTGAACATTCCCTTTCATAGTGCAGGTTTGAAACACTCTTTCTGTAGTATCTACAAGCGGACGTTTCAAGCGCTTTCAGGCCTGTGGTGAAAAAGGAAATATCTTCAAATAAAAACTAGACAGAAGCATTCTCAGAAACTTATTTGCGATGTGTGTTCTCAACTAAAAGAGTTGAACCTTTGTTTGGATACAACATTTTGGAAACACTCTTTTTGTAGAATCTGCAAGTGGATATTTGGATAGCTTTGAAGGTTTCGTTGGAAACGGGAATATCTTCATATAAAATCAAGACAGAAGCATTCTCAGAAAGTGCTTTGTGATGTTTGCATTCAAGTCACAGAGTTGAATGTTCCCTTTTATAGAGCAGGTTTGAAACACTCTTTCTGCACTACCTGGAAGTGGATATTTGGTGCGCTTTGAGGCCTATGTTGAAAAAGGAAATATCTTCCCATAAAAACTAGACAGAAGCATTCTCAGAAACTTGTTTGTGATGTGTGTATTCAACTAACAGAGATGAACCTTTCTTTTTACAGAGCAGTTTTGAAACACTCTTTTTGTGGAATCTGAAAGTGGATATTTGGATAGCTTTGAGGATTTCGTTGGAAACGGGATTACATATAAAACCTAGAGAGAAGCATTCTCAGGAACTTCTTTGTGATGTTTGCATTCAAGTCACAGAACTGAACATTCCCTTTCATAGAGCAGGTTTGAAACACTCTTTCTGTAGTATCTGCAAGCTGACGTTTCAAGCGCTTTCAGGCCTATGGTGAGAAAGGAAATATCTTCAAGTAAAAACTAGACAGAAGCATTCTCAGAAACTTATTTGCCATGTGTGTTCTCAACTAACAGAGTTGAACCTTTGTTTTGATACGGCATTTTGGAAACACTCTTTTTGTAGAATCTGCAGGTGGATATTCGGATACCTTTGAAGGTTTCGTTGGAAACGGGAATATCTTCATATAAAATCTAGACGGAAGCATTCTCAGAAACTGCTTTGTGATGTTTTCATTCAAGTCACAGAGTAGAATGTTCCCTTTTATATACCAGGTTTGAGACACTCTTTCTGCACTATCTGGAAGTGGACATTTGGAGCGCTTTGAGGCCTATGATGAAAAAGGAAATATCTTCCCATAAAAACTAGACAGAAGCATTCTCAGAAACTTGTTTGTGATGTGTGTATTCAACTAACAGAGATGAACCTTTCTTTTTACAGAGCAGTTTTGAAACACTCTTTTTCTGGAATCTGAAAGTGGATATTTGGATAGCTTTGAGGATTTCGTTGGAAACGGGATTACATATAAAACCTAGAGAGAAGCATTCTCAGGAACTTCTTTGTGATGTTTGCCTTCAAGTCACAGGACTGAACATTCCCTTTCATAGAGCAGGTTTGAAACACTCTTTCTGTAGTATCTGCAAGCTGACGTTTCAAGCGCTTTCAGGCCTATGGTGAGAAAGGAAATATCTTCAAGTAAAAACTAGACAGAAGCATTCTCAGAAACTTATTTGCGATGTGTGTTCTCAACTAACAGAGTTGAACCTTTGTTTTGATATGGCATTTTGGAAACACTCTTTTTGTAGAATCTGCAGGTGGATATTCGGATAGCTTTGAAGGTTTCGTTGGAAACGGGAATATCTTCATATAAAATCTAGACGGAAGCATTCTCAGAAACTGCTTTGTGATGTTTTCATTCAAGTCACAGAGTAGAATGTTCCCTGTTATATACCAGGTTGGAGACACTCTTTCTGCACTACCTGGAAGTGGACGTTTGGAGCGCTTTGAGGCCTATGTTGAAAAAGGAAATATCTTCCCATAAAAACTAGACAGAAGCATTCTCAGAAACTTGTTTGTGATGTGTGTATTCAACTAACAGAGATGAACCTTTCTTTTTACAGAGCAGTTTTGAAACACTCTTTTTGTGGAATCTGAAAGTGGATATTTGGATAGCTTTGAGGATTTCGTTGGAAACGGGATTACATATAAAACCTAGAGAGAAGCATTCTCAGGAACTTCTTTGTGATGTTTGCCTTCAAGTCACAGGACTGAACATTCCCTTTCATAGAGCAGGTTTGAAACACTCTTTCTGTAGTATCTGCAAGCTGACGTTTCAAGCGCTTTCAGGCCTATGGTGAGAAAGGAAATATCTTCAAGTAAAAACTAGACAGAAGCATTCTCAGAAACTTATTTGCCATGTGTGTTCTCAACTAACAGAGTTGAACCTTTGTTTTGATACGGCATTTTGGAAACACTCTTTTTGTAGAATCTGCAGGTGGATATTCGGATAGCTTTGAAGGTTTCGTTGGAAACGGGAATATCTTCATATAAAACCTTGACGGAAGCATTCTCAGAAACTTCTTTGTGCTGTATGTCCTCAATTAACAGAGTTGAACCTTTGTGTGGATACAGCATTTTGGAAACATTCCTTTAGTAGAATCTGCAAGTTGATATTTAGATAGCTAGGAAGAGTTCCTTGGAAACGGGAATATCTTCATATAAAATCTAGACGGAAAGCATTCTCAGAAACTGCTTTGTGATGTTTTCATTCAAGTCACAGAGTAGAATGTTCCCTGTTATATACCAGGTTTGAGACACTCTTTCTGCACTACCTGGAAGTGGACGTTTGGAGCGCTTTGAGGCCTATGTTGAAAAAGGAAATATCTTCCCATAAAAACTAGACAGAAGCATTCTCAGAAACTTGTTTGTGATGTGTGTATTCAACTAACAGAGATGAACCTTTCTTTTTACAGAGCAGTTTTGAAACACTCTTTTTGTGGAATCTGAAAGTGGATATTTGGATAGCTTTGAGGATTTCGTTGGAAACGGGATTACATATAAAATCTAGAGAGAAGCATTCTCAGGAACTTCTTTGTGATGTTTGCATTCAAGTCACAGAACTGAACATTCCCTTTCATAGAGCAGGTTTAAAACACTCTTTCTGTAGTATCTGCAAGCGGACGTTTTAAGCGCTTTCAGGCCTGTGGTGAGAAAGGAAATATCTTCAAATAAAAACTAGACAGAAGCATTCTCAGAAACTTATTTGCGATGTGTGTCCTCAACTAACAGAGTTGAACCTTTCTTTTGATACAACATTTTGGAAACACTCTTTTTGTAGAATCTGCAAGTGGATATTTGGATAGCTTTGAAGGTTTCGTTGGAAACGGGAATATCTTCATATGAAATCAAGACAGAAGCATTCTCAGAAACTTCTCTGTGATGTTTGCATTCAACTCATAGAGTTGAACACTTCCCTTCATACAGCAGGTTTGAAACACTCTTTTTGTAATATTTGGAAGTGGACATTTGCAGCGCTTTGAGGCCTATGTTGAAAAAGGAAATATCTTCTCCTAAAAACCAGACAGAAGCATTCTCAGAAACTTCCTTGTGATGTGTGTACTCAAATAACAGAGTTGAACCTTCCTTTTGACGGAGCAGTTTTGAAGCACTCTTTTTGTAGAATCTGCAAGTGGATATTTTGATACCTTTGAGGATTTCGTTGGACACGGGATATCTTCATATAAAATCTAGGCAGAAGCATTCTCAGGAACTTCTTTGTGATGTTTGCATTCAAGTCACAGAACTGAACATTCCCTTTCATAGAGCATGTTTGAAACACTCTTTCTGTAGTATCTGCAAACGGACATTTCAAACGCTTTCAGGCCTATGGTGAGAAAGGAAATATCTTCAAATAAAAACTAGACAGAAGCATTCTCAGAAACTTATTTGCGATGTGTGTCCTCAACTAACAGAGGTGAACCTTTGTTTTGATACAACATTTTGGAAACACTCTTGTTGTAGAATCTGCAAGTGGATATTTGGATAGCTTTGAAGGTTTCGTTGGAAACGGGAATATCTTCATATAAAATCAAGACAGAAGCATTCTCAGAAAGTGCTTTGTGATGTTTGCATTCAAGTCACAGAGTTGAATATTCCCTTTTATAGAGCAGGTTTGAAACACTCTTTCTGCACTACCTGGAAGTGGACATTTGGAGCGCTTTGAGGCCTATGTTGAAAAACGAAATATCTTCCCATAAAAACTAGACAGAAGCATTCTCAGAAACTTGTTTGTGATGTGTGTATTCAACTAACAGAGATGAACCTTTCTTTTTACAGAGCAGTTTTGAAACACTCTTTTTGTGGAATCTGAAAGTGGATATTTGGATAGCTTTGAGGATTTCGTTGGAAACGGGATTACATATAAAATCTAGAGAGAAGCATTCTCAGGAACTTCTTTGTGATGTTTGCATTCAAGTCACAGAACTGAACATTCCCTTTCATAGAGCATGTTTGAAACACTCTTTCTGTAGTATCTGCAAGCGGACGTTTTAAGCGCTTTCAGGCCTGTGGTGAGAAAGGAAATATCTTCAAATAAAAACTAGACAGAAGCATTCTCAGAAACTTATTTGCGATGTGTGTCCTCAACTAACAGAGTTGAACCTTTCTTTTGATACAACATTTTGGAAACACTCTTTTTGTAGAATCTGCAAGTGGATATTTGGATAGCTTTGAAGGTTTCGTTGGAAACGGGAATATCTTCATATGAAATCAAGACAGAAGCATTCTCAGAAACTTCTCTGTGATGTTTGCATTCAACTCATAGAGTTGAACACTTCCCTTCATACAGCAGGTTTGAAACACTCTTTTTCTAATATTTGGAAGTGGACATTTGCAGCGCTTTGAGGCCTATGTTGAAAAAGGAAATATCTTCTCCTAAAAACCAGACAGAAGCATTCTCAGAAACTTGTTTGTGATGTGTGTATTCAACTAACAGAGATGAACCTTTCTTTTTACAGAGCAGTTTTGAAACACTCTTTTTGTGGAATCTGAAAGTGGATATTTGGATAGCTTTGAGGATTTCGTTGGAAACGGGATTACATATAAAATCTAGGGAGAAGCATTCTCAGGAACTTCTTTTTGATGTTTGCATTCAAGTCACAGAACTGAACATTCCCTTTCATAGAGCAGGTTTGAAACACTCTTTCTGTAGTATCTGCAAGCGGAAATTTCAAGCGCTTTCAGGCCTGTGGTGAAAAAGGAAATATCTTCAAATAAAAACTAGACAGAAAGCATTCTCAGAAACTTCTTTGTGCTGTATGTCCTCAATTAACAGAGTTGAACCTTTGTGTGGATACAGCATTTTGGAAACATTCCTTTAGTAGAATCTGCAAGTTGATATTTAGATAGCTAGGAAGATTTCCTTGGAAACGGGAATATCTTCATATAAAATCTAGAGGGAGCATTCTCAGAAAGTGCTTTGTGATGTTTGCATTCAAGTCACAGAGTTGAATATTCCCTTTTATAGAGCAGGTTTGAAACACTCTTTCTGCACTACCTGGAAGTGGACATTTGGAGCGCTTTGAGGCCTATGTTGAAAAAGGAAATATCTTCCCATAAAAACTAGACAGAAGCATTCTCAGAAACTTGTTTGTGATGTGTGTATTCAACTAACAGAGATGAACCTTTCTTTTTACAGAGCAGTTTTGAAACACTCTTTTTGTGGAATCTGAAAGTGGATATTTGGATAGCTTTGAGGATTTCGTTGGAAACGGGATTACATATAAAATCTAGAGAGAAGCATTCTCAGCAACTTCTTTGTGATGTTTGCATTCACGTCACAGAACTGAACATTCCCTTTCATAGAGCATGTTTGAAACACTCTTTCTGTAGTATCTGCAAACGGACATTTCAAACGCTTTCAGGCCTATGGTGAGAAAGGAAATATCTTCAAATAAAAACTAGACAGAAGCATTCTCAGAAACTTATTTGCGATGTGTGTCCTCAACTAACAGAGTTGAACCTTTCTTTTGATACAACATTTTGGAAACACTCTTTTTGTAGAATCTGCAAGTGGATATTTGAATAGCTTTGAAGGTTTCGTTGGAAACGGGAATATCTTCATATGAAATCAAGACAGAAGCATTCTCAGAAACTTCTCTGTGATGTTTGCATTCAACTCATAGAGTTGAACACTTCCCTTCATACAGCAGGTTTGAAACACTCTTTTTCTAATATTTGGAAGTGGACATTTGCAGCGCTTTGAGGCCTATGTTGAAAAAGGAAATATCTTCTCCTAAAAACCAGACAGAAGCATTCTCAGAAACTTCCTTGTGATGTGTGTACTCAAGTAACAGAGTTGAACCTTCCTTTTGACAGAGCAGTTTTGAAGCACTCTTTTTGTAGAATCTGCAAGTGGATATTTTGATACCTTTGAGGATTTCGTTGGACACGGGATATCTTCATATAAAATCTAGACAGAAGCATTCTCAGGAACTTCTTTGTGATGTTTGCATTCAAGTCACAGAACTGAACATTCCCTTTCATAGAGCAGGTTTGAAACACTCTTTCTGTAGTATCTGCAAGCTGACGTTTCAAGCGCTTTCAGGCCTATGGTGAGAAAGGAAATATCTTCAAGTAAAAACTAGACAGAAGCATTCTCAGAAACTTATTTGCGATGTGTGTTCTCAACTAACAGAGTTGAACCTTTGTTTTGATATGGCATTTTGGAAACACTCTTTTTGTAGAATCTGCAGGTGGATATTCGGATAGCTTTGAAGGTTTCGTTGGAAACGGGAATATCTTCATATAAAATCTAGACGGAAGCATTCTCAGAAACTGCTTTGTGATGTTTTCATTCAAGTCACACAGTAGAATGTTCCCTGTTATATACCAGGTTTGAGACACTCTTTCTGCACTACCTGGAAGTGGACATTTGCAGCGCTTTGAGGCCTATGATGAAAAAGGAAATATCTTCCCATAAAAACTAGACAGAAGCATTCTCAGAAACTTGTTTTTGATGTGTGTATTCAACTAACAGAGATGAACCTTTCTTTTTACAGAGCAGTTTTGAAACACTCTTTTTGTGGAATCTGAAAGTGGATATTTGGATAGCTTTGAGGATTTCGTTGGAAACGGGATTACATATAAAATCTAGAGAGAAGCATTCTCAGGAACTTCTTTGTGATGTTTGCATTCACGTCACAGAACTGAACATTCCCTTTCATAGAGCATGTTTGAAACACTCTTTCTGTAGTATCTGCAAACGGACATTTCAAACGCTTTCAGGCCTATGGTGAGAAAGGAAATATCTTCAAATAAAAACTAGACAGAAGCATTCTCAGAAACTTATTTGCGATGTGTGTCCTCAACTAACAGAGTTGAACCTTTCATTTGATACAACATTTTGGAAACACTCTTTTTGTGGAATCTGCAAGTGGATATTTGGATAGCTTTGAAGATTTCGTTGGAAACGGGAATATCTTCATATAAAATCAAGACAGAAGCATTCTCAGAAACTTCTCTGTGATGTTTGCATTCAACTCATAGAGTTGAACACTTCCCTTCATACAGCAGGTTTGAAACACTCTTTTTGTAATATTTGGAAGTGGACATTTGCAGCGCTTTGAGGCCTATGTTGAAAAAGGAAATATCTTCTCCTAAAAACCAGACAGAAGCATTCTCAGAAACTTCCTTGTGATGTGTGTACTCAAGTAACAGAGTTGAACCTTCCTTTTGACAGAGCAGTTTTGAAGCAGTCTTTTTGTGGAATCTGCAAGTGGATATTTTGATACCTTTGAGGATTTCGTTGGACACGGGATATCTTCATATAAAATCTAGACAGAAGCATTCTCAGGAACTTCTTTGTGATGTTTGCATTCAAGTCACAGAACTGAACATTCCCTTTCATAGAGCAGGTTTGAAACACTCTTTCTGTAGTATCTGCAAGCTGACGTTTCAAGCGCTTTCAGGCCTATGGTGAGAAAGGAAATATCTTCAAGTAAAAACTAGACAGAAGCATTCTCAGAAACTTATTTGCCATGTATGTTCTCAACTAACAGGGTGGAACCTTTGTTTTGATACGGCATTTTGGAAATACTCTTTTTGTAGAATCTGCAGGTGGATATTCGGATAGCTTTGAAGGTTTCGTTGGAAACGGGAATATCTTCATATAAAATCTAGACGGAAGCATTCTGAGAAACTGCTTTGTGATGTTTTCATTCAAGTCACAGAGTAGAATGTTCCCTGTTATATACCAGGTTTGAGACACGCTTTCTGCACTACCTGGAAGTGGACATTTGGAGCGCTTTGAGGCCTATGATGAAAAAGGAAATATCTTCCCATAAAAACTAGACAGAAGCATTCTCAGAAACTTGTTTGTGATGTGTGTATTCAACTAACAGAGATGAACCTTTCTTTTTACAGAGCAGTTTTGAAACACTCTTTTTGTGGAATCTGAAAGTGGATATTTGGATAGCTTTGAGGATTTCGTTGGAAACGGGATTACATATAAAACCTAGAGAGAAGCATTCTCAGGAACTTCTTTGTGATGTTTGCCTTCAAGTCACAGGACTGAACATTCCCTTTCATAGAGCAGGTTTGAAACACTCTTTCTGTAGTATCTGCAAGCTGACGTTTCAAGCGCTTTCAGGCCTATGGTGAGAAAGGAAATATCTTCAAGTAAAAACTAGACAGAAGCATTCTCAGAAACTTATTTGCCATGTGTGTTCTCAACTAACAGAGTTGAACCTTTGTTTTGATACGGCATTTTGGAAACACTCTTTTTGTAGAATCTGCAGGTGGATATTCGGATAGCTTTGAAGGTTTCGTTGGAAACGGGAATATCTTCATATAAAATCTAGACGGAAGCATTCTCAGAATCTGCTTTGTGATGTTTTCATTCAAGTCACAGAGTAGAATGTTCCCTGTTATATACCAGGTTTGAGACACTCTTTCTGCACTACCTGGAAGTGGACGTTTGGAGCGCTTTGAGGCCTATGTTGAAAAAGGAAATATCTTCCCATAAAAACTAGACAGAAGCATTCTCAGAATCTTTCTTGTGATGTGTGTACTCAAGTAACAGAGTTGAACCTTCATTTTGACAGAGCAGTTTTGAAGCACTCTTTTTGTAGAATCTGCAAGTGGATATTTTGATACCTTTGAGGATTTCGTTGGACAAGGGATATCTTCATATAAAATCTAGACAGAAGCATTCTCAGGAACTTCTTTGTGATGTTTGCATTCACGTCACAGAACTGAACATTCCCTTTCATAGAGCATGTTTGAAACACTCTTTCTGTAGTATCTGCAAACGGACATTTCAAACGCTTTCAGGCCTATGGTGAGAAAGGAAATATCTTCAAATAAAAACTAGACAGAAGCATTCTCAGAAACTTATTTGCGATGTGTGTCCTCAACTATCAGAGTTGAACCTTTCTTTTGATTCAACATTTTGGAACCACTCTTTTTGTAGAATCTGCAAGTGGATATTTGAATAGCTTTGAAGGTTTCGTTGGAAACGGGAATATCTTCATATAAAATCAAGACAGAAGCATTCTCAGAAACTTCTCTGTGATGTTTGCATTCAACTCATAGAGTTGAACACTTCCCTTCATACAGCAGGTTTGAAACACTCTTTTTGTAATATTTGGAAGTGGACATTTGCAGCGCTTTGAGGCCTATGATGAAAAAGGAAATATCTTCCCATAAAAACTAGACAGAAGCATTCTCAGAAACTTGTTTGTGATGTGTGTATTCAACTAACAGAGATGAACCTTTCTTTTTACAGAGCAGTTTTGAAACACTCTTTTTGTGGAATCTGAAAGTGGATATTTGGATAGCTTTGCGGATTTCGTTTGAAACGGGATTACATATAAAATCTAGGGAGAAGCATTCTCAGGAACTTCTTTGTGATGTTTGCATTCAAGTCACAGAACTGAACATTCCCTTTCATAGAGCAGGTTTGAAACACTCTTTCTGTAGTATCTGCAAGCGGACGTTTTAAGCGCTTTCAGGCCTGTGGTGAGAAAGGAAATATCTTCAAATAAAAACTAGACAGAAGCATTCTCAGAAACTTATTTGCGATGTGTGTCCTCAACTAACAGAGTTGAACCTTTCTTTTGATACAACATTTTGGAAACACTCTTTTTGTAGAATCTGCAAGTGGATATTTGGATAGCTTTGAAGGTTTCGTTGGAAACGGGAATATCTTCATATGAAATCAAGACAGAAGCATTCTCAGAAACTTCTCTGTGATGTTTGCATTCAACTCATAGAGTTGAACACTTCCCTTCATACAGCAGGTTTGAAACACTCTTTTTCTAATATTTGGAAGTGGACATTTGCAGCGCTTTGAGGCCTATGTTGAAAAGGGAAATATCTTCTCCTAAAAATCAGACAGAAGCATTCTCAGAAACTTGTTTGTGATGTGTGTATTCAACTAACAGAGATGAACCTTTCTTTTTAGAGAGCAGTTTTGAAACACTCTTTTTGTGGAATCTGAAAGTGGATATTTGGATAGCTTTGAGGATTTCGTTGGAAACGGGATTACATGTAAAATCTAGAGAGAAGCATTCTCAGGAACTTCGTTGTGATGTTTGCATTCACGTCACAGAACTGAACATTCCCTTTCATAGAGCATGTTTGAAACACTCTTTCTGTAGTATCTGCAAACGGACATTTCAAACGCTTTCAGGCCTATGGTGAGAAAGGAAATATCTTCAAATAAAAACTAGACAGAAGCATTCTCAGAAACTTATTTGCGATGTGTGTCCTCAACTATCAGAGTTGAACCTTTCTTTTGATTCAACATTTTGGAACCACTCTTTTTGTAGAATCTGCAAGTGGATATTTGAATAGCTTTGAAGGTTTCGTTGGAAAGGGGAATATCTTCATATAAAATCAAGACAGAAGCATTCTCAGAAACTTCTCTGTGATGTTTGCATTCAACTCATAGAGTTGAACACTTCCCTTCATACAGCAGGTTTGAAACACTCTTTTTGTAATATTTGGAAGTGGACATTTGCAGCGCTTTGAGGCCTATGATGAAAAAGGTAATATCTTCCCATAAAAACTAGACAGAAGCATTCTCAGAAACTTGTTTGTGATGTGTGTATTCAACTAACAGAGATGAACCTTTCTTTTTACAGAGCAGTTTTGAAACACTCTTTTTGTGGAATCTGAAAGTGGATATTTGGATAGCTTTGCGGATTTCGTTGGAAACGGGATTACATATAAAATCTAGGGAGAAGCATTCTCAGGAACTTCTTTGTGATGTTTGCATTCAAGTCACAGAACTGAACATTCCCTTTCATAGAGCATGTTTGAAACACTCTTTCTGTAGTATCTGCAAGCGGACGTTTTAAGCGCTTTCAGGCCTGTGGTGAGAAAGGAAATATCTTCAAATAAAAACTAGACAGAAGCATTCTCAGAAACTTATTTGCGATGTGTGTCCTCAACTAACAGAGTTGAACCTTTCTTTTGATACAACATTTTGGAAACACTCTTTTTGTAGAATCTGCAAGTGGATATTTGGATAGCTTTGAAGGTTTCGTTGGAAACGGGAATATCTTCATATGAAATCAAGACAGAAGCATTCTCAGAAACTTCTCTGTGATGTTTGCATTCAACTCATAGAGTTGAACACTTCCCTTCATACAGCAGGTTTGAAACACTCTTTTTGTAATATTTGGAAGTGGACATTTGCAGCGCTTTGAGGCCTATGTTGAAAAAGGAAATATCTTCTCCTAAAAACCAGACAGAAGCATTCTCAGAAACTTGTTTGTGATGTGTGTATTCAACTAACAGAGATGAACCTTTCTTTTTACAGAGCAGTTTTGAAGCACTCTTTTTGTAGAATCTGCAAGTGGATATTTTGATACCATTGAGGATTTCGTTGGACACGGGATATCTTCATATAAAATCTAGACAGAAGCATTCTCAGAAACTTCTTTGTGCTGTATGTCCTCAATTAACAGAGTTGAACCTTTGTGTGGATACAGCATTTTGGAAACATTCCTTTAGTAGAATCTGCAAGTTGATATTTAGATAGCTAGGAAGAGTTCCTTGGAAACGGGAATATCTTCATATAAAATCTAGACGGAAGCATTCTCAGAAAGTGCTTTGTGATGTTTGCATTCAAGTCACAGAGTTGAATGTTCCCTTTTATAGAGCAGGTTTGAAACACTCTTTCTGCACTACCTGGAAGTGGACATTTGGAGCGCTTTGAGGCCTATGTTGAAAAAGGAAATATCTTCCCATAAAAACTAGACAGAAGCATTCTCAGAAACTTGTTTGTGATGTGTGTATTCAACTAACAGAGATGAACCTTTCTTTTTACAGAGCAGTTTTGAAACACTCATTTTGTGGAATCTGAAAGTGGATATTTGGATAGCTTTGAGGATTTCGTTGGAAACGGGATTACATATAAAACCTAGAGAGAAGCATTCTCAGGAACTTCTTTGTGATGTTTGCATTCAAGTCACAGAACTGAACATTCCCTTTCATAGAGCAGGTTTGAAACACTCTTTCTGTAGTATCTGCAAGCTGACGTTTCAAGCGCTTTCAGGCCTATGGTGAGAAAGGAAATATCTTCAAGTAAAAACTAGACAGAAGCATTCTCAGAAACTTATTTGCCATGTGTGTTCTCAACTAACAGAGTTGAACCTTTGTTTTGATACGGCATTTTGGAAACACTCTTTTTGTAGAATCTGCAGGTGGATATTCGGATAGCTTTGAAGGTTTCGTTGGAAACGGGAATATCTTCATATAAAATCTAGACGGAAGCATTCTCAGAAACTGCTTTGTGATGTTTTCATTCAAGTCACAGAGTAGAATGTTCCCTGTTATATACCAGGTTTGAGACACTCTTTCTGCACTACCTGGAAGTGGACATTTGGAGCGCTTTGAGGCCTATGATGAAAAAGGAAATATCTTCCAATAAAAACTAGACAGAAGCATTCTCAGAAACTTGTTTGTGATGTGTGTATTCAACTAACAGAGATGAACCTTTCTTTTTACAGAGCAGTTTTGAAACACTCTTTTTGTGGAATCTGAAAGTGGATATTTGGATAGCTTTGAGGATTTCGTTGGAAACGGGATTACATATAAAATCTAGAGAGAAGCATTCTCAGGAACTTCTTTGTGATGTTTGCATTCACGTCACAGAACTGAACATTCCCTTTCATAGAGCATGTTTGAAACACTCTTTCTGTAGTATCTGCAAACGGACATTTCAAACGCTTTCAGGCCTATGGTGAGAAAGGAAATATCTTCAAATAAAAACTAGACAGAAGCATTCTCAGAAACTTATTTGCGATGTGTGTCCTCAACTAACAGAGTTGAACCTTTCTTTTGATACAACATTTTGGAACCACTCTTTTTGTAGAATCTGCAAGTGGATATTTGGATAGCTTTGAAGGTTTCGTTGGAAATGGGAATATCTTCATATAAAATCAAGACAGAAGCATTCTCAGAAACTTCTCTGTGATGTTTGCATTCAACTCATAGAGTTGAACACTTCCCTTCATACAGCAGGTTTGAAACACTCTTTTTGTAATATTTGGAAGTGGACATTTGCAGCGCTTTGAGGCCTATGATGAAAAAGGAAATATCTTCCCATAAAAACTAGACAGAAGCATTCTCAGAAACTTGTTTGTGATGTGTGTATTCAACTAACAGAGATGAACCTTTCTTTTTACAGAGCAGTTTTGAAACACTCTTTTTGTGGAATCTGAAAGTGGATATTTGGATAGCATTGCGGATTTCGTTGGAAACGGGATTACATATAAAATCTAGGGAGAAGCATTCTCAGGAACTTCTTTGTGATGTTTGCATTCAAGTCACAGAACTGAACATTCCCTTTCATAGAGCAGGTTTGAAACACTCTTTCTGTAGTATCTGCAAGCGGACGTTTTAAGCGCTTTCAGGCCTGTGGTGAGAAAGGAAATATCTTCAAATAAAAACTAGACAGAAGCATTCTCAGAAACTTATTTGCGATGTGTGTCCTCAACTAACAGAGTTGAACCTTTCTTTTGATACAACATTTTGGAAACACTCTTTTTGTAGAATCTGCAAGTGGATATTTGGATAACTTTGAAGGTTTCGTTGGAAACGGGAATATCTTCATATGAAATCAAGACAGAAGCATTCTCAGAAACTTCTCTGTGATGTTTGCATTCAACTCATAGAGTTGAACACTTCCCTTCATACAGCAGGTTTGAAACACTCTTTTTCTAATATTTGGAAGTGGACATTTGCAGCGCTTTGAGGCCTATGTTGAAAAAGGAAATATCTTCTCCTAAAAACCAGACAGAAGCATTCTCAGAAACTTCCTTGTGATGTGTGTACTCAAGTAACAGAGTTGAACCTTCCTTTTGACAGAGCAGTTTTGAAGCACTCTTTTTGTAGAATCTGCAAGTGGATATTTTGATACCTTTGAGGATTTCGTTGGACACGGGATATCTTCATATAAAATCTAGACAGAAGCATTCTCAGGAACTTCTTTGTGATGTTTGCATTCAAGTCACAGAACTGAACATTCCCTTTCATAGAGCAGGTTTGAAACACTCTTTCTGTAGTATCTGCAAGCGGACGTTTTAAGCGCTTTCAGGCCTGTGGTGAGAAAGGAAATATCTTCAAATAAAAACTAGACAGAAGCATTCTCAGAAACTTATTTGCGATGTGTGTCCTCAACTAACAGAGTTGAACCTTTCTTTTGATACAACATTTTGGAAACACTCTTTTTGTAGAATCTGCAAGTGGATATTTGGATAGCTTTGAAGGTTTCGTTGGAAACGGGAATATCTTCATATGAAATCAAGACAGAAGCATTCTCAGAAACTTCTCTGTGATGTTTGCATTCAACTCATAGAGTTGAACACTTCCCTTCATACAGCAGGTTTGAAACACTCTTTTTCTAATATTTGGAAGTGGACATTTGCAGCGCTTTGAGGCCTATGTTGAAAAAGGAAATATCTTCTCCTAAAAACCAGACAGAAGCATTCTCAGAAACTTGTTTGTGATGTGTGTATTCAACTAACAGAGATGAACCTTTCTTTTTACAGAGCAGTTTTGAAACACTCTTTTTGTGGAATCTGAAAGTGGATATTTGGATAGCTTTGAGGATTTCGTTGGAAACGGGATTACATATAAAACCTAGAGAGAAGCATTCTCAGGAACTTCTTTGTGATGTTTGCATTCAAGTCACAGAACTGAACATTCCCTTTCATAGAGCAGGTTTGAAACACTCTTTCTGTAGTATCTGCAAGCTGACGTTTCAAGCGCTTTCAGGCCTATGGTGAGAAAGGAAATATCTTCAAGTAAAAACTAGACAGAAGCATTCTCAGAAACTTATTTGCGATGTGTGTTCTCAACTAACAGAGTTGAACCTTTGTTTTGATGCGGCATTTTGGAAACACTCTTTTTGTAGAATCTGCAGGTGGATATTCGGATAGCTTTGAAGGTTTCGTTGGAAACGGGAATATCTTCATATAAAATCTAGACGGAAGCATTCTCAGAAACTGCTTTGTGATGTTTTCATTCAAGTCACAGAGTAGAATGTTCCCTGTTATATACCAGGTTTGAGACACTCTTTCTGCACTACCTGGAAGTGGACGTTTGGAGCGCTTTGAGGCCTATGTTGAAAAAGGAAATATCTTCCCATAAAAACTAGACAGAAGCATTCTCAGAAACTTGTTTGTGATGTGTGTATTCAACTAACAGAGATGAACCTTTCTTTTTACAGAGCAGTTTTGAAACACTCTTTTTGTGGAATCTGAAAGTGGATATTTGGATAGCTTTGAGGATTTCGTTGGAAACGGGATTACATATAAAATCTAGAGAGAAGCATTCTCAGGAACTTCTTTGTGATGTTTGCATTCAAGTCACAGAACTGAACATTCCCTTTCATAGAGCATGTTTGAAACACTCTTTCTGTAGTATCTGCAAGCGGACGTTTTAAGCGCTTTCAGGCCTGTGGTGAGAAAGGAAATATCTTCAAATAAAAACTAGACAGAAGCATTCTCAGAAACTTATTTGCGATGTGTGTCCTCAACTAACAGAGTTGAACCTTTCTTTTGATACAACATTTTGGAAACACTCTTTTTGTAGAATCTGCAAGTGGATATTTGGATAACTTTGAAGGTTTCGTTGGAAACGGGAATATCTTCATATGAAATCAAGACAGAAGCATTCTCAGAAACTTCTCTGTGATGTTTGCATTCAACTCATAGAGTTGAACACTTCCCTTCATACAGCAGGTTTGAAACACTCTTTTTCTAATATTTGGAAGTGGACATTTGCAGCGCTTTGAGGCCTATGATGAAAAAGGTAATATCTTCCCATAAAAACTAGACAGAAGCATTCTCAGAAACTTGTTTGTGATGTGTGTATTCAACTAACAGAGATGAACCTTTCTTTTTACAGAGCAGTTTTGAAACACTCTTTTTGTGGAATCTGAAAGTGGATATTTGGATAGCTTTGCGGATTTCGTTGGAAACGGGATTACATATAAAATCTAGGGAGAAGCATTCTCAGGAACTTCTTTGTGATGTTTGCATTCAAGTCACAGAACTGAACATTCCCTTTCATAGAGCAGGTTTGAAACACTCTTTCTGTAGTATCTGCAAGCGGACGTTTTAAGCGCTTTCAGGCCTGTGGTGAGAAAGGAAATATCTTCAAATAAAAACTAGACAGAAGCATTCTCAGAAACTTATTTGCGATGTGTGTCCTCAACTAACAGAGTTGAACCTTTCTTTTGATACAACATTTTGGAAACACTCTTTTTGTAGAATCTGCAAGTGGATATTTGGATAGCTTTGAAGGTTTCGTTGGAAACGGGAATATCTTCATATGAAATCAAGACAGAAGCATTCTCAGAAACTTCTCTGTGATGTTTGCATTCAACTCATAGAGTTGAACACTTCCCTTCATACAGCAGGTTTGAAACACTCTTTTTGTAATATTTGGAAGTGGACATTTGCAGCGCTTTGAGGCCTATGTTGAAAAAGGAAATATCTTCTCCTAAAAACCAGACAGAAGCATTCTCAGAAACTTCCTTGTGATGTGTGTACTCAAGTAACAGAGTTGAACCTTACTTTTGACAGAGCCGTTTTGAAACAGTCTTTTTGTAGAATCTGGAAGTAGATATTTGGATACCTTTGAGGATTTCTTTGGACACGGGATATCTTCATATAAAATCTAGACAGAAGCATTCTCAGACACTTCTTTGTGCTGTATGTCCTCAACTAACAGAGTTGAACCTTTGTTTTGATACGGCATTTTGGAAACACTCTTTTTGTAGAATGTGCAAGTTGATATTTAGATAGCTAGGAAGATTTCCTTGGAAACGGGAATATCTTCATATAAAATCTAGACGGAAGCATTCTCAGAAAGTGCTTTGTGATGTTTGCATTCAAGTCACAGAGTTGAATATTCCCTTTTATAGAGCAGGTTTGAAACACTCTTTCTGCACTACCTGGAAGTGGACATTTGGAGCGCTTTGAGGCCTATGTTGAAAAAGGAAATATCTTCCCATAAAAACTAGACAGAAGCATTCTCAGAAACTTGTTTGTGATGTGTGTATTCAACTAACAGAGATGAACCTTTCTTTTTACAGAGCAGTTTTGAAACACTCTTTTTGTGGAATCTGAAAGTGGATATTTGGATAGCTTTGAGGATTTCGTTGGAAACGGGATTACATATAAAACCTAGAGAGAAGCATTCTCAGGAACTTCTTTGTGATGTTTGCCTTCAAGTCACAGGACTGAACATTCCCTTTCATAGAGCAGGTTTGAAACACTCTTTCTGTAGTATCTGCAAGCTGACGTTTCAAGCGCTTTCAGGCCTATGGTGAGAAAGGAAATATCTTCAAGTAAAAACTAGACAGAAGCATTCTCAGAAACTTATTTGCCATGTGTGTTCTCAACTAACAGAGTTGAACCTTTGTTTTGATACGGCATTTTGGAAACACTCTTTTTGTAGAATCTGCAGGTGGATATTCGGATAGCTTTGAAGGTTTCGTTGGAAACGGGAATATCTTCATATAAAATCTAGACGGAAGCATTCTCAGAAACTGCTTTGTGATGTTTTCATTCAAGTCACAGAGTAGAATCTTCCCTGTTATATACCAGGTTTCAGACACTCTTTCTACACTACCTGGAAGTGGACATTTGCAGCGCTTTGAGGCCTATGATGAAAAAGGAAATATCTTCCCATAAAAACTAGACAGAAGCATTCTCAGAAACTTGTTTGTGATGTGTGTATTCAACTAACAGAGATGAACCTTTCTTTTTACAGAGCAGTTTTGAAACACTCTTTTTGTGGAATCTGAAAGTGGATATTTGGATAGCTTTGCGGATTTCGTTGGAAACGGGATTACATATAAAATCTAGGGAGAAGCATTCTCAGGAACTTCTTTGTGATGTTTGCGTTCAAGTCACAGAACTGAACATTCCCTTTCATAGAGCAGGTTTGAAACACTCTTTCTGTAGTATCTGCAAGCGGACGTTTCAAGCGCTTTCAGGCCTGTGGTGAAAAAGGAAATATCTTCAAATAAAAACTAGACAGAAGCATTCTCAGAAACTTATTTGCCATGTGTGTTCTCAACTAACAGAGTTGAACCTTTGTTTTGATACGGCATTTTGGAAACACTCTTTTTGTAGAATCTGCAGGTGGATATTCGGATAGCTTTGAAGGTTTCGTTGGAAACGGGAATATCTTCATATAAAATCTAGACGGAAGCATTCTCAGAAACTGCTTTGTGATGTTTTCATTCAAGTCACAGAGTAGAATGTTCCCTGTTATATACCAGGTTTGAGACACTCTTTCTGCACTACCTGGAAGTGGACGTTTGGAGCGCTTTGAGGCCTATGTTGAAAAAGGAAATATCTTCCCATAAAAACTAGACAGAAGCATTCTCAGAAACTTGTTTGTGATGTGTGTATTCAACTAACAGAGATGAACCTTTCTTTTAACAGAGCAGTTTTGAAACACTCTTTTTGTGGAATCTGAAAGTGGATATTTGGATAGCTTTGAGGATTTCGTTGGAAACGGGATTACATATAAAATCTAGGGAGAAGCATTCTCAGGAACTTCTTTGTGATGTTTGCATTCAAGTCACAGAACTGAACATTCCCTTTCATAGAGCAGGTTTGAAACACTCTTTCTGTAGTATCTGCAAGTGGACGTTTCAAGCGCTTTCAGGCCTGTGGTGAAAAAGGAAATATCTTCAAATAAAAACTAGACAGAAGCATTCTCAGAAACTTATTTGCGATGTGTGTTCTCAACTAACAGAGTTGAACCTTTGTTTTGATACAGCATTTTGGAAACACTCTTTTTGTAGGATCTGCAGGTGGATATTTGGATAGCTTTGAAGGTTTCGTTGGAAACGGGAATATCTTCATATAAAATCAAGACAGAAGCATTCTCAGAAACTTCTCTGTGATGTTTGCATTCAACTCATAGAGTTGAACACTTCCCTTCATACAGCAGGTTTGAAACACTCTTTTTGTAATATTTGGAAGTGGACATTTGCAGCGCTTTGAGGCCTATGATGAAAAAGGAAATATCTTCCCATAAAAACTAGACAGGAAGCATTCTCAGAAACTTCCTTGTGATGTGTGTACTCAAGTAACAGAGTTGAACCTTACTTTTGACAGAGCCGTTTTGAAACAGTCTTTTTGTAGAATCTGGAAGTAGATATTTGGATACCTTTGAGGATTTCTTTGGACACGGGATATCTTCATATAAAATCTAGACAGAAGCATTCTCAGAAACTTCTTTGTGCTGTATGTCCTCAATTAACAGAGTTGAACCTTTGTGTGCATACAGCATTTTGGAAACACTCCTTTAGTAGAATCTGCAAGTTGATATTTAGATAGCTAGGAAGATTTCCTTGGAAACGGGAATATCTTCACATAAAATCTAGACGGAAGCATTCTCAGAAACTGCTTTGTGATGTCTTCATTCAAGTCACAGAGTAGAATTTTCCCTTTTATAGAGCAGGTTTGAAACACTCAGTGCACTACCTGGAAGTGGACATTTGGAGCGCTTTGAGGCCTATGTTGGAAAAGGAAGTATCTTCCCATAGAAACTAGACAGAAGCATTCTCAGAAACTTGTTTGTGATGTGTGTATTCAACTAACAGAGATGAACCTTTCTTTTTACAGAGCAGTTTTGAAACACTCTTTTTGTGGAATCTGAAAGTGGATATTTGGATAGCTTTGAGGATTTCGTTGGAAACGGGATTACATATAAAACCTAGAGAGAAGCATTCTCAGGAACTTCTTTGTGATGTTTGCATTCAAGTCACAGAACTGAACATTCCCTTTCATAGAGCATGTTTGAAACACTCCTTCTGTAGTATCTGCAAGCGGACGTTACAAGCGCTTTCAGGCCTATGGTGAGAAAGGAAATATCTTCAAGTAAAAACTAGACAGAAGCATTCTCAGAAACTTATTTGCCATGTGTGTTCTCAACTAACAGAGTTGAACCTTTGTTTTGATACGGCATTTTGGAAACACTCTTTTTGTAGAATCTGCAGGTGGATATTCGGATAGCTTTGAAGGTTTCGTTGGAAACGGGAATATCTTCATATAAAATCTAGACGGAAGCATTCTCAGAAACTGCTTTGTGATGTTTTCATTCAAGTCACAGAGTAGAATGTTTCCCTGTTATATACCAGGTTTGAGACACTCTTTCTGCACTACCTGGAAGTGGACATTTGCAGCGCTTTGAGGCCTATGATGAAAAAGGAAATATCTTCCCATAAAAACTAGACAGAAGCATTCTCAGAAACTTGTTTGTGATGTGTGTATTCAAACTAACAGAGATGAACCTTTCTTTTTACAGAGCAGTTTTGAAACACTCTTTTTGTGGAATCTGAAAGTGGATATTTGGATAGCTTTGAGGATTTCGTTGGAAACGGGATTACATATAAAACCTAGAGAGAAGCATTCTCAGGAACTTCTTTGTGATGTTTGCATTCACGTCACAGAACTGAACATTCCCTTTCATAGATCATGTTTGAAACACTCTTTCTGTAGTATCTGCAAACGGACATTTCAAGCGCTTTCAGGCCTATGGTAAGAAAGGAAATATCTTCAAATAAAAACTAGACAGAAGCATTCTCAGAAACTTATTTGCGATGTGTGTCCTCAACTGACAGAGTTGAACCTTTGTTTTGATACAACATTTTGGAAACACTCTTTTTGTAGAATCTGCAAGTGGATATTTGGATAGCTTTGAAGGTTTCGTTGGAAACGGGAATATCTTCATATAAAATCAAGACAGAAGCATTCTCAGAAACTGCTTTGTGATGTTTTCATTCAAGTCACAGAGTAGAATCTTCCCTGTTATATACCAGGTTTCAGACACTCTTTCTGCACTACCTGGAAGTGGACATTTGCAGCGCTTTGAGGCCTATGATGAAAAAGGAAATATCTTCCCATAAAAACTAGACAGAAGCATTCTCAGAAACTTGTTTGTGATGTGTGTATTCAACTAACAGAGATGAACCTTTCTTTTTACAGAGCAGTTTTGAATCACTCTTTTTGTGGAATCTGAAAGTGGATATTTGGATAGCTTTGAGGATTTCGTTGGAAACGGGATTACATATAAAATCTAGAGAGAAGCATTCTCAGGAACTTCTTTGTGATGTTTGCATTCATGTCACAGAACTGAACATTCCCTTTCATAGAGCATGTTTGAAACACTCTTTCTGTAGTATCTGCAAACGGACATTTCAAACGCTTTCAGGCCTATGGTGAGAAAGGAAATATCTTCAAATAAAAACTAGACAGAAGCATTCTCAGAAACTTATTTGCGATGTGTGTCCTCAACTAACAGAGTTGAACCTTTCTTTTGATACAACATTTTGGAAACACTCTTTTTGTAGAATCTGCAAGTGGATATTTGAATAGCTTTGAAGGTTTCGTTGGAAACGGGAATATCTTCAAATAAAAACTAGACAGAAGCATTCTCAGAAACTTCTCTGTGATGTTTGCATTCAACTCATAGAGTTGAACACTTCCCTTCATACAGCAGGTTTGAAACACTCTTTTTGTAATATTTGGAAGTGGACATTTGCAGCGCTTTGAGGCCTATGATGAAAAAGGTAATATCTTCCCATAAAAACTAGACAGAAGCATTCTCAGAAACTTGTTTGTGATGTGTGTATTCAACTAACAGAGATGAACCTTTCTTTTTACAGAGCAGTTTTGAAACACTCTTTTTGTGGAATCTGAAAGTGGATATTTGGATAGCTTTGCGGATTTCGTTGGAAACGGGATTACATATAAAATCTAGGGAGAAGCATTCTCAGGAACTTCTTTGTGATGTTTGCATTCAAGTCACAGAACTGAACATTCCCTTTCATAGAGCAGGTTTGAAACACTCTTTCTGTAGTATCTGCAAGCGGACGTTTTAAGCGCTTTCAGGCCTGTGGTGAGAAAGGAAATATCTTCAAATAAAAACTAGACAGAAGCATTCTCAGAAACTTATTTGCGATGTGTGTCCTCAACTAACAGAGTTGAACCTTTCTTTTGATACAACATTTTGGAAACACTCTTTTTGTAGAATCTGCAAGTGGATATTTGGATAGCTTTGAAGGTTTCGTTGGAAACGGGAATATCTTCATATGAAATCAAGACTGAAGCATTCTCAGAAACTTCTCTGTGATGTTTGCATTCAACTCATAGAGTTGAACACTTCCCTTCATACAGCAGGTTTGAAACACTCTTTTTCTAATATTTGGAAGTGGACATTTGCAGCGCTTTGAGGCCTATGTTGAAAAAGGAAATATCTTCTCCTAAAAACCAGACAGAAGCATTCTCAGAAACTTGTTTGTGATGTGTGTATTCAACTAACAGAGATGAACCTTTCTTTTTACAGAGCAGTTTTGAAACACTCTTTTTGTGGAATCTGAAAGTGGATATTTGGATAGCTTTGAGGATTTCGTTGGAAACGGGATTACATATAAAATCTAGAGAGAAGCATTCTCAGGAACTTCTTTGTGATGTTTGCATTCAAGTCACAGAACTGAACATTCCCTTTCATAGAGCATGTTTGAAACACTCTTTCTGTAGTATCTGCAAGCGGACGTTTCAAGCGCTTTCAGGCCTATGGTGAGAAAGGAAATATCTTCAAGTAAAAACTAGACAGAAGCATTCTCAGAAACTTATTTGCCATGTGTGTCCTCAACTAACAGAGTTGAACCTTTGTTTTGATATGGCATTTTGGAAACACTCTTTTTGTAGAATCTGCAGGTGGATATTCGGATAGCTTTGAAGGATTCGTTGGAAACGGGAATATCTTCATATAAAATCTAGACGGAAGCATTCTCAGAAACTTCTCTGTGATGTTTGCATTCAACTCATAGAGTTGAACACTTCCCTTCATACAGCAGGTTTGAAACACTCTTTTTGTAATATTTGGAAGTGGACATTTGCAGCGCTTTGAGGCCTATGTTGAAAAAGGAAATATCTTCTCCTAAAAACCAGACAGAAGCATTCTCAGAAACTTCCTTGTGATGTGTGTACTCAAGTAACACAGTTGAACCTTCCTTTTGACAGAGCAGTTTTGAAGCACTCTTTTTGTAGAATCTGCAAGTGGATATTTTGATACCTTTGAGGATTTCGTTGGACACGGGATATCTTCATATAAAATCTAGACAGAAGCATTCTCAGGAACTTCTTTGTGATGTTTGCATTCAAGTCACAGAACTGAACATTCCCTTTCATAGAGCAGGTTTGAAACACTCTTTCTGTAGTATCTGCAAGCTGACGTTTCAAGCGCTTTCAGGCCTATGGTGAGAAAGGAAATATCTTCAAGTAAAAACTAGACAGAAGCATTCTCAGAAACTTATTTGCCATGTGTGTTCTCAACTAACAGAGTTGAACCTTTGTTTTGATACGGCATTTTGGAAACACTCTTTTTGTAGAATCTGCAGGTGGATATTCGGATAGCTTTGAAGGTTTCGTTGGAAACGGGAATATCTTCATATAAAATCTAGACGGAAGCATTCTCAGAAACTGCTTTGTGATGTTTTCATTCAAGTCACAGAGTAGAATGTTCCGTGTTATATACCAGGTTTGAGACACTCTTTCTGCACTACCTGGAAGTGGACGTTTGGAGCGCTTTGAGGCCTATGTTGAAAAAGGAAATATCTTCCCATAAAAACTAGACAGAAGCATTCTCAGAAACTTGTTTGTGATGTGTGTATTCAACTAACAGAGATGAACCTTTCTTTTTACAGAGCAGTTTTGAAACACTCTTTTTGTGGAATCTGAAAGTGGATATTTGGATAGCTTTGAGGATTTCGTTGGAAACGGGATTACATATAAAACCTAGAGAGAAGCATTCTCAGGAACTCCTTTGTGATGTTTGCCTTCAAGTCACAAGACTGAACATTCCCTTTCATAGAACAGGTTTGAAACACTCTTTCTGTAGTATCTGCAAGCTGACGTTTCAAGCGCTTTCAGGCCTATGGTGAGAAAGGAAATATCTTCAAGTAAAAACTAGACAGAAGCATTCTCAGAAACTTATTTGCCATGTGTGTTCTCAACTAACAGAGTTGAACCTTTGTTTTGATACGGCATTTTGGAAACACTCTTTTTGTAGAATCTGCAGGTGGATATTCGGATAGCTTTGAAGGTTTCGTTGGAAACGGGAATATCTTCATATAAAATCTAGACGGAAGCATTCTCAGAAACTGCTTTGTGATGTTTTCATTCAAGTCACAGAGTAGAATGTTCCCTGTTATATACCAGGTTTGAGACACTCTTTCTGCACTACCTGGAAGTGGACGTTTGGAGCGCTTTGAGGCCTATGATGAAAAAGGAAATATCTTCCCATAAAAACTAGACAGAAGCATTCTCAGAAACTTGTTTGTGATGTGTGTATTCAACTAACAGAGATGAACCTTTCTTTTTACAGAGCAGTTTTGAAACACTCTTTTTGTGGAATCTGAAAGTGGATATTTGGATAGCTTTGAGGATTTCGTTGGAAACGGGATTACATATAAAACCTAGAGAGAAGCATTCTCAGGAACTTCTTTGTGATATTTGCATTCAAGTCACAGGACTGAACATTCCCTTTCATAGAGCAGGTTTGAAACACTCTTTCTGTAGTATCTGCAAGCTGACGTTTCAAGCGCTTTCAGGCCTATGGTGAGAAAGGAAATATCTTCAAGTAAAAACTAGACAGAAGCATTCTCAGAAACTTATTTGCCATGTGTGTTCTCAACTAACAGAGTTGAACCTTTGTTTTGATACGGCATTTTGGAAACACTCTTTTTGTAGAATCTGCAGGTGGATATTCGGATAGCTTTGAAGGTTTCGTTGGAAACGGGAATATCTTCATATAAAATCTAGACGGAAGCATTCTCAGAAACTGCTTTGTGATGTTTTCATTGAAGCCACAGAGTAGAATGTTCCCTTTTATATACCAGGTTTGAGACACTCTTTCTGCACTATCTGGAAGTGGACATTTGGAGCGCTTTGAGGCCTATGATGAAAAAGGAAATATCTTCCCATAAAAACTAGACAGAAGCATTCTCAGAAACTTGTTTGTGATGTGTGTATTCAACTAACAGAGATGAACCTTTCTTTTTACAGAGCAGTTTTGAAACATTCTTTTTGTGGAATCTGAAAGTGGATATTTGGATAGCTTTGAGGATTTCGTTGGAAACGGGATTACATATAAAATCTAGAGAGAAGCATTCTCAGGAACTTCTTTGTGATGTTTGCATTCACGTCACAGAACTGAACATTCCCTTTCATAGAGCATGTTTGAAACACTCTTTCTGTAGTATCTGCAAACGGACATTCCAAGCGCTTTCAGGCCTATGATAAGAAAGGAAATATCTTCAAATAAAAACTAGACAGAAGCATTCTCAGAAACTTATTTGCGATGTGTGTCCTCAACTAACAGAGTTGAACCTTTGTTTTGATACAACATTTTGGAAACACTCTTTTTGTAGAATCTGCAAGTGGATATTTGGATAGCTTTGAAGGTTTCGTTGGAAACGGGAATATCTTCATATAAAATCAAGACAGAAGCATTCTCAGAAACTTCTCTGTGATGTTTGCATTCAACTCATAGAGTTGAACACTTCCCTTCATAGAGCAGGTTTGAAACACTCTTTTTGTAATATTTGGAAGTGGACATTTGCAGCGCTTTGAGGCCTATGTTGAAAAAGGAAATATCTTCTCCTAAAAACCAGACAGAAGCATTCTCAGAAACTTCCTTGTGATGTGTGTACTCAAGTAACAGAGTTGAACCTTCCTTTTGACAGAGCCGTTTTGAAACAGTCTTTTTGTAGAATCTGGAAGTAGATATTTGGATACCTTTGAGGATTTCTTTGGAAACGGGATATCTTCATATAAAATCTAGACAGAAGCATTCTCAGGAACTTCTTTGTGATGTTTGCATTCACGTCACAGAACTGAACATTCCCTTTCATAGAGCATGTTTGAAACACTCTTTCTGTAGTATCTGCAAACGGACATTTCAAACGCTTTCAGGCCTATGGTGAGAAAGGAAATATCTTCAAGTAAAAACTAGACAGAAGCATTCTCAGAAACTTATTTGCGATGTGTGTCCTCAACTAACAGAGTTGAACCTTTCTTTTGATACAACATTTTGGAAACACTCTTTTTGTAGAATCTGCAAGTGGATATTTGAATAGCTTTGAAGGTTTCGTTGGAAACGGGAATATCTTCATATAAAATCAAGACAGAAACATTCTCAGAAACTTCTCTGTGATGTTTGCATTCAACTCATAGAGTTGAACACTTCCCTTCATACAGCAGGTTTGAAACACTCTTTTTGTAATATTTGGAAGTGGACATTTGCAGCGTTTTGAGGCCTATGATGAAAAAGGTAATATCTTCTCATAAAAACTAGACAGAAGCATTCTCAGAAACTTGTTTCTGATGTGTGTATTCAACTAACAGAGATGAACCTTTCTTTTTACAGAGTAGTTTTGAAACACTCTTTTTGTGGAATCTGAAAGTGGATATTTGGATAGCTTTGCGGATTTCGTTGGAAACGGGATTACATATAAAATCTAGGGAGAAGCATTCTCAGGAACTTCTTTGTGATGTTTGCATTCAAGTCACAGAACTGAACATTCCCTTTCATAGAGCATGTTTGAAACACTCTTTCTGTAGTATCTGCAAGTGGACGTTTCAAGCGCTTTCAGGCCTGTGGTGAAAAAGGAAATATCTTCAAATAAAAACTAGACAGAAGCATTCTCAGAAACTTATTTGCGATGTGTGTTCTCAGCTAACAGAGTTGAACCTTTGTTTTGATACAGCATTTTGGAAACACTCTTTTTGTAGGATCTGCAGGTGGATATTTGGATAGCTTTGAAGGTTTCTTTGGAAACGGGAATATCTTCATATAAAATCAAGACAGAAGCATTCTCAGAAACTTCTCTGTTCTGTTTGCATTCAACTCATAGAGTTGAACACTTCCTTTCATAGAGCTGGTTTGAAATACTCTTTTTGTAATATTTGGAAGTGGACATTGGCAGCGCTTTGAAGCCTATGGTGAAAAAGGAGATATCTTCTCCTAAAAACCAGACAGAAGCATTCTCAGAATCTTTCTTGTGATGTGTGTACTCAAGTAACAGAGTTGAACCTTCCTTTTGACAGAGCAGTTTTGAAGCACTCTTTTTGTAGAATCTGTAAGTGGATATTTTGATACCTTTGAGGATTTCGTTAGACACGGGATATCTTCATATAAAATCTAGACAGAAGCATTCTCAGAAACTGCTTTGTGATGTTTTCATTCAAGTCACAGAGTAGAATGTTCCCTGTTATATACCAGGTTTGAGACACTCTTTCTGCACTACGCGGAAGTGGACGTTTGGAGCGCTTTGAGGCCAATGTTGAAAAAGGAAATATCTTCCCATAAAAACTAGACAGAAGCATTCTCAGAAACTTGTTTGTGATGTGTGTATTCAACTAACAGAGATGAACCTTTCTTTTTACAGAGCAGTTTTGAAACACTCTTTTTGTGGAATCTGAAAGTGGATATTTGGATAGCTTTGAGGATTTCGTTGGAAACGGGATTACATATAAAATCTAGAGAGAAGCATTCTCAGGAACTTCTTTGTGATGTTTGCATTCAAGTCACAGAACTGAACATTCCCTTTCATAGAGCAGGTTTGAAACACTCTTTCTGTAGTATCTGCTAGCGGACGTTTTAAGCGCTTTCAGGCCTGTGGTGAGAAAGGAAATATCTTCAAATAAAAACTAGACAGAAGCATTCTCAGAAACTTATTTGCGATGTGTGTCCTCAACTAACAGAGTTGAACCTTTCTTTTGATACAACATTTTGGAAACACTCTTTTTGTAGAATCTGCAAGTGGATATTTGAATAGCTTTGAAGGTTTCGTTGGAAACGGGAATATCTTCATATAAAATCAAGACAGAAGCATTCTCAGAAACTTCTCTGTGATGTTTGCATTCAACTCATAGAGTTGAACACTTCCCTTCATACAGCAGGTTTGAAACACTCTTTTTGTAATATTTGGAAGTGGACATTTGCAGCGCTTTGAGGCCTATGATGAAAAAGGAAATATCTTCCCATAAAAACTAGACAGAAGCATTCTCAGAAACTTGTTTGTGATGTGTGTATTCAACTAACAGAGATGAACCTTTCTTTTTACAGAGCAGTTTTGAAACACTCTTTTTGTGGAATCTGAAAGTGGATATTTGGATAGCTTTGCGGATTTCGTTGGAAACGGGATTACATATAAAATCTAGGGAGAAGCATTATCAGGAACTTCTTTGTGATGTTTGCATTCAAGTCACAGAACTGAACATTCCCTTTCATAGAGCAGGTTTGAAACACTCTTTCTGTAGTATCTGCAAGCGGACGTTTTAAGCGCTTTCAGGCCTGTGGTGAGAAAGGAAATATCTTCAAATAAAAACTAGACAGAAGCATTCTCAGAAACTTATTTGCGATGTGTGTCCTCAACTAACAGAGTTGAACCTTTCTTTTGATACAACATTTTGGAAACACTCTTTTTGTAGAATCTGCAAGTGGATATTTGGATAGCTTTGAAGGTTTCGTTGGAAACGGGAATATCTTCATATGAAATCAAGACAGAAGCATTCTCAGAAACTTCTCTGTGATGTTTGCATTCAACTCATAGAGTTGAACACTTCCCTTCATACAGCAGGTTTGAAACACTCTTTTTGTAATATTTGGAAGTGGACATTTGCAGCGCTTTGAGGCCTATGTTGAAAAAGGAAATATCTTCTCCTAAAAACCAGACAGAAGCATTCTCAGAAAATTGTTTGTGATGTGTGTATTCAACTAACAGAGATGAACCTTTCTTTTTACAGAGCTGTTTTGAAACACTCTTTTTGTGGAATCTGAAAGTGGATATTTGGATAGCTTTGCGGATTTCGTTGGAAACGGGATTACATATAAAATCTAGGGAGAGAAGCATTCTCAGGAACTTCTTTGTGATGTTTGCATTCAAGTCACAGAACTGAACATTCCCTTTCATAGAGCAGGTTTGAAACACTCTTTCTGTAGTATCTGCAAGCTGACGTTTCAAGCGCTTTCAGGCCTATGGTGAGAAAGGAAATATCTTCAAGTAAAAACTAGACAGAAGCATTCTCAGAAACTTATTTGCGATGTGTGTCCTCAACTAACAGAGTTGAACCTTTCTTTTGATACAACATTTTGGAAACACTCTTTTTGTAGAATCTGCAAGTGGATATTTGAATAGCTTTGAAGGTTTCGTTGGAAACGGGAATATCTTCATATAAAATCAAGACAGAAGCATTCTCAGAAACTTCTCTGTGATGTTTGCATTCAACTCATAGAGTTGAACACTTCCCTTCATACAGCAGGTTTGAAACACTCTTTTTGTAATATTTGGAAGTGGACATTTGCAGCGCTTTGAGGCCTATGATGAAAAAGGAAATATCTTCCCATAAAAACTAGACAGAAGCATTCTCAGAAACTTGTTTGTGATGTGTGTATTCAACTAACAGAGATGAACCTTTCTTTTTACAGAGCAGTTTTGAAACACTCTTTTTGTGGAATCTGAAAGTGGATATTTGGATAGCTTTGAGGATTTCGTTGGAAACGGGATTACATATAAAACCTAGAGAGAAGCATTCTCAGGAACTTCTTTGTGATGTTTGCATTCACGTCACAGAACTGAACATTCCCTTTCATAGAGCATGTTTGAAACACTCTTTCTGTAGTATCTGCAAACGGACATTTCAAACGCTTTCAGGCCTATGGTGAGAAAGGAAATATCTTCAAATAAAAACTAGACAGAAGCATTCTCAGAAACTTATTTGCGATGTGTGTCCTCAACTAACAGAGTTGAACCTTTGTTTTGATACAACATTTTGGAAACACTCTTTTTGTAGTATCTGCAAGTGGATATTTGGATAGCTTTGAAGGTTTCTTTGGAAACGGGAATATCTTCATATAAAATCAAGACAGAAGCATTCTCAGAAACTGCTTTGTGATGTTTTCATTCAAGTCACAGAGTAGAATGTTCCCTGTTATATACCAGGTTTGAGACACTCTTTCTGCACTACCTGGAAGTGGACATTTGCAGCGCTTTGAGGCCTATGATGAAAAAGGAAATATCTTCCCATAAAAACTAGACAGAAGCATTCTCAGAAACTTGTTTGTGATGTGTGTATTCAACTAACAGAGATGAACCTTTCTTTTTACAGAGCAGTTTTGAAACACTCTTTTTGTGGAATCTGAAAGTGGATATTTGGATAGCTTTGAGGATTTCGTTGGAAACGGGATTACATATAAAACCTAGAGAGAAGCATTCTCAGGAACTTCTTTGTGATGTTTGCCTTCAAGTCACAGGACTGAACATTCCCTTTCATAGAGCAGGTTTGAAACACTCTTTCTGTAGTATCTGCAAGCTGACGTTTCAAGCGCTTTCAGGCCTATGGTGAGAAAGGAAATATCTTCAAGTAAAAACTAGACAGAAGCATTCTCAGAAACTTATTTGCCATGTGTGTTCTCAACTAACAGAGTTGAACCTTTGTTTTGATACGGCATTTTGGAAACACTCTTTTTGTAGAATCTGCAGGTGGATATTCGGATAGCTTTGAAGGTTTCGTTGGAAACGGGAATATCTTCATATAAAATCTAGACGGAAGCATTCTCAGAAACTGCTTTGTGATGTTTTCATTCAAGTCACAGAGTAGAATCTTCCCTGTTATATACCAGGTTTCAGACACTCTTTCTGCACTACCTGGAAGTGGACATTTGCAGCGCTTTGAGGCCTATGATGAAAAAGGAAATATCTTCCCATAAAAACTAGACAGAAGCATTGCTCAGAAACTTGTTTGTGATGTGTGTATTCAACTAACAGAGATGAACCTTTCTTTTTACAGAGCAGTTTTGAAACACTCTTTTTGTGGAATCTGAAAGTGGATATTTGGATAGCTTTGAGGATTTCGTTGGAAACGGGATTACATATAAAACCTAGAGAGAAGCATTCTCAGGAACTTCTTTGTGATGTTTGCCTTCAAGTCACAGGACTGAACATTCCCTTTCATAGAGCAGGTTTGAAACACTCTTTCTGTAGTATCTGCAAGCTGACGTTTCAAGCGCTTTCAGGCCTATGGTGAGAAAGGAAATATCTTCAAGTAAAAACTAGACAGAAGCATTCTCAGAAACTTATTTGCCATGTGTGTTCTCAACTAACAGAGTTGAACCTTTGTTTTGATACGGCATTTTGGAAACACTCTTTTTGTAGAATCTGCAGGTGGATATTCGGATAGCTTTGAAGGTTTCGTTGGAAACGGGAATATCTTCATATAAAATCTAGACGGAAGCATTCTCAGAAACTGCTTTGTGATGTTTTCATTCAAGTCACAGAGTAGAATGTTCCCTGTTATATACCAGGTTTGAGACACTCTTTCTGCACTACCCGGAAGTGGACGTTTGGAGCGCTTTGAGGCCTATGTTGAAAAACGAAATATCTTCCCATAAAAACTAGACAGAAGCATTCTCAGAAACTTGTTTGTGATGTGTGTATTCAACTAACAGAGATGAACCTTTCTTTTTACAGAGCAGTTTTGAAACACTCTTTTTGTGGAATCTGAAAGTGGATATTTGGATAGCTTTGAGGATTTCGTTGGAAACGGGATTACATATAAAATCTAGAGAGAAGCATTCTCAGGAACTTCTTTGTGATGTTTGCATTCACGTCACAGAACTGAACATTCCCTTTCATAGAGCATGTTTAAAACACTCTTTCTGTAGTATCTGCAAACGGACATTTCAAGCGCTTTCAGGCCTATGGTAAGAAAAGAAATATCTTCAAATAAAAACTAGACAGAAGCATTCTCAGAAACTTATTTGCGATGTGTGTCCTCAACTAACAGAGTTGAACCTTTGTTTTGATACAACATTTTGGAAACACTCTTTTTGTAGAATCTGCAAGTGGATATTTGGATAGCTTTGAAGGTTTCGTTGGAAACGGGAATATCTTCATATAAAATCAAGACAGAAGCATTCTCAGAAACTTCTCTGTGATGTTTGCATTCAACTCATAGAGGTGAACACTTCCCTTCATAGAGCAGGTTTGAAACACTCTTTTTGTAATATTTGGAAGTGGACATTTGCAGCGCTTTGAGGCCTATGTTGAAAAAGGAAATATCTTCTCCTAAAAACCAGACAGAAGCATTCTCAGAAACTTCCTTGTGATGTGTGTACTCAAGTAACACAGTTGAACCTTCCTTTTGACAGAGCCGTTTTGAAACAGTCTTTTTGTAGAATCTGGAAGTAGATATTTGGACACCTTTGAGGATTTCTTTGGAAACGGGATATCTTCATATAAAATCTAGACAGAAGCATTCTCAGAAACTTCTTTGTGCTGTATGTCCTCAATTAACAGAGTTGAACCTTTGTGTGGATACAGCATTTTGGAAACACTCCTTTAGTAGGATATGCAAGTTGATATTTAGATAGCTAGGAAGATTTCCTTGGAAACGGGAATATCTTCATATAAAATCTAGACGGAAGCATTCTCAGAAAGTGCTTTGTGATGTTTGCATTCAAGTCACAGAGTTGAATATTCCCTTTTATAGAGCAGGATTGAAACACTCTTTCTGCACTACCTGGAAGTGGACATTTGGAGCGCTTTGAGGCCTATGTTGAAAAAGGAAATATCTTCCCATAAAAACTAGACAGAAGCATTCTCAGAAACTTGTTTGTGATGTGTGTATTCAACTAACAGAGATGAACCTTTCTTTTTACAGAGCAGTTTTGAAACACTCTTTTTGTGGAATCTGAAAGTGGATATTTGGATAGCTTTGAGGATTTCGTTGGAAACGGGATTACATATAAAACCTAGAGAGAAGCATTCTCAGGAACTTCTTTGTGATGTTTGCCTTCAAGTCACAGGACTGAACATTCCCTTTCATAGAGCAGGTTTGAAACACTCTTTCTGTAGTATCTGCAAGCTGACGTTTCAAGCGCTTTCAGGCCTATGGTGAGAAAGGAAATATCTTCAAGTAAAAACTAGACAGAAGCATTCTCAGAAACTTATTTGCCATGTGTGTTCTCAACTAACAGAGTTGAACCTTTGTTTTGATACGGCATTTTGGAAACACTCTTTTTGTAGAATCTGCAGGTGAATATTCGGATAGCTTTGAAGGTTTCGTTGGAAACGGGAATATCTTCATATAAAATCTTGACGGAAGCATTCTCAGAAACTGCTTTGTGATGTTTTCATTCAAGTCACAGAGTAGAATCTTCCCTGTTATATACCAGGTTTCAGACACTCTTTCTGCACTACCTGGAAGTGGACATTTGCAGCGCTTTGAGGCCTATGATGAAAAAGGAAATATCTTCCCATAAAAACTAGACAGAAGCATTCTCAGAAACTTGTTTGTGATGTGTGTATTCAACTAACAGAGATGAACCTTTCTTTTTACAGAGCAGTTTTGAAACACTCTTTTTGTGGAATCTGAAAGTGGATATTTGGATAGCTTTGAGGATTTCGTTGGAAACGGGATTACATATAAAATCTAGAGAGAAGCATTCTCAGGAACTTCTTTGTGATGTTTGCATTCACGTCACAGAACTGAACATTCCCTTTCATAGAGCATGTTTGAAACACTCTTTCTGTAGTATCTGCAAACGGACATTTCAAACGCTTTCAGGCCTATGGTGAGAAAGGAAATATCTTCAAATAAAAACTAGACAGAAGCATTCTCAGAAACTTATTTGCGATGTGTGTCCTCAACTAACAGAGTTGAAGCTTTCTTTTGATACAACATTTTGGAAACACTCTTTTTGTAGAATCTGCAAGTGGATATTTGAATAGCTTTGAAGGTTTCGTTGGAAACGGGAATATCTTCATATAAAATCAAGACAGAAGCATTCTCAGAAACTTCTCTGTGATGTTTGCATTCAACTCATAGAGTTGAACGCTTCCCTTCATACAGCAGGTTTGAAACACTCTTTTTGTAATATTTGGAAGTGGACATTTGCAGCGCTTTGAGGCCTATGATGAAAAAGGTAATATCTTCCCATAAAAACTAGACAGAAGCATTCTCAGAAACTTGTTTGTGATGTGTGTATTCAACTAACAGAGATGAACCTTTCTTTTTACAGAGCAGTTTTGAAACACTCTTTTTGTGGAATCTGAAAGTGGATATTTGGATAGCTTTGAGGATTTCGTTGGAAACGGGATTACATATAAAATCTAGAGAGAAGCATTCTCAGGAACTTCTTTGTGATGTTTGCATTCACGTCACAGAACTGAACATTCCCTTTCATAGAGCATGTTTGAAACACTCCTTCTGTAGTATCTGCAAACGGACATTTCAAGCGCTTTCAGGCCTATGGTAAGAAAGGAAATATATTCAAATAAAAACTAGACAGAAGCATTCTCAGAAACTTATTTGCGATGTGTGTCCTCAAATAACAGAGTTGAACCTTTGTTTTGATACAACATTTTGGAAACACTCTTTTTGTAGAATCTGCAAGTGGATATTTGGATAGCTTTGAAGGTTTCGTTGGAAACGGGAATATCTTCATATAAAATCAAGACAGAAGCATTCTCAGAAACTTCTCTGTGATGTTTGCATTCAACTCATAGAGGTGAACACTTCCCTTCATAGAGCAGGTTTGAAACACTCTTTTTGTAATATTTGGAAGTGGACATTTGCAGCGCTTTGAGGCCTATGTTGAAAAAGGAAATATCTTCTCCTAAAAACCAGACAGAAGCATTCTCAGAAACTTATTTGCGATGTGTGTTCTCAACTAAAAGAGTTGAACCTTTGTTTGGATACAGCACTTTGGAAACACTCTTTTTGTAGAATCTGCAAGTGGATATTTGGATAGCTTTGAAGGTTTCATTGGAAACGGGAATATCTTCATATAAAATCAAGAGAGAAGCATTCTCAGAAACTTCTCTGTGATGTTTGCATTCAACTCATAGAGTTGAACACTTCCCTTCATACAGCAGGTTTGAAACACTCTTTTTCTAATATTTGGAAGTGGACATTTGCAGCGCTTTGAGGCCTATGTTGAAAAAGGAAATATCTTCTCCTAAAAACCAGACAGATGCATTCTCAGAAACTTGTTTGTGATGTGTGTATTCAACTAACAGAGATGAACCTTTCTTTTTACAGAGCAGTTTTGAAACACTCTTTTTGTGGAATCTGAAAGTGGATATTTGGATAGCTTCGAGGATTTCGTTGGAAACGGGATTACATATAAAATCTAGAGAGAAGCATTCTCAGGAACTTCTTTGTGATGTTTGCCTTCAAGTCACAGGACTGAACATTCCCTTTCATAGAGCAGGTTTGAAACACTCTTTCTGTAGTATCTGCAAGCTGACGTTTCAAGCGCTTTCAGGCCTATGGTGAGAAAGGAAATATCTTCAAGTAAAAACTAGACAGAAGCATTCTCAGAAACTTATTTGCCATGTGTGTTCTCAACTAACAGAGTTGAACCTTTGTTTTGATACGGCATTTTGGAAACACTCTTTTTGTAGAATCTGCAGGTGGATATTCGGATAGCTTTGAAGGTTTCGTTGGAAACGGGAATATCTTCATATAAAATCTTGACGGAAGCATTCTCAGAAACTGCTTTGTGATGTTTTCATTCAAGTCACAGAGTAGAATCTTCCCTGTTATATACCAGGTTTCAGACACTCTTTCTGCACTACCTGGAAGTGGACATTTGCAGCGCTTTGAGGCCTATGATGAAAAAGGAAATATCTTCCCATGAAAACTAGACAGAAGCATTCTCAGAAACTTGTTTGTGATGTGTGTATTCAACTAACAGAGATGAACCTTTCTTTTTACAGAGCAGTTTTGAAACACTCTTTTTGTGGAATCTGAAAGTGGATATTTGGATAGCTTTGAGGATTTCGTTGGAAACGGGATTACATATAAAACCTAGAGAGAAGCATTCTCAGGAACTTCTTTGTGATGTTTGCATTCACGTCACAGAACTGAACATTCCCTTTCATAGAGCATGTTTGAAACACTCTTTCTGTAGTATCTGCAAGCGGACGTTTCAAGCGCTTTCAGGCCTATGGTGAGAAAGGAAATATCTTCAAGTAAAAACTAGACAGAAGCATTCTCAGAAACTTATTTGCCATGTGTGTTCTCAACTAACAGAGTTGAACCTTTGTTTTGATACGGCATTTTGGAAACACTCTTTTTGTAGAATCTGCAGGTGGATATTCGGATAGCTTTGAAGGTTTCGTTGGAAACGGGAATATCTTCATAGAAAATCTAGACGGAAGCATTCTCAGAAACTGCTTTGTGATGTTTTCATTGAAGTCACAGAGTAGAATGTTCCCTTTTATATACCAGGTTTGAGACACTCTTTCTGCACTATCTGGAAGTGGACATTTGGAGCGCTTTGAGGCCTATGATGAAAAAGGAAATATCTTCCCATAAAAACTAGACAGAAGCATTCTCAGAAACTTGTTTGTGATGTGTGTATTCAACTAACAGAGATGAACCTTTCTTTTTACAGAGCAGTTTTGAAACACTCTTTTTGTGGAATCTGAAAGTGGATATTTGGATAGCTTTGAGGATTTCGTTGAAACGGGATTACGTATAAAATCTAGAGAGAAGCATTCTCAGGAACTTCTTTGTGATGTTTGCATTCACGTCACAGAACTGAACATTCCCTTTCATAGAGCATGTTTGAAACACTCTTTCTGTAGTATCTGCAAACGGACATTTCAAGCGCTTTCAGGCCTATGGTAAGAAAGGAAATATCTTCAAATAAAAACTAGACAGAAGCATTCTCAGAAACTTATTTGCGATGTGTGTCCTCAACTAACAGAGTTGAACCTTTGTTTTGATACAACATTTTGGAAACACTCTTTTAGTAGAATCTGCAAGTGGATATTCGGATAGCTTTGAAGGTTTCGTTGGAAACGGGAATATCTTCATATAAAATCAAGACAGAAGCATTCTCAGGAACTTCTTTGTGATGTTTGCATTCACGTCACAGAACTGAACATTCCCTTTCATAGAGCATGTTTGAAACACTCTTTCTGTAGTATCTGCAAACGGACATCTCAAACGCTTTCAGGCCTATGGTGAGAAAGGAAATATCTTCAAATAAAAACTAGACAGAAGCATTCTCAGAAACTTATTTGTGATGTGTGTCCTCAACTAACAGAGTTGAACCTTTCTTTTGATACAACATTTTGGAAACACTCTTTTTGTGGAATCTGCAAGTGGATATTTGGATAGCTTTGAAGGTTTCGTTGGAAACGGGAATATCTTCATATAAAATCAAGACAGAAGCATTCTCAGAAACTTCTCTGTGATGTTTGCATTCAACTCATAGAGTTGAACACTTCCCTTCATACAGCAGGTTTGAAACACTCTTTTTGTAATATTTGGAAGTGGACATTTGCAGCGCTTTGAGGCCTATGATGAAAAAGGAAATATCTTCCCATAAAAACTAGACAGGAAGCATTCTCAGAAACTTGTTTGTGATGTGTGTATTCAACTAACAGAGATGAACCTTTCTTTTTACAGAGCAGTTTTGAAACACTCTTTTTGTGGAATCTGAAAGTGGATATTTGGATAGCTTTGAGGATTTCGTTGGAAACGGGATTACATATAAAATCTAGAGAGAAGCATTCTCAGGAACTTCTTTGTGATGTTTGCATTCAAGTCACAGAACTTAACATTCCCTGTCATAGAGCATGTTTGAAACACTCTTTCTGTAGTATCTGCAAGCGGACGTTTCAAGCGCTTTCAGGCCTATGGTGAGAAAGGAAATATCTTCAAGTAAAAACTAGACAGAAGCATTCTCAGAAACTTATTTGCCATGTGTGTTCTCAACTAACAGAGTTGAACCTTTGTTTTGATACGGCATTTTGGAAACACTCTTTTTGTAGAATCTGCAGGTGGATATTCGGACAGCTTTGAAGGTTTCGTTGGAAACGGGAATATCTTCATATAAAATCTAGACGGAAGCATTCTCAGAAACTGCTTTGTGATGTTTCCATTGAAGTCAGAGAGTAGAATGTTCCCTTTTATATACCACGTTTGAGACACTCTTTCTGCGCTATCTGGAAGTGGACATTTGGAGCGCTTTGAGGCCTATGATGAAAAAGGAAATATCTTCCCATAAAAACTAGACAGAAGCATTCTCAGAAACTTCCTTGTGATGTGTGTACTCAAGTAACAGAGTTGAACCTTCCTTTTGACAGAGCAGTTTTGAAGCACTCTTTTTGTAGAATCTGCAAGTGGATATTTTGATACCTTTGAGGATTTCGTTGGACACGGGATATCTTCATATAAAATCTAGACAGAAGCATTCTCAGGAACTTCTTTGTGATGTTTGCATTCACGTCACAGAACTGAACATTCCCTTTCATAGAGCATGTTTGAAACACTCTTTCTGTAGTATCTGCAAACGGACATTTCAAACGCTTTCAGGCCTATGGTGAGAAAGGAAATATCTTCAAGTAAAAACTAGACAGAAGCATTCTCAGAAACTTATTTGCGATGTGTGTCCTCAACTAACAGAGTTGAACCTTTCTTTTGATACAACATTTTGGAAACACTCTTTTTGTAGAATCTGCAAGTGGATATTTGAATAGCTTTGAAGGTTTCGTTGGAAACGGGAATATCTTCATATAAAATCAAGACAGAAGCATTCTCAGAAACTTCTCTGTGATGTTTGCATTCAACTCATAGAGTTGAACACTTCCCTTCATACAGCAGGTTTGAAACACTCTTTTTGTAATATTTGGAAGTGGACATTTGCAGCGCTTTGAGGCCTATGATGAAAAGGTAATATCTTCCCATAAAAACTAGACAGAAGCGTTCTCAGAAACTTGTTTGTGATGTGTGTATTCAACTAACAGAGATGAACCTTTCTTTTTACAGAGCAGTTTTGAAACACTCTTTTTGTGGAATCTGAAAGTGGATATTTGGATAGCTTTGCGGATTTCGTTGGAAACCGGATTACATATAAAATCTAGGGAGAAGCATTCTCAGGAACTTCTTTGTGATGTTTGCATTCAAGTCACAGAACTGAACATTCCCTTTCATAGAGCAGGTTTGAAACACTCTTTCTGTAGTATCTGCAAGCGGACGTTTTAAGCGCTTTCAGGCCTGTGGTGAGAAAGGAAATATCTTCAAATAAAAACTAGACAGAAGCATTCTCAGAAACTTATTTGCGATGTGTGTCCTCAACTAACAGAGTTGAACCTTTCTTTTGATACAACATTTTGGAAACACTCTTTTTGTAGAATCTGCAAGTGGATATTTGGATAGCTTTGAAGGTTTCGTTGGAAACGGGAATATCTTCATATGAAATCAAGACAGAAGCATTCTCAGAAACTTCTCTGTGATGTTTGCATTCAACTCATAGAGTTGAACACTTCCCTTCATACAGCAGGTTTGAAACACTCTTTTTCTAATATTTGGAAGTGGACATTTGCAGCGCTTTGAGGCCTATGTTGAAAAAGGAAATATCTTCTCCTAAAAACCAGACAGAAGCATTCTCAGAAACTTGTTTGTGATGTGTGTATTCAACTAACAGAGATGAACCTTTCTTTTTACAGAGCAGTTTTGAAACACTCTTTTTGTGGAATCTGAAAGTGGATATTTGGATAGCTTTGAGGATTTCGTTGGAAACGGGATTACATATAAAACCTAGAGAGAAGCATTCTCAGGAACTTCTTTGTGATGTTTGCATTCAAGTCACAGAACTGAACATTCCCTTTCATAGAGCAGGTTTGAAACACTCTTTCTGTAGTATCTGCAAGCTGACGTTTCAAGAGCTTTCAGGCCTATGGTGAGAAAGGAAATATCTTCAAGTAAAAACTAGACAGAAGCATTCTCAGAAACATATTTGCCATGTGTGTTCTCAACTAACAGAGTTGAACCTTTGTTTTGATACAGCATTTTGGAAACACTCTTTTTGTAGAATCTGCAGGTGGATATTCGGATAGCTTTGAAGGTTTCGTTGGAAACGGGAATATCTTCATATAAAATCAAGACAGAAGCATTCTCAGAAACTGCTTTGTGATGTTTTCATTCAAGTCACAGAGTAGAATGTTCCCTGTTATATACCAGGTTTGAGACACTCTTTCTGCACTACCTGGAAGTGGACGTTTGGAGCGCTTTGAGGCCTATGTTGAAAAAGGAAATAACTTCCCATAATAACTAGACAGAAGCATTCTCAGAAACTTGTTTGTGATGTGTGTATTCAACTAACAGAGATGAACCTTTCTTTTTACAGAGCAGTTTTGAAACACTCTTTTTGTGGAATCTGAAAGTGGATATTTGGATAGCTTTGAGGATTTCGTTGGAAACGGGATTACATAGAAAATCTAGAGAGAAGCATTCTCAGGAACTTCTTTGTGTTGTTTGCATTCACGTCACAGAACTGAACATTCCCTTTCATAGAGCATGTTTGAAACACTCTTTCTGTAGTATCTGCAAGCGGACGTTTCAAGCGCTTTCAGGCCTATGGTGAGAAAGGAAATATCTTCAAGTAAAAACTAGACAGAAGCATTCTCAGAAACTTATTTGCCATGTGTGTTCTCAACTAACAGAGTTGAACCTTTGTTTTGATACGGCATTTTGGAAACACTCTTTTTGTAGAATCTGCAGGTGGATATTCGGATAGCTTTGAAGGTTTCGTTGGAAACGGGAATATCTTCATATAAAATCTAGACGGAAGCATTCTCAGAAACTGCTTTGTGATGTTTTCATTCAAGTCACAGAGTAGAATGTTCCCTTTTATATACCAGGTTTGAGACACTCTTTCTGCACTATCTGGAAGTGGACATTTGGAGCGCTTTGAGGCCTATGATGAAAAAGGAAATATCTTCCCATAAAAACTAGACAGAAGCATTCTCAGAAACTTGTTTGTGATGTGTGTATTCAACTAACAGAGATGAACCTTTCTTTTTACAGAGCAGTTTTGAAACACTCTTTTTGTGGAATCTGAAAGTGGATATTTGGATAGCTTTGAGGATTTCGTTGGAAACGGGATTACATATAAAATCTAGAGAGAAGCATTCTCAGGAACTTCTTTGTGATGTTTGCATTCACGTCACAGAACTGAACATTCCCTTTCATAGAGCATGTTTGAAACACTCTTTCTGTAGTATCTACAAACGGACATTTCAAACGCTTCCAGGCCTATGGTGAGAAAGGAAATATCTTCAAATAAAAACTAGACAGAAGCATTCTCAGAAACTTATTTGCGATGTGTGTCCTCAACTAACAGAGTTGAACCTTTCTTTTGATACAACATTTTGGAAACACTCTTTTTGTGGAATCTGCAAGTGGATATTTGGATAGCTTTGAAGGTTTCGTTGGAAACGGGAATATCTTCATATAAAATCAAGACAGAAGCCTTCTCTGAAGCTGCATTGTGATGTTTTCATTCAAGTCCCAGAGTAGAATGTTCCCTGTTATATACCAGGTTTGAGACACTCTTTCTGCACTACCTGGAAGTGGACATTTGGAGCGCTTTGAGGCCTATGTTGAAAAAGGAAATATCTTCCCATAAAAACTAGACAGAAGCATTCTCAGAAACTTGTTTGTGATGTGTGTATTCAACTAACAGAGATGAACCTTTCTTTTTACAGAGCAGTTTTGAAACACTCTTTTTGTGGAATCTGAAAGTGGATATTTGGATAGCTTTGAGGATTTCGTTGGAAACGGGATTACATATAAAATCTAGGGAGAAGCATTCTCAGGAACTTCTTTGTGATGTTTGCATTCAAGTCACAGAACTGAACATTCCCTTTCATAGAGCAGGTTTGAAACACTCTTTCTGTAGTATCTGCAAGCTGACGTTTCAAGCGCTTTCAGGCCTATGGTGAGAAAGGAAATATCTTCAAGTAAAAACTAGACAGAAGCATTCTCAGAAAGTTATTTGCCATGTGTGTTCTCAACTAACAGAGTTGAACCTTTGTTTTGATACGGCATTTTGGAAACACTCTTTTTGTAGAATCTGCAGGTGGATATTCGGATAGTTTTGAAGGTTTCGTTGGAAACGGGAATATCTTCATATTAAATCTAGACGGAAGCATTCTCAGAAACTGCTTTGTGATGTTTTCATTCAAGTCACAGAGTAGAATGTTCCCTTTTATAGAGCAGGTTTGAGACACTCTTTCTGCACTACCTGGAAGTGGACATTTGGAGCGCTTTGAGGCCTATGATGAAAAAGGAAATATCTTCCCATAAAAACTAGACAGAAGCATTCTCAGAAACTTGTTTGTGATGTGTGTATTCAACTAACAGAGATGAACCTTTCTTTTTACAGAGCAGTTTTGAAACATTCTTTTTGTGGAATCTGAAAGTGGATATTTGGATAGCTTTGCGGATTTCGTTGGAAACGGGATTACATATAAAATCTAGGGAGAAGCATTCTCAGGAACTTCTTTGTGATGTTTGCATTCAAGTCACAGAACTGAACATTCCCTTTCATAGAGCAGGTTTGAAACACTCTTTCTGTAGTATCTGCAAGCGGACGTTTTAAGCGCTTTCAGGCCTGTGGTGAGAAAGGAAATATCTTCAAATAAAAACTAGACAGAAGCATTCTCAGAAACTTATTTGCGATGTGTGTCCTCAACTAACAGAGTTGAACCTTTCTTTTGATACAACATTTTGGAAACACTCTTTTTGTAGAATCTGCAAGTGGATATTTGGATAGCTTTGAAGGTTTCGTTGGAAACGGGAATATCTTCATATGAAATCAAGACAGAAGCATTCTCAGAAACTTCTCTGTGATGTTTGCATTCAACTCATAGAGTTGAACACTTCCCTTCATACAGCAGGTTTGAAACACTCTTTTTCTAATATTTGGAAGTGGACATTTGCAGCGCTTTGAGGCCTATGTTGAAAAAGGAAATATCTTCTCCTAAAAACCAGACAGAAGCATTCTCAGAAACTTGTTTGTGATGTGTGTATTCAACTAACAGAGATGAACCTTTCTTTTTACAGAGCAGTTTTGAAACACTCTTTTTGTGGAATCTGAAAGTGGATATTTGGATAGCTTTGCGGATTTCGTTGGAAACGGGATTACATATAAAATCTAGGGAGATGCATTCTCAGGAACTCCTTTGTGATGTTTGCATTCAAGTCACAGAACTGAACATTCCCTTTCATAGAGCAGGTTTGAAACACTCTTTCTGTAGTATCTGCAAGCGGACGTTTCAAGCGCTTTCAGGCCTGTGGTGAAAAAGGAAATATCTTCAAATAAAAACTAGACAGAAGCATTCTCAGAAACTTATTTGCGATGTGTGTTCTCAACTAACAGAGTTGAACCTTTGTTTTGATACAGCATTTTGGAAACACTCTTTTTGTAGGATCTGCAGGTGGATATTTGGATAGGTTTGAAGGTTTCGTTGGAAACGGGAATATCTTCATATAAAATCAACACAGAAGCATTCTCAGAAACTTCTCTGTGATGTTTGCATTCAACTCATAGAGTTGAACACTTCCTTTCATAGAGCTGGTTTGAAATACTCTTTTTGTAATATTTGGAAGTGGACATTGGCAGCGCTTTGAAGCCTATGGTGAAAAAGGAGATATCTTCTCCTAAAAACCAGACAGAAGCATTCTCAGAAACTTATTTGCGATGTGTGTCCTCAACTAACAGAGTTGAACCTTTCTTTTGATACAACATTTTGGAAACACTCTTTTTGTGGAATCTGCAAGTGGATATTTGGATAGCTTTGAAGGTTTCGTTGGAAACGGGAATATCTTCATATAAAATCAAGACAGAAGCATTCTCAGAAACTTCTCTGTGATGTTTGCATTCAACTCATAGAGTTGAACACTTCCCTTCATACAGCAGGTTTGAAACACTCTTTTTCTAATATTTGGAAGTGGACTTTTGCAGCGCTTTGAAGCCTATGATGAAAAAGGTAATATCTTCCCATAAAAACTAGACAGAAGCATTCTCAGAAACTTGTTTGTGATGTGTGTACTCAACTAACAGAGATGAACCTTTCTTTTTACAGAGCAGTTTTGAAACACTCTTTTTGTGGAATCTGAAAGTGGATATTTGGATAGCTTTGCGGATTTCGTTGGAAACGGGATTACATATAAAATCTAGGGAGAAGCATTCTCAGGAACTTCTTTGTGATGTTTGCATTCAAGTCACAGAACTGAACATTCCCTTTCATAGAGCATGTTTGAAACACTCTTTCTGTAGTATCTGCAAGCGGACGTTTTAAGCGCTTTCAGGCCTGTGGTGAGAAAGGAAATATCTTCAAATAAAAACTAGACAGAAGCATTCTCAGAAACTTATTTGCGATGTGTGTCCTCAACTAACAGAGTTGAACCTTTCTTTTGATACAACATTTTGGAAACACTCTTTTTGTAGAATCTGCAAGTGGATATTTGGATAGCTTTGAAGGTTTCGTTGGAAACGGGAATATCTTCATATGAAATCAAGACAGAAGCATTCTCAGAAACTTCTCTGTGATGTTTGCATTCAACTCATAGAGTTGAACACTTCCCTTCATACAGCAGGTTTGAAACACTCTTTTTCTAATATTTGGAAGTGGACATTTGCAGCGCTTTGAGGCCGATGTTGAAAAAGGAAATATCTTCTCCTAAAAACCAGACAGAAGCATTCTCAGAAACTTCCTTGTGATGTGTGTACTCAAGTAACAGAGTTGAACCTTCCTTTTGACAGAGCAGTTTTGAAGCACTCTTTTTGTAGAATCTGCAAGTGGATATTTTGATACCTTTGAGGATTTCGTTGGACACGGGATATCTTCATATAAAATCTAGACAGAAGCATTCTCAGGAACTTCTTTGTGATGTTTGCATTAAAGTCACAGAACTGAACATTCCCTTTCATAGAGCAGGTTTGAAACACTCTTTCTGTAGTATTTGCAAGCGGACGTTTGAAGCGCTTTCAGGCCTGTGGTGAAAAAGGAAATATCTTCAAATAAAAACTAGACAGAAGCATTCTCAGAAACTTATTTGCGATGTGTGTTCTCAACTAAAAGAGTTGAACCTTTGTTTGGATACAACATTTCGGAAACACTCTTTTTGTAGAATCTGTAAGTGGATATTTGGATAGCTTTGAAGGTTTCGTTGGAAACGGGAATATCTTCATATAAAATCAAGACAGAAGCATTCTCAGAAACTTCTCTGTGATGTTTGCATTCAACTCATAGAGTTGAACACTTCCCTTCATACAGCAGGTTTGAAACACTCTTTTTCTAATATTTGGAAGTGGACATTTGCAGCGCTTTGAGGCCTATGTTGAAAAAGGAAATATCTTCTCCTAAAAACCAGACAGGAAGCATTCTCAGAAACTTCCTTGTGATGTGTGTACTCAAGTAACAGAGTTGAACCTTCCTTTTGACAGAACAGTTTTGAAGCACTCTTTTTGTAGAATCTGCAAGTGGATATTTTGATACCTTTGAGGATTTCGTTGGACACGGGATATCTTCATATAAAATCTAGACAGAAGCATTCTCAGAAACTTCTTTGTGCTGTATGTCCTCAATTAACAGAGTTGAACCTTTGTGTGGATACAGCATTTTGGAAACATTCCTTTAGTAGAATCTGCAAGTTGATATTTAGATAGCTAGGAAGAGTTTCCTTGGAAACGGGAATATCTTCATATAAAATCTAGACGGAAGCATTCTCAGAAACTTCTCGGTGATGTTTGCATTCAACTCATAGAGTTGAACACTTCCCTTCATACAGCAGGTTTGAAACACTCTTTTTGTAATATTTGGAAGTGGACATTTGCAGCGCTTTGAGGCCTATGATGAAAAAGGTAATATCTTCCCATAAAAACTAGACAGAAGCATTCTCAGAAACTTGTTTGAGATGTGTGTATTCAACTAACAGAGATGAACCTTTCTTTTTACAGAGCAGTTTTGAAACACTCTTTTTGTGGAATCTGAAAGTGGATATTTGGATAGCTTTGCGGATTTCGTTGGAAACGGGATTACATATAAAATCTAGGGAGAAGCATTCTCAGGAACTTCTTTGTGATGTTTGCATTCAAGTCACAGAACTGAACATTCCCTTTCATAGATCAGGTTTGAAACACTCTTTCTGTAGTATCTGCAAGCGGACGTTTTAAGCGCTTTCAGGCCTGTGGTGAGAAAGGAAATATCTTCAAATAAAAACTAGACAGAAGCATTCTCAGAAACTTATTTGCGATGTGTGTCCTGAACTAACAGAGTTGAACCTTTCTTTTGATACAACATTTTGGAAACACTCTTTTTGTAGAATCTGCAAGTGGATATTTGGATAGCTTTGAAGGTTTCGTTGGAAACGGGAATATCTTCATATGAAATCAAGACAGAAGCATTCTCAGAAACTTCTCTGCGATGTTTGCATTCAACTCATAGAGTTGAACACTTCCCTTCATACAGCAGGTTTGAAACACTCTTTTTCTAATATTTGGAAGTGGACATTTGCAGCGCTTTGAGGCCTATGTTGAAAAAGGAAATATCTTCTCCTAAAAACCAGACAGAAGCATTCTCAGAAACTTGTTTGAGATGTGTGTATTCAACTAACAGAGATGAACCTTTCTTTTTACAGAGCAGTTTTGAAACACTCTTTTTGTGGAATCTGAAAGTGGATATTTGGATAGCTTTGGGGATTTCGTTGGAAACGGGATTACATATAAAATCTAGGGAGAAGCATTCTCAGGAACTTCTTTGTGATGTTTGCATTCAAGTCACAGAACTGAACATTCCCTTTCATAGAGCAGGTTTGAAACACTCTTTCTGTAGTATCTGCAAGCGGACGTTTCAAGCACTTTCAGGCCTATGGTGAGAAAGGAAATATCTTCAAGTAAAAACTAGACAGAAGCATTCTCAGAAACTTATTTGCCATGTGTGTTCTCAACTAACAGAGTTGAACCTTTGTTTGGATACGGCATTTTGGAAACACTCTTTTTGTAGAATCTGCAGGTGGATATTCGGATAGCTTTGAAGGTTTCGTTGGAAACGGGAATATCTTCATATAAAATCTAGACGGAAGCATTCTCAGAAAGTGCTTTGTGATGTTTGCATTCAAGTCACAGAGTTGAGTATTCCCTTTTATAGAGCAGGTTTGAAACACTCTTTCTGCACTACCTGGAAGTGGACATTTGGAGCGCTTTGAGGCCTATGTTGAAAAAGGAAATATCTTCCCATAAAAACTAGACAGAAGCATTCTCAGAAACTTGTTTGTGATGTGTGTATTCAACTAACAGAGATGAACCTTTCTTTTTACAGAGCAGTTTTGAAACACTCTTTTTGTGGAATCTGAAAGTGGATATTTGGATAGCTTTGAGGATTTCGTTGGAAACGGGATTACATATAAAACCTAGAGAGAAGCATTCTCAGGAACTTCTTTGTGATGTTTGCCTTCTAGTCACAGGACTGAACATTCCCTTTCATAGAGCAGGTTTGAAACACTCTTTCTGTAGTATCTGCAAGCTGACGTTTCAAGCGCTTTCAGGCCTATGGTGAGAAAGGAAATATCTTCAAGTAAAAACTAGACAGAAGCATTCTCAGAAACTTATTTGCCATGTGTGTTCTCAACTAACAGAGTTGAACCTTTGTTTTGATACGGCATTTTGGAAACACTCTTTTTGTAGAATCTGCAGGTGGATATTCGGATAGCTTTGAAGGTTTCGTTGGAAACGGGAATATCTTCATATAAAATGCTAGACGGAAGCATTCTCAGAAACTGCTTTGTGATGTTTTCATTCAAGTCACAGAGTAGAATGTTCCCTTTTATAGAGCAGGTTTGAGACACTCTTTCTGCACTACCTGGAAGTGGACATTTGTAGCGCTTTGAGGCCTATGATGAAAAAGGAAATATCTTCCCATAAAAACTAGACAGATGCATTCTCAGAAACTTGTTTGTGATGTGTGTATTCAACTAACAGAGATGAACCTTTCTTTTTACAGAGCAGTTTTGAAACACTCTTTTTGTGGAATCTGAAAGTGGATATTTGGAGAGCTTTGAGGATTTCGTTGGAAACGGGATTACATAGAAAATCTGGAGAGAAGCATTCTCAGGAACTTCTTTGTGATGTTTGCCTTCAAGTCACAGGACTGAACATTCCCTTTCATAGAGCAGGTTTGAAACACTCTTTCTGTAGTATCTGCAAGCTGACGTTTCAAGCGCTTTCAGGCCTATGGTGAGAAAGGAAATATCTTCAAGTAAAAACTAGACAGAAGCATTCTCAGAAACTTATTTGCCATGTGTGTTCTCAACTAACAGAGTTGAACCTTTGTTTTGATACGGCATTTTGGAAACACTCTTTTTGTAGAATCTGCAGGTGGATATTCGGATAGCTTTGAAGGTTTCGTTGGAAACGGGAATATCTTCATATAAAATCTAGACGGAAGCATTCTCAGAAACTGCTTTGTGATGTTTTCATTCAAGTCACAGAGTAGAATGTTCCCTGTTATACACCAGGTTTGAGACACTCTTTCTGCACTACCTGGAAGTGGACGTTTGGAGCGCTTTGAGGCCTATGTTGAAAAAGGAAATATCTTCCCATAAAAACTAGACAGAAGCATTCTCAGAAACTTGTTTGTGATGTGTGTATTCAACTAACAGAGATGAACCTTTCTTTTTACAGAGCAGTTTTGAAACACTCTTTTTGTGGAATCTGAAAGTGGATATTTGGATAGCTTTGAGGATTTCGTTGGAAACGGGATTACATATAAAATCTAGAGAGAAGCATTCTCAGGAACTTCTTTGTGATGTTTGCATTCAAGTCACAGAACTGAACATTCCCTTTCATAGAGCATGTTTGAAACACTCTTTCTGTAGTATCTGCAAGCGGACGTTTCAAGCGCTTTCAGGCCTATGGTGAGAAAGGAAATATCTTCAAGTAAAAACTAGACAGAAGCATTCTCAGAAACTTATTTGCCATGTGTGTTCTCAACTAACAGAATTGAACCTTTGTTTTGATACGGCATTTTGGAAACACTCTTTTTGTAGAATCTGCAGGTGGATATTCGGATAGCTTTGAAGGTTTCGTTGGAAACGGGAATATCTTCATATAAAATCTAGACGGAAGCATTCTCAGAAAGTGCTTTGTGATGTTTGCATTCAAGTCACAGAGTTGAATATTCCCTTTTATAGAGCAGGTCTGAAACACTCTTTCTGCACTACCTGGAAGTGGACATTTGGAACGCTTTGAGGCCTATGTTGAAAAAGGAAATATCTTCCCATAAAAACTAGACAGAAGCATTCTCAGAAACTTGTTTGTGATGTGTGTATTCAACTAACAGAGATGAACCTTTCTTTTTACAGAGCAGTTTTGAAACACTCTTTTTGTGGAATCTGAAAGTGGATATTTGGATAGCTTTGAGGATTTCGTTGGAAACGGGATTACATATAAAACCTAGAGAGAAGCATTCTCAGGAACTTCTTTGTGATGTTTGCCTTCAAGTCACAGGACTGAACATTCCCTTTCATAGAGCAGGTTTGAAACACTCTTTCTGTAGTATCTGCAAGCTGACGTTTCAAGCGCTTTCAGGCCTATGGTGAGAAAGGAAATATCTTCAAGTAAAAACTAGACAGAAGCATTCTCAGAAACTTATTTGCCATGTGTGTTCTCAACTAACAGAGTTGAACCTTTGTTTTGATACGGCATTTTGGAAACACTCTTTTTGTAGAATCTGCAGGTGGATATTCGGATAGCTTTGAAGGTTTCGTTGGAAACGGGAATATCTTCATATAAAATCTAGACGGAAGCATTCTCAGAAACTGCTTTGTGATGTTTTCATTCAAGTCACAGAGTAGAATGTTCCCTGTTATATACCAGGTTTGAGACACTCTTTCTGCACTACCCGGAAGTGGACGTTTTTAGCGCTTTGAGGCCTATGTTGAAAAAGGAAATATCTTCCCATAAAAACTAGACAGAAGCATTCTCAGAAACTTGTTTGTGATGTGTGTATTCAACTAACAGAGATGAACCTTTCTTTTTACAGAGCAGTTTTGAAACACTCTTTTTGTGGAATCTGAAAGTGGATATTTGGATAGCTTTGAGGATTTCGTTGGAAACGGGATTACATATAAAATCTAGAGAGAAGCATTCTCAGGAACTTCTTTGTGATGTTTGCATTCACGTCACAGAACTGAACATTCCCTTTCATAGAGCATGTTTGAAACGCTCTTTCTGTAGTATCTGCAAACGGACATTTCAAACGCTTTCAGGCCTATGGTGAGAAAGGAAATATCTTCAAGTAAAAACTAGACAGAAGCATTCTCAGAAACTTATTTGCGATGTGTGTCCTCAACTAACAGAGTTGAACCTTTCTTTTGATACAACATTTTGGAAACACTCTTTTTGTAGAATCTGCAAGTGGATATTTGAATAGCTTTGAAGGTTTCGTTGGAAACGGGAATATCTTCATATAAAATCAAGACAGAAGCATTCTCAGAAACTTCTCTGTGATGTTTGCATTCAACTCATAGAGTTGAACACTTCCCTTCATACAGCAGGCTTGAAACACTCTTTTTGTAATATTTGGAAGTGGACATTTGCAGCGCTTTGAGGCCTATGATGAAAAAGGTAATATCTTCCCATAAAAACTAGACAGAAGCATTCTCAGAAACTTGTTTGTGATGTGTGTATTCAACTAACAGAGATGAACCTTTCTTTTTACAGAGCAGTTTTGAAACACTCTTTTTGTGGAATCTGAAAGTGGATATTTGGATAGCTTTGCGGATTTCGTTGGAAACGGGATTACATATAAAATCTAGGGAGAAGCATTCTCAGGAACTTCTTTGTGATGTTTGCATTCACGTCACAGAACTGAACATTCCCTTTCATAGAGCAGGTTTGAAACACTCTTTCTGTAGTATCTGCAAGCGGACGTTTTAAGCGCTTTCAGGCCTGTGGTGAGAAAGGAAATATCTTCAAATAAAAACTAGACAGAAGCATTCTCAGAAACTTATTTGCGATGTGTGTCCTCAACTAACAGAGTTGAACCTTTCTTTTGATACAACATTTTGGAAACACTCTTTTTGTAGAATCTGCAAGTGGATATTTGGATAGCTTTGAAGGTTTCGTTGGAAACGGGAATATCTTCATATGAAATCAAGACAGAAGCATTCTCAGAAACTTCTCTGTGATGTTTGCATTCAACTCATAGAGTTGAACACTTCCCTTCATACAGCAGGTTTGAAACACTCTTTTTGTAATATTTGGAAGTGGACATTTGCAGCGCTTTGAGGCCTATGATGAAAAAGGTAATATCTTCCCATAAAAACTAGACAGAAGCATTCTCAGAAACTTGTTTGTGATGTGTGTATTCAACTAACAGAGATGAACCTTTCTTTTTACAGAGCAGTTTTGAAACACTCTTTTTGTGGAATCTGAAAGTGGATATTTGGATAGCTTTGCGGATTTCGTTGGAAACGGGATTACATATAAAATCTAGGGAGAAGCATTCTCAGGAACTTCTTTGTGATGTTTGCATTCAAGTCACAGAACTGAACATTCCCTTTCATAGAGCAGGTTTGAAACACTCTTTCTGTAGTATCTGCAAGCGGACGTTTTAAGCGCTTTCAGGCCTGTGGTGAGAAAGGAAATATACTTCAAATAAAAACTAGACAGAAGCATTCTCAGCAAACTTCTTTGTGCTGTATGTCCTCAATTAACAGAGTTGAACCTTTGTGTGGATACAGCATTTTGGAAACATTCCTTTAGTAGAATCTGCAAGTTGATATTTAGATAGCTAGGAAGAGTTCCTTGGAAACGGGAATATCTTCATATAAAATCTAGACGGAAGCATTCTCAGAAAGTGCTTTGTGATGTTTGCATTCAAGTCACAGAGTTGAATATTCCCTTTTATAGAGCAGGTTTGAAACACTCTTTCTGTACTACCTGGAAGTGGACATTTGGAGCGCTTTGAGGCCTATGTTGAAAAACGAAATATCTTCCCATAAAAACTAGACAGAAGCATTCTCAGAAACTTGTTTGTGATGTGTGTATTCAACTAACAGAGATGAACCTTTCTTTTTACAGAGCAGTTTTGAAACACTCTTTTTGTGGAATCTGAAAGTGGATATTTGGATAGCTTTGAGGATTTCGTTGGAAACGGGATTACATATAAAACCTAGAGAGAAGCATTCTCAGGAACTTCTTTGTGATGTTTGCATTCAAGTCACAGAACTGAACATTCCCTTTCATAGAGCAGGTTTGAAACACTCTTTCTGTAGTATCTGCAAGCTGACGTTTCAAGCGCTTTCAGGCCTATGGTGAGAAAGGAAATATCTTCAAGTAAAAACTAGACAGAAGCATTCTCAGAAACTTATTTGCCATGTGTGTTCTCAACTAACAGAGTTGAACCTTTGTTTTGATACGGCATTTTGGAAACACTCTTTTTGTAGAATCTGCAGGTGGATATTCGGATAGCTTTGAAGGTTTCGTTGGAAACGGGAATATCTTCATATAAAATCTAGACGGAAGCATTCTCAGAAACTGCTTGGTGATGTTTTCATTCAAGTCACAGAGTAGAATGTTCCCTGTTATATACCAGGTTTGAGACACTATTTCTGCACTACCTTGAAGTGGACGTTTGGAGCGCTTTGAGGCCTATGTTGAAAAAAGAAATATCTTCCCATAAAAACTAGACAGAAGCATTCTCAGAAACTTGTTTGTGATGTGTGTATTCAACTAACAGAGATGAACCTTTCTTTTTACAGAGCAGTTTTGAAACACTCTTTTTGTGGAATCTGAAAGTGGATATTTGGATAGCTTTGAGGATTTCGTTGGAAACGGGATTACATATAAAATCTAGAGAGAAGCATTCTCAGGAACGTCTTTGTGATGTTTGCATTCACGTCACAGAACTGAACATTCCCTTTCATAGAGCATGTTTGAAACACTCTTTCTGTAGTATCTGCAAACGGACATTTCAAACGCTTTCAGGCCTATGGTGAGAAAGGAAATATCTTCAAATAAAAACTAGACAGAAGCATTCTCAGAAACTTATTTGCGATGTGTGTCCTCAACTAACAGAGTTGAACCTTTCTTTTGATACAACATTTTGGAAACACTCTTTTTGTAGAATCTGCAAGTGGATATTTGGATAGCTTTGAAGGTTTCGTTGGAAACGGGAATATCTTCATATGAAATCAAGACAGAAGCATTCTCAGAAACTTCTCTGTGATGTTTGCATTCAACTCATAGAGTTGAACACTTCCCTTCATACAGCAGGTTTGAAACACTCTTTTTCTAATATTTGGAAGTGGACATTTGCAGCGCTTTGAGGCCTATGTTGAAAAAGGAAATATCTTCTAAAAACCAGACAGAAGCATTCTCAGAAACTTGTTTGTGATGTGTGTATTCAACTAACAGAGATGAACCTTTCTTTTTACAGAGCAGTTTTGAAACACTCTTTTTGTGGAATCTGAAAGTGGATATTTGGATAGCTTTGAGGATTTCGTTGGAAACGGGATTACATATAAAACCTAGGGAGAAGCATTCTCAGGAACTTCTTTGTGATGTTTGCCTTCAAGTCACAGGACTGAACATTCCCTTTCATAGAGCAGGTTTGAAACACTCTTTCTGTAGTATCTGCAAGCTGACGTTTCAAGCGCTTTCAGGCCTATGGTGAGAAAGGAAATATCTTCAAGTAAAAACTAGACAGAAGCATTCTCAGAAACTTATTTGCCATGTGTGTTCTCAACTAACAGAGTTGAACCTTTGTTTTGATACGGCATTTTGGAAACACTCTTTTTGTAGAATCTGCAGGTGGATATTCGGATAGCTTTGAAGGTTTCGTTGGAAACGGGAATATCTTCATATAAAATCTAGACGGAAGCATTCTCAGAAACTGCTTTGTGATGTTTTCATTCAAGTCACAGAGTAGAATGTTCCCTGTTATATACCAGGTTTGAGACACTCTTTCTGCACTACCCGGAAGTGGACGTTTGGAGCGCTTTGAGGCCTATGTTGAAAAAGGAAATATCTTCCCATAAAAACTAGACAGAAGCATTCTCAGAAACTTGTTTGTGATGTGTTTATTCAAGTAACAGAGATGAACCTTTCTTTTTACAGAGCAGTTTTGAAACACTCTTTTTGTGGAATCTGAAAGTGGATATTTGGATAGCTTTGAGGATTTCGTTGGAAACGGGATTACATATAAAACCTAGAGAGAAACATTCTCAGGAACTTCTTTGTGATGTTTGCATTCACGTCACAGAACTGAACATTCCCTTTCATAGAGCATGTTTGAAACACTCTTTCTGTAGTATCTGCAAACGGACATTTCAAGCGCTTTCAGGCCTATGGTAAGAAAGGAAATAACTTCAAATAAAAACTAGACAGAAGCATTCTCAGAAACTTATTTGCGATGTGTGTCCTCAACTAACAGAGTTGAACCTTTGTTTTGATACAACATTTTGGAAACACTCTTTTTGTAGAATCTGCAAGTGGATATTTGGATAGCTTTGAAGGTTTCGTTGGAAACGGGAATATCTTCATATAAAATCAAGACAGAAGCATTCTCAGAAACTTCTCTGTGATGTTTGCATTCAACTCATAGAGTTGAACACTTCCCTTCATAGAGCAGGTTTGAAACACTCTTTTTGTAATATTTGGAAGTGGACATTTGCAGCGCTTTGAGGCCTATGTTGAAAAAGGAAATATCTTCTCCTAAAAACCAGACAGAAGCATTCTCAGAAACTTGTTTGTGATGTGTGTATTCAACTAACAGAGATGAACCTTTCTTTTTACAGAGCAGTTTTGAAACACTCTTTTTGTGGAATCTGAAAGTGGATATTTGGATAGCTTTGAGGATTTCGTTGGAAACGGGATTACATATAAAACCTAGAGAGAAGCATTCTCAGGAACTTCTTTGTGATGTTTGCATTCAAGTCACAGAACTGGACATTCCCTTTCATAGAGCATGTTTGAAACACTCTTTCTGTAGTATCTGCAAGCTGACGTTTCAAGCGCTTTCAGGCCTATGGTGAGAAAGGAAATATCTTCAAGTAAAAACTAGACAGAAGCATTCTCAGAAACTTATTTGCCATGTGTGTCCTCAACTAACAGAGTTGAACCTTTGTTTTGATACAACATTTTGGAACCACTCTTTTTGTAGAATCTGCAAGTGGATATTTGGATAGCTTTGAAGGTTTCGTTGGAAACGGGAATATCTTCATATAAAATCAAGACAGAAGCATTCTCAGAAAGTGCTTTGTGATGTTTGCATTCAAGTCACAGAGTTGAATATTCCCTTTTATAGAGCAGGTTTGAAACACTCTTTCTGCACTACCTGGAAGTGGACATGTGGAGCGCTTTGAGGCCTATGTTGAAAAAGGAAATATCTTCCCATAAAAACTAGACAGAAGCATTCTAAGAAACTTGTTTGTGATGTGTGTATTCAACTAACAGAGATGAACCTTTCTTTTTACAGAGCAGTTTTGAAACACTCTTTTTGTGGAATCTGAAAGTGGATATTTGGATAGCTTTGAGGATTTCGTTGGAAACGGGATTACATATAAAATCTAGAGAGAAGCATTCTCAGGAACTTCTTTGTGATGTTTGCATTCAAGTCACAGAACTGAACATTCCCTTTCATAGAGCATGTTTGAAACACTCTTTCTGTAGTATCTGCAAGCGGACGTTTCAAGCGCTTTCAGGCCTATGGTGAGAAAGGAAATATCTTCAAGTAAAAACTAGACAGAAGCATTCTCAGAAACTTATTTGCCATGTGTGTTCTCAACTAACAGAGTTGAACCTTTGTTTTGATACGGCATTTTGGAAACACTCTTTTTGTAGAATCTGCAGGTGGATATTCGGATAGCTTTGAAGGTTTCGTTGGAAACGGGAATAACTTCATATAAAATCTAGACGGAAGCATTCTCAGAAACTGCTTTGTGATGTTTTCATTCAAGTCACAGAGTAGAATGTTCCCTTTTATATACCAGGTTTGAGACACTCTTTCTGCACTATCTGGAAGTGGACATTTGGAGCGCTTTGAGGCCTATGATGAAAAAGGAAATATCTTCCCATAAAAACTAGACAGAAGCATTCTCAGAAACTTGTTTGTGATGTGTGTATTCAACTAACAGAGATGAACCTTTCTTTTTACAGAGCAGTTTTGAAACACTCTTTTTGTGGAATCTGAAAGTGGATATTTGGATAGCTTTGAGGATTTCGTTGGAAACGGGATTACATATAAAATCTAGAGAGAAGCATTCTCAGGAACTTCTTTGTGATGTTTGCATTCACGTCACAGAACTGAACATTCCCTTTCATAGAGCATGTTTGAAACACTCTTTCTGTAGTATCTGCAAACGGACATTTCAAACGCTTTCAGGCCTATGGTGAGAAAGGAAATATCTTCAAGTAAAAAATAGACAGAAGCATTCTCAGAAACTTATTTGCGATGTGTGTCCTCAACTAACAGAGTTGAACCTTTCTTTTGATACAACATTTTGGAAACACTCTTTTTGTAGAATCAGCAAGTGGATATTTGAATAGCTTTGAAGGTTTCGTTGGAAACGGGAATATCTTCATATAAAATCAAGACAGAAGCATTCTCAGAAACTTCTTTGTGATGTTTGCATTCAACTCATAGAGTTGAACACTTCCCTTCATACAGCAGGTTTGAAACACTCTTTTTGTAATATTTGGAAGTGGACATTTGCAGCGCTTTGAGGCCTATGATGAAAAAGGTAATATCTTCCCATAAAAACTAGACAGAAGCATTCTCAGAAACTTGTTTGTGATGTGTGTATTCAACTAACAGAGATGAACCTTTCTTTTTACAGAGCAGTTTTGAAACACTCTTTTTGTGGAATCTGAAAGTGGATATTTGGATAGCTTTGCGGATTTCGTTGGAAACGGGATTACATATAAAATCTAGGGAGAAGCACTCTCAGGAACTTCTTTGTGATGTTTGCATTCAAGTCACAGAACTGAACATTCCCTTTCATAGAGCAGGTTTGAAACACTCTTTCTGTAGTATCTGCAAGCGGACGTTTTAAGCGCTTTCAGGCCTGTGGTGAGAAAGGAAATATCTTCAAATAAAAACTAGACAGAAGCATTCTCAGAAACTTATTTGCGATGTGTGTCCTCAACTAACAGAGTTGAACCTTTCTTTTAATACAACATTTTGGAAACACTCTTTTTGTAGAATCTGCAAGTGGATATTTGAATAGCTTTGAAGGTTTCGTTGGAAACGGGAATATCTTCATATAAAATCAAGACAGAAGCATTCTCAGGAAACTGCTTTGTGATGTTTTCATTCAAGTCACAGAGTAGAATGTTCCCTGTTATATACCAGGTTTGAGACACTCTTTCTGCACTACCTGGAAGTGGACATTTGGAGCGCTTTGAGGCCTATGATGAAAAAGGAAATATCTTCCCATAAAAACTAGACAGAAGCATTCTCAGAAACTTGTTTGTGATGTGTGTATTCAACTAACAGAGATGAACCTTTCTTTTTACAGAGCAGTTTTGAAACACTCTTTTTGTGGAATCTGAAAGTGGATATTTGGATAGCTTTGAGGATTTCGTTGGAAACGGGATTACATATAAAACCTAGAGAGAAGCATTCTCAGGAACTTCTTTGTGATGTTTGCATTCAAGTCACAGAACTGAACATTCCCTTTCATAGAGCAGGTTTGAAACACTCTTTCTGTAGTATCTGCAAGCTGACGTTTCAAGCGCTTTCAGGCCTATGGTGAGAAAGGAAATATCTTCAAGTAAAAACTAGACAGAAGCATTCTCAGAAACTTATTTGCCATGTGTGTTCTCAACTAACAGAGTTGAACCTTTGTTTTGATACGGCATTTTGGAAACACTCTTTTTGTAGAATCTGCAGGTGGATATTCGGATAGCTTTGAAGGTTTCGTTGGAAACGGGAATATCTTCATATAAAATCTAGACGGAAGCATTCTCAGAAACTGCTTTGTGATGTTTTCATTCAAGTCACAGAGTAGAATCTTCCCTGTTATATACCAGGTTAGAGACACTCTTTCTGCACTACCTGGAAGTGGACATTTGCAGCGCTTTGAGGCCTATGATGAAAAGGGAAATATCTTCCCATAAAAACTAGACAGAAGCATTCTCAGAAACTTGTTTGTGATGTGTGTATTCAACTAACAGAGATGAACCTTTCTTTTTACAGAGCAGTTTTGAAACACTCTTTTTGTGGAATCTGAAAGTGGATATTTCGATAGCTTTGAGGATTTCGTTGGAAACGGGATTACATATAAAATCTAGAGAGAAGCATTCTCAGGAACTTCTTTGTGATGTTTGCCTTCAAGTCACAGGACTGAACATTCCCTTTCATAGAGCAGGTTTGAAACACTCTTTCTGTAGTATCTGCAAGCTGACGTTTCAAGCGCTTTCAGGCCTATGGTGAGAAAGGAAATATCTTCAAGTAAAAACTAGACAGAAGCATTCTCAGAAACTTATTTGCCATGTGTGTTCTCAACTAACAGAGTTGAACCTTTGTTTTGATACGGCATTTTGGAAACACTCTTTTTGTAGAATCTGCAGGTGGATATTCGGATAGCTTTGAAGGTTTCGTTGGAAACGGGAATATCTTCATATAAAATCTAGACGGAAGCATTCTCAGAAACTGCTTTGGGATGTTTTCATTCAAGTCACAGAGTAGAATGTTCCCTGTTATATACCAGGTTTGAGACACTCTTTCTGCACTACCTGGAAGTGGACGTTTGGAGCGCTTTGAGGCCTATGTTGAAAAAGGAAATATCTTCCCATAAAAACTAGACAGAAGCATTCTCAGAAACTTGTTTGTGATGTGTGTATTCAACTAACAGAGATGAACCTTTCTTTTTACAGAGCAGTTTTGAAACACTCTTTTTGTGGAATCTGAAAGTGGATATTTGGATAGCTTTGAGGATTTCGTTGGAAACGGGATTACATATAAAACCTAGAGAGAAGCATTCTCAGGAACTTCTTTGTGATGTTTGCATTCAAGTCACAGAACTGAACATTCCCTTTCATAGAGCAGGTTTGAAACACTCTTTCTGTAGTATCTGCAAGCTGACGTTTCAAGCGCTTTCAGGCCTATGGTGAGAAAGGAAATATCTTCAAGTAAAAACTAGACAGAAGCATTCTCAGAAACTTATTTGCGATGTGTGTTCTCAACTAACAGAGTTGAACCTTTGTTTTGATATGGCATTTTGGAAACACTCTTTTTGTAGAATCTGCAGGTGGATATTCGGATAGCTTTGAAGGTTTCGTTGGAAACGGGAATATCTTCATATAAAATCTAGACGGAAGCATTCTCAGAAACTGCTTTGTGATGTTTTCATTGAAGTCACAGAGTAGAATGTTCCCTTTTATATACCAGGTTTGAGACACTCTTTCTGCACTATCTGGAAGTGGACATTTGGAGCGCTTTGAGGCCTATGATGAAAAAGGAAATATCTTCCCATAAAAACTAGACAGAAGCATTCTCAGAAACTTGTTTGTGATGTGTGTATTCAACTAACAGAGATGAACCTTTCTTTTTACAGAGCAGTTTTGAAACACTCTTTTTGTGGAATCTGAAAGTGGATATTTGGATAGCTTTGAGGATTTCGTTGGAAACGGGATTACATATAAAACCTAGAGAGAAGCATTCTCAGGAACTTCTTTGTGATGTTTGCATTCAAGTCACAGAACTGAACATTCCCTTTCATAGAGCAGGTTTGAAACACTCTTTCTGTAGTATCTGCAAGCTGGCGTTTCAAGCGCTTTCAGGCCTATGGTGAGAAAGGAAATATCTTCAAGTAAAAACTAGACAGAAGCATTCTCAGAAACTTATTTGCCATGTGTGTTCTCAACTAACAGAGTTGAACCTTTGTTTTGATACGGCATTTTGGAAACACTCTTTTTGTAGAATCTGCAGGTGGATATTCGGATAGCTTTGAAGGTTTCGTTGGAAAACGGGAATATCTTCATATAAAATCTAGACGGAAGCATTCTCAGAAACTGCTTTGTGATGTTTTCATTCAAGTCACAGAGTAGAATCTTCCCTGTTATATACCAGGTTTCAGACACTCTTTCTGCACTACCTGGAAGTGGACATTTGCAGCGCTTTGAGGCCTATGATGAAAAAGGAAATATCTTCCCATAAAAACTAGACAGAAGCATTCTCAGAAACTTGTTTGTGATGTGTGTATTCAACTAACAGAGATGAACCTTTCTTTTTACAGAGCAGTTTTGAAACACTCTTTTTGGGGAATCTGAAAGTGGATATTTGGATAGCTTTGAGGATTTCGTTGGAAACGGGATTACATATAAAATCTAGAGAGAAGCATTCTCAGGAACTTCTTTGTGATGTTTGCATTCACGTCACAGAGCTGAACATTCCCTTTCATAGAGCATGTTTGAAACACTCTTTCTGTAGTATCTGCAAACGGACATTTCAAACGCTTTCAGGCCTATGGTGAGAAAGGAAATATCTTCAAATAAAAACTAAACAGAAGCATTCTCAGAAACTTATTTGCGATGTGTGTCCTCAACTAACAGAGTTGAACCTTTCTTTTGATACAACATTTTGGAAACACTCTTTTTGTAGAATCTGCAAGTGGATATTTGAATAGCTTTGAAGGTTTCGTTGGAAACGGGAATATCTTCATATAAAATCAAGACAGAAGCATTCTCAGAAACTTCTCTGTGATGTTTGCATTCAACTCATAGAGTTGAACACTTCCCTTCATACAGCAGGTTTGAAACACTCTTTTTGTAATATTTGGAAGTGGACAGTTGCAGCGCTTTGAGGCCTATGATGAAAAAGGTAATATCTTCCCATAAAAACTAGACAGAAGCATTCTCAGAAACTTATTTGCGATGTGTGTTCTCAACTAACAGAGTTGAACCTTTGTTTTGATATGGCATTTTGGAAACACTCTTTTTGTAGAATCTGCAGGTGGATATTCGGATAGCTTTGAAGGTTTCGTTGGAAACGGGAATATCTTCATATAAAATCTAGACGGAAGCATTCTCAGAAACTGCTCTGTGATGTTTTCATTCAAGTCACAGAGTAGAATGTTCCCTGTTATATACCAGGTTTGAGACACTCTTTCTGCACTACCTGGAAGTGGACATTTGCAGCGCTTTGAGGCCTATGATGAAAAAGGAAATATCTTCCCATAAAAACTAGACAGAAGCATTCTCAGAAACTTGTTTGTGATGTGTGTATTCAACTAACAGAGATGAACCTTTCTTTTTACAGAGCAGTTTTGAAACACTCTTTTTGTGGAATCTGAAAGTGGATATTTGGATAGCTTTGAGGATTTCGTTGGAAACGGGATTACATATAAAATCTAGAGAGAAGCATTCTCAGGAACTTCTTTGTGATGTTTGCATTCACGTCACAGAACTGAACATTCCCTTTCATAGAGCATGTTTGAAACACTCTTTCTGTAGTATCTGCAAACGGACATTTCAAACGCTTTCAGGCCTATGGTGAGAAAGGAAATATCTTCAAGTAAAAATTAGACAGAAGCATTCTCAGAAACTTATTTGCGATGTGTGTCCTCAACTAACAGAGTTGAACCTTTCTTTTGATACAACATTTTGGAAACACTCTTTTTGTAGAATCAGCAAGTGGATATTTGAATAGCTTTGAAGGTTTCGTTGGAAACGGGAATATCTTCATATAAAATCAAGACAGAAGCATTCTCAGAAACTTCTCTGTGATGTTTGCATTCAACTCATAGAGTTGAACACTTCCCTTCATACAGCAGGTTTGAAACACTCTTTTTGTAATATTTGGAAGTGGTCATTTGCAGCGCTTTGACGCCTATGATGAAAAAGGTAATATCTTCCCATAAAAACTAGACAGAAGCATTCTCAGAAACTTGTTTGTGATGTGTGTATTCAACTAACAGAGATGAACCTTTCTTTTTACAGAGCAGTTTTGAAACACTCTTTTTGTGGAATCTGAAAGTGGATATTTGGATAGCATTGAGGATTTCGTTGGAAACTGGATTACATATAAAACCTAGAGAGAAGCATTCTCAGGAACTTCTTTGTGATGTTTGCATTCAAGTCACAGGACTGAACATTCCCTTTCATAGAGCAGGTTTGAAACACTCTTTCTGTAGTATCTGCAAGCTGACGTTTCAAGCGCTTTCAGGCCTATGGTGAGAAAGGAAATATCTTCAAGTAAAAACTAGACAGAAGCATTCTCAGAAACTTATTTGCCATGTGTGTTCTCAACTAACAGAGTTGAACCTTTGTTTTGATACGGCATTTTGGAAACACTCTTTTTGTAGAATCTGCAGGTGGATATTCGGATAGCTTTGAAGGTTTCGTTGGAAACGGGAATATCTTCATATAAAATCTAGACGGAAGCATTCTCAGAAACTGCTTTGTGATGTTTGCATTCAAGTCACAGAGTAGAATGTTCCCTGTTATATACCAGGTTTGAGACACTCTTTCTGCACTACCTGGAAGTGGACATTTGCAGCGCTTTGAGGCCTATGATGAAAAAGGAAATATCTTCCCATAAAAACTAGACAGAAGCATTCTCAGAAACTTCTTTGTGATGTGTGTATTCAACTAACAGAGATGAACCTTTCTTTTTACAGAGCAGTTTTGAAACACTCTTTTTGTGGAATCTGAAAGTGGATATTTGGATAGCTTTGAGGATTTCGTTGGAAACGGGATTACATATAAAATCTAGAGAGAAGCATTCTCAGGAACTTCTTTGTGATGTTTGCATTCAAGTAACAGAACTGAACATTCCCTTTCATAGAGCCGGTTTGAAACACTCTTTCTGTAGTATCTGCAAGCTGACGTTTCAAGCGCTTTCAGGCCTATGGTGAGAAAGGAAATATCTTCAAGTAAAAACTAGACAGAAGCATTCTCAGAAACTTATTTGCCATGTGTGTTCTCAACTAACAGAGTTGAACCTTTGTTTTGATACAGCATTTTGGAAACACTCTTTTTGTAGGATCTACAGGTGGATATTTGGATAGCTTTTAAGGTTTCGTTGGAAACGGGAATATCTTCATATAAAATCAAGACAGAAGCATTCTCAGAAACTTCTCTGTGATGTTTGCATTCAACTCATAGAGTTGAAGACTTCCTTTCATAGAGCCGGTTTGAAACACTCTGTGCACTACCTGGAAGTGGACATTTCGAGCGCTTTGAGGCCTATGTTGAAAAAGGAAATATCTTCCCATAAAAACTAGACAGAAGCATTCTCAGAAACTTGTTTGTGATGTGTGTATTCAACTAACAGATATGAACCTTTCTTTTTACAGAGCAGTTTTGAAACACTCTTTTTGTGGAATCTGAAAGTGGATATTTGGATAGCTTTGAGGATTTCGTTGGAAACGGGATTACATATAAAATCTAGGGAGAAGCATTCTCAGGAACTTCTTTGTGATGTTTGCCTTCAAGTCACAGGACTGAACATTCCCTTTCATAGAGCAGGTTTGAAACACTCTTTCTGTAGTATCTGCAAGCTGACGTTTCAAGCGCTTTCAGGCCTATGGTGAGAAAGGAAATATCTTCAAGTAAAAACTAGACAGAAGCATTCTCAGAAACATATTTGAGATGTGTGTTCTCAACTAACAGAGTTGAACCTTTGTTTTGATATGGCATTTTGGAAACACTCTTTTTGTAGAATCTGCAGGTGGATATTCGGATAGCTTTGAAGGTTTCGTTGGAAACGGGAATATCTTCATATAAAATCTAGACGGAAGCATTCTCAGAAACTGCTTTGTGATGTTTGCATTCAAGTCACAGAGTTGAATATTCCCTTTTATAGAGCAGGTTTGAAACACTCTTTCTGCACTACCTGGAAGTGGACATTTGGAGCTCTTTGAGGCCTATGTTGAAAAAGGAAATATCTTCCCATAAAAACTAGACAGAAGCATTCTCAGAAACTTGTTTGTGATGTGTGTATTCAACTAACAGAGATGAACCTTTCTTTTTACAGAGCAGTTTTGAAACACTCTTTTTGTGGAATCTGAAAGTGGATATTTGGATAGATTTGAGGATTTCGTTGGAAACGGGATTACATATAAAACCTAGAGAGAAGTATTCTCAGGAACTTCTTTTTGATGTTTGCCTTCAAGTCACAGGACTGAACATTCCCTTTCATAGAGCAGGTTTGAAACACTCTTTCTGTAGTATCTGCAAGCTGACGTTTCAAGCGCTTTCAGGCCTATGGTGAGAAAGGAAATATCTTCAAGTAAAAACTAGACAGAAGCATTCTCAGAAACTTATTTGCCATGTGTGTTCTCAACTAACAGAGTTGAACCTTTGTTTTGATACGGCATTTTGGAAACACTCTTTTTGTAGAATCTGCAGGTGGATATTCGGATAGCTTTGAAGGTTTCGTTGGAAACGGGAATATCTTCATATAAAATCTAGACGGAAGCATTCTCAGAAACTGCTTTGTGATGTTTGCATTCAAGTCACAGAGTAGAATGTTCCCTGTTATATACCAGGTTTGAGACACTCTTTCTGCACTACCTGGAAGTGGACGTTTGGAGCGCTTTGAGGCCTATGTTGAAAAAGGAAATATCTTCGCATAAAAACTAGACAGAAGCATTCTCAGAAACTTGTTTGTGATGTGTGTATTCAACTAACAGAGATGAACCTTTCTTTTTACAGAGCAGTTTTGAAACACTCTTTTTGTGGAATCTGAAAGTGGATATTTGGATTGCTTTGAGGATTTCGTTGGAAACGGGATTACATATAAAACCTAGAGAGAAGCATTCTCAGGAACTTCTTTGTGATGTTTGCCTTCAAGTCACAGGACTGAACATTCCCTTTCATAGAGCAGGTTTGAAACACTCTTTCTGTAGTATCTGCAAGCTGACGTTTCAAGCGCTTTCAGGCCTATGGTGAGAAAGGAAATATCTTCAAGTAAAAACTAGACAGAAGCATTCTCAGAAACTTATTTGCCATGTGTGTTCTCAACTAACAGAGTTGAACCTTTGTTTTGATACGGCATTTTGGAAACAATCTTTTTGTAGAATCTGCAGGTGGATATTCGGATAGCTTTGAAGGTTTCGTTGGAAACGGGAATATCTTCATATAAAATCTAGACGGAAGCATTCTCAGAAACTGCTTTGTGATGTTTTCATTCAAGTCACAGAGTAGAATGTTCCCTGTTATATACCAGGTTTGAGACACTCTTTCTGCACTACCTGGAAGTGGACGTTTGGAGCGCTTTGAGGCCTATGTTGAAAAAGGAAATATCTTCCCATAAAAACTAGACAGAAGCATTCTCAGAAACTTGTTTGTGATGTGTGTTTTCAACTAACAGAGATGAACCTTTCTTTTTACAGAGCAGTTTTGAAACACTCTTTTTGTGGAATCTGAAAGTGGATATTTGGATAGCTTTGAGGATTTCGTTGGAAACGGGATTACATATAAAATCTAGAGAGAAGCATTCTCAGGAACTTCTTTGTGATGTTTGCATTCACGTCACAGAACTGAACATTCCCTTTCATAGAGCATGTTTGAAACACTCTTTCTGTAGTATCTGCAAACGGACATTTCAAACGCTTTCAGGCCTATGGTGAGAAAGGAAATATCTTCATGTAAAAACTAGACAGAAGCATTCTCAGAAACTTATTTGCGATGTGTGTCCTCAACTAACAGAGTTGAACCTTTCTTTTGATACAACATTTTGGAAACACTCTTTTTGTAGAATCTGCAAGTGGATATTTGGATAGCTTTGAAGGTTTCGTTGGAAACGGGAATATCTTCATATGAAATCAAGACAGAAGCATTCTCAGAAACTTCTCTGTGATGTTTGCATTCAACTCATAGAGTTGAACACTTCCCTTCATACAGCAGGTTTGAAACACTCTTTTTGTAATATTTGGAAGTGGACATTTGCAGCGCTTTGAGGCCTATGTTGAAAAAGGAAATATCTTCTCCTAAAAACCAGACAGAAGCATTCTCAGAAGCTTCCGTGTGATGTGTGTACTCAAGTAACAGAGTTGAACCTTACTTTTGACAGAGCCGTTTTGAAACAGTGTTTTTGTAGAATCTGGAAGTAGATATTTGGATACATTTGAGAATTTCTTTGGAAACGGGATATCTTCATATAAAACCTAGACAGAAGCATTCTCAGAAACTTCTTTGTGCTGTATGTCCTCAATTAACAGAGTTGAACCTTTGTGTGGATACAGCATTTTGGAAACATTCCTTTAGTAGAATCTGCAAGTTGATATTTAGATAGCTAGGAAGATTTCCTTGGAAACGGGAATATCTTCACATAAAATCTAGCCGGAAGCATTCTCAGAAAGTGCTTTGTGATGTTTGCATTCAAGTCACAGAGTTGAATATTCCCTTTTATAGAGCAGGTTTGAAACACTCTTTCTGCACTACCTGGAAGTGGACATTTGGAGCGCTTTGAGGCCTATGTTGAAAAAGGAAATATCTTCCCATAAAAACTAGACAGAAGCATTCTCAGAAACTTGTTTGTGATGTGTGTATTCAACTAACAGAGATGAATCTTTCTTTTTACAGAGCAGTTTTTAAACACTTTTTTTGTGGAATCTGAAAGTGGTTATTTGGATAGCTTTGAGGATTTCGTTGGAAACGGGATTACATATAAAACCTAGAGAGAATAATTCTCAGGAACTTCTTTGTGATGTTTGCATTCAAGTCACAGAACTGAACATTCCCTTTCATAGAGCATGTGTGAAACACTCTTTCTGTAGTATCTGCAAACGGACATTTCAAACGCTTTCAGGCCTATTGTGAGAAAGGAAATATCTTCAAATAAAAACTAGACAGAAGAATTCTCAGAAACTTATTTGCGATGTGTGTCCTCAACTAACAGAGTTGAACCTTTCTTTTGATACAACATTTTGGAACCGCTCTTTTTGTAGAATCTGCAAGTGGATATTTGGATAGCTTTGAAGGTTTCGTGGGAAACGGGAATATCTTCATATAAAAACAAGACAGAAGCATTCTCAGAAACTTCTCTGTGATGTTTGCATTCAACTCATAGAGTTGAACACTTCCCTTCATACAGCAGGTTTGAAACACTCTTTTTGTAATATTTGGAAGTGGACATTTGCAGCGCTTTGAGGCCTATGATGAAAAAGGAAATATCTTCCCATAAAAACTAGACAGAAGCATTCTCAGAAACTTGTTTGTGATGTGTGTATTCAACTAACAGAGATGAACCTTTCTTTTTACAGAGCAGTTTTGAAACACTCTTTTTGTGGAATCTGAAAGTGGATATTTGGATAGCTTTGCGGATTTCGTTGGAAACGGGATTACATATAAAATCTAGGGAGAAGCATTCTCAGGAACTTCTTTGTGATGTTTGCATTCAAGTCACAGAACTGAACATTCCCTTTCATAGAGCAGGTTTGAAACACTCTTTCTGTAGTATCTGCAAGCGGACGTTTTAAGCGCTTTCAGGCCTGTGGTGAGAAAGGAAATATCTTCAAATAAAAACTAGACAGAAGCATTCTCAGAAACTTATTTGCGATGTGTGTCCTCAACTAACAGAGTTGAACCTTTCTTTTGATACAACATTTTGGAAACACTCTTTTTGTAGAATCTGCAAGTGGATATTTGGATAGCTTTGAAGGTTTCGTTGGAAACGGGAATATCTTCATATGAAATCAAGACAGAAGCATTCTCAGAAACTGCTTTGTGATGTTTTCATTCAAGTCACAGTGTAGAAAGTTCCCTGTTATATACCAGGTTTGAGACACTCTTTCTGCACTACCTGGAAGTGGACGTTTGGAGCGCTTTGAGGCCTATTTTGAAAAAGGAAATATCTTCCCATAAAAACTAGACAGAAGCATTCTCAGAAACTTGTTTGTGATGTGTGTATTCAACTAACAGAGATGAACCTTTCTTTTTACAGAGTAGTTTTGAAACACTCTTTTTGTGGAATCTGAAAGTGGATATTTGGATAGCTTTGAGGATTTCGTTGGAAACGGGATTACATATAAAACCTAGAGAGAAGCATTCTCAGGAACTTCTTTGTGATGTTTGCATTCAAGTCACAGAACTGAACATTCCCTTTCATAGAGCAGGTTTGAAACACTCTTTCTGTAGTATCTGCAAGCTGACGTTTCAAGCGCTTTCAGGCCTATGGTGAGAAAGGAAATATCTTCAAGTAAAAACTAGACAGAAGCATTATCAGAAACTTATTTGCCATGTGTGTTCTCAACTAACAGAGTTGAACCTTTGTTTTGATACGGCATTTTGGAAACACTCTTTTTGTAGAATCTGCAGGTGGATATTCGGATAGCTTTGAAGGTTTCGTTGGAAACGGGAATATCTTCATATAAAATCTAGACGGAAGCATTCTCAGAAAGTGCTTTGTGATGTTTGCATTCAAGTCACAGAGTAGAATGTTCCCTTTTATATACCAGGTTTGAGACACTCTTTCTGCACTATCTGGAAGTGGACATTTGGAGCGCTTTGAGGCCTATGTTGAAAAAGGAAATATCTTCCCATAAAAACTAGACAGAAGCATTCTCAGAAACTTGTTTGTGATGTGTGTATTCAACTAACAGAGATGAACCTTTCTTTTTACAGAGCAGTTTTGAAACACTCTTTTTGTGGAATCTGAAAGTGGATATTTGGATAGCTTTGAGGATTTCGTTGGAAACGGGATTACATATAAAATCTAGAGAGAAGCATTCTCAGGAACTTCTTTGTGATGTTTGCATTCAAGTCACAGAACTGAACATTCCCTTACATAGAGCATGTTTGAAACACTCTTTCTGTAGTATCTGCAAGCGGACGTTTCAAGCGCTTTCAGGACTATGGTGAGAAAGGAAATATCTTCAAGTAAAAACTAGACAGAAGCATTCTCAGAAACTTATTTGCCATGTGTGTCCTCAACTAACAGAGTTGAACCTTTGTTTTGATACGGCATTTTGGAAACACTCTTTTTGTAGAATCTGCAGGTGGATATTCGGATAGCTTTGAAGGTTTCGTTGGAAACGGGAATATCTTCATAGAAAATCTAGACGGAAGCATTCTCAGAAACTGCTTTGTGATGTTTTCATTCAAGTCACAGAGTAGAATGTTCCCTTTTATATACCAGGTTTGAGACACTCTTTCTGCACTATCTGGAAGTGGACATTTGGAGCGCTTTGAGGCCTATGATGAAAAAGGAAATATCTTCCCATAAAAACTAGACAGAAGCATTCTCAGAAACTTGTTTGTGATGTGTGTATTCAACTAACAGAGATGAACCTTTCTTTTTACAGAGCAGTTTTGAAACACTCTTTTTGTGGAATCTGAAAGTGGATATTTGGATAGCTTTGAGGATTTCGTTGGAAACGGGATTACATATAAAATCTAGAGAGAAGCATTCTCAGGAACTTCTTTGTGATGTTTGCATTCACGTCACAGAACTGAACATTCCCTTTCATAGAGCATGTTTGAAACACTCTTTCTGTAGTATCTGCAAACGGACATTTCAAACGCTTTCAGGCCTATGGTGAGAAAGGAAATATCTTCACATAAAAACTAGACAGAAGCATTCTCAGAAACTTATTTGCGATGTGTGTCCTCAACTAACAGAGTTGAACCTTTCTTTTGATACAACATTTTGGAAACACTCTTTTTGTAGAATCTGCAAGTGGATATTTGAATAGCTTTGAAGGTTTCGTTGGAAACGGGAATATCTTCATATAAAATCAAGACAGAAGCATTCTCAGAAACTTCTCTGTGATGTTTGCATTCAACTCATAGAGTTGAACACTTCCCTTCATACAGCAGGTTTGAAACACTCTTTTTGTAATATTTGGAAGTGGACATTTGCAGCGCTTTGAGGCCTATGATGAAAAAGGTAATATCTTCCCATAAAAACTAGACAGAAGCATTCTCAGAAACTTGTTTGTGATGTGTGTATTCAACTAACAGAGATGAACCTTTCTTTTTACAGAGCAGTTTTGAAACACTCTTTTTGTGGAATCTGAAAGTGGATATTTGGATAGCTTTGCGGATTTCGTTGGAAACGGGATTACATATAAAACCTAGAGAGAAGCATTCTCAGGAATTTCTTTGTGATGTTTGCATTCACGTCACAGAACTGAACATTCCCTTTCATAGAGCATGTTTGAAACACTCTTTCTATAGTATCTGCAAACGGACATTTCAAACGCTTTCAGGCCTATGGTGAGAAAGGAAATATCTTCAAGTAAAAACTAGACAGAAGCATTCTCAGAAACTTATTTGCCATGTGTGTTCTCAACTAACAGAGTTGAACCTTTGTTTTGATACGGCATTTTGGAAAAACTCTTTTTGTAGAATCTGCAGGTGGATATTCGGATAGCTTTGAAGGTTTCGTTGGAAACGGGAATATCTTCATATAAAATCTAGACGGAAGCATTCTCAGAAAGTGCTTTGTGATGTTTGCATTCAAGTCACAGAGTTGAATATTCCCTTTTATAGAGCAGGTTTGAAACACTCTTTCTGCACTACCTGGAAGTGGACATTTGGAGCGCTTTGAGGCCTATGTTGAAAAAGGAAATATCTTCCCATAAAAACTGGACAGAAGCATTCTCAGAAACTTGTTCATGATGTGTGTATTCAACTAACAGAGATGAACCTTTCTTTTTACAGAGCAGTTTTGAAACACTCTTCTTGTGGAATCTGAAAGTGGATATTTGGATAGCTTTGAGGATTTCGGTGGAAACGGGATTACATATAAAACCTAGAGAGAAGCATTCTCAGGAACTTCTTTGTGATGTTTGCCTTCAAGTCACAGGACTGAACATTCCCTTTCATAGAGCAGGTTTGAAACACTCTTTCTGTAGTATCTGCAAGCTGACGTTTCAAGCGCTTTCAGGCCTATGGTGAGAAAGGAAATATCTTCAAGTAAAAACTAGACAGAAGCATTCTCAGAAACTTATTTGCCATGTGTGTTCTCAACTAACAGAGTTGAACCTTTGTTTTGATACGGCATTTTGGAAACACTCTTTTTGTAGAATCTGCAGGTGGATATTCGGATAGCTTTGAAGGTTTCGTTGGAAACGGGAATATCTTCATATAAAATCTAGACGGAAGCATTCTCAGAAACTGCTTTGTGATGTTTTCATTCAAGTCACAGAGTAGAATGTTCCCTGTTATATACCAGGTTTGAGACACTCTTTCTGCACTACCCGGAAGTGGACGTTTGGAGCGCTTTGAGGCCTATGTTGAAAAAGGAAATATCTTCCCATAAAAGCTAGACAGAAGCATTCTCAGAAACTTGTTTGTGATGTGTGTATTCAACTAACAGAGATGAACCTTTCTTTTTACAGAGCAGTTTTGAAACACTCTTTTTGTGGAATCTGAAAGTGGATATTTGGATAGCTTTGAGGATTTCGTTGGAAACGGGATTACATATAAAACCTAGAGAGAAGCATTCTCAGGAACTTCTTTGTGATGTTTGCATTCAAGTCACAGGACTGAACATTCCCTTTCATAGAGCAGGTTTGAAACACTCTTTCTGTAGTATCTGCAAGCTGACGTTTCAAGCGCTTTCAGGCCTATGGTGAGAAAGGAAATATCTTCAAGTAAAAACTAGACAGAAGCATTCTCAGAAACTTATTTGAGATGTGTGTTCTCAACTAACAGAGTTGAACCTTTGTTTTGATATGGCATTTTGGAAACACTCTTTTTGTAGAATCTGCAGGTGGATATTCGGATAGCTTTGAAGGTTTCGTTGGAAACGGGAATATCTTCATATAAAATCAAGACAGAAGCATTCTCAGAAACTGCTTTGTGATGTTTTCATTCAAGTCACAGAGTAGAATGTTCCCTGTTATATACCAGGTTTGAGACACTCTTTCTGCACTACCTGGAAGTGGACGTTTGGAGCGCTTTGAGGCCTATGTTGAAAAAGGAAATATCTTCCCATAAAAACTAGACAGAAGCATTCTCAGAAACTTGTTTGTGATGTGTGTATTCAACTAACAGGGATGAACTTTTCTTATTACAGAGCAGTTTTGAAACACTCTTTTTGTGGAATCTGAAAGTGGATATTTGGATAGCTTTGCGGATTTCGTTGGAAACGGGATTACATATAAAATCTAGGGAGAAGCATTCTCAGAAAGTTATTTGCGATGTGTGTCCTCAACTAACAGAGTTGAACCTTTCTTTTGATACAACATTTTGGAAACACTCTTTTTGTAGAATCTGCAAGTGGATATTTGAATAGCTTTGAAGGTTTCGTTGGAAACGGGAATATCTTCAAATAAAAACTAGACAGAAGCATTCTCAGAAACTTATTTGCGATGTGTGTCCTCAACTAACAGAGTTGAACCTTTCTTTTGATACAACATTTTGGAAACACTCTTTTTGTAGAATCTGTAAGTGGATATTTGGATAGCTTTGAAGGTTTCGTTGGAAACGGGAATATCTTCATATGAAATCAAGACAGAAGCATTCTCAGAAACTTCTCTGTGATGTTTGCATTCAACTCATAGAGTTGAACACTTCCCTTCATACAGCAGGTTTGAAACACTCTTTTTGTAATATTTGGAAGTGGACATTTGCAGCGCTTTGAGGCCTATGTTGAAAAAGGAAATATCTTCTCCTAAAAACCAGACAGAAGCATTCTCAGAAACTTCCTTGTGATGTGTGTACTCAAGTAACAGAGTTGAACCTTCCTTTTGACAGAGCAGTTTTGAAGCACTCTTTTTGTAGAATCTGCAAGTGGATATTTTGATACCTTTGAGGATTTCGTTGGACGCGGGATATCTTCATATAAAATCTAGACAGAAGCATTCTCAGGAACTTCTTTGTGATGTTTGCATTCAAGTCACAGAACTGAACATTCCCTTTCATAGTGCAGGTTTGAAACACTCTTTCTGTAGTATCTGCAAGCTGACGTTTCAAGCGCTTTCAGGCCTGTGGTGAAAAAGGAAATATCTTCAAATAAAAACTAGACAGAAGCATTCTCAGAAACTTATTTGCGATGTGTGTCCTCAACTAACAGAGTTGAACCTTTGTTTTGATACAGCATTTTGGAAACACTCTTTTTGTAGGATCTGCAGGTGGATATTTGGATAGCTTTTAAGGTTTCGTTGGAAACGGGAATATCTTCATATAAAATCAAGACAGAAGCATTCTCAGAAACTTCTCAGTGATGTTTGCATTCAACTCATAGAGTTGAACACTTCCCTTCATAGAGCAGGTTTGAAACACTCTTTTTGTAATATTTGGAAGTGGACATTTACAGCGCTTTGAGGCCTATGTTGAAAAAGGAAATATCTTCCCATAAAAACTAGACAGAAGCATTCTCAGAAACTTGTTTGTGATGTGTGTATTCAACTAACAGAGATGAACCTTTCTTTTTACAGAGCAGTTTTGAAACACTCTTTTTGTGGAATCTGAAAGTGGATATTTGGATAGCTTTGAGGATTTCGTTGGAAACGGGATTACATATAAAATCTAGGGAGAAGCATTCTCAGGAACTTCTATTTGATGTTTGCATTCAAGTCACAGAACTGAAAATTCCCTTTCATAGAGCAGGTTTGAAACACTCTTTCTGTAGTATCTGCAAGCGGACGTTTCAAGCGCTTTCAGGCCTGTGGTGAAAAAGGAAATATCTTCAAATAAAAACTAGACAGAAGCATTCTCAGAAACTTATTTGCGATGTGTGTTCTCAACTAACGGAGTTGAACCTTTGTTTTGATACAGCATTTTGGAAACACTCTTTTTGTTGGATCTGCAGGTGGATATTTGGATAGCTTTGAAGGTTTCGTTGGAAACGGGAATATCTTCATATAAAATCAACACAGAAGCATTCTCAGAAAGTGCTTTGTGATGTTTGCATTCAAGTCACAGAGTTGAATATTCCCTTTTATAGAGCAGGTTTGAAACACTCTTTCTGCACTATCTGGAAGTGGACATTTGGAGCGCTTTGAGGCCTATGTTGTAAAAGGAAATATCTTCCCATAAAAACTAGACAGAAGCATTCTCAGAAACTTGTTTGTGATGTGTGTATTCAACTAACAGAGATGAACCTTTCTTTTTACAGAGCAGTTTTGAAACACTCTTTTTGTGGAATCTGAAAGTGGATATTTGGATAGCTTTGCGGATTTCTTTGGAAACGGGATTACATATAAAATCTAGAGAGAAGCATTCTCAGGAACTTCTTTGTGATGTTTGCATTCACGTCACAGAACTGAACATTCCCTTTCATAGAGCATGTTTGAAACACTCTTTCTGTAGTATCTGCAAACGGACATTTCAAGCGCTTTCAGGCCTATGGTAAGAAAGGAAATTTCTTCAAATAAAAACTAGACAGAAGCATTCTCAGAAACTTATTTGCGATGTGTGTCCTCAACTAACAGAGTTGAACCTTTGTTTTGATACAACATTTTGGAAACACTCTTTTAGTAGAATCTGCAAGTGGATATTTGGATAGCTTTGAAGGTTTCGTTGGAAACGGGAATATCTTCATATAAAATCAAGACAGAAGCATTCTCAGAAACTTCTCTGTGATGTTTGCATTCAACTCATAGAGGTGAACACTTCCCTTCATAGAGCAGGTTTGAAACACTCTTTTTGTAATATTTGGAAGTGGACATTTGCAGCGCTTTGAGGCCTATGTTGAAAAACGAAATATCTTCTCCTAAAAACCAGACAGAAGCATTCTCAGAAACTTATTTGCGATGTGTGTCCTCAACTAACAGAGTTGAACCTTTCTTTTGATACAACATTTTGGAAACACTCTTTTTGTAGAATCTGCAAGTGGATATTTGGATAGCTTTGAAGGTTTCGTTGGAAACGGGAATATCTTCATATGAAATCAAGACAGAAGCATTCTCAGAAACTTCTCTGTGATGTTTGCATTCAACTCATAGAGTTGAACACTTCCCTTCATACAGCAGGTTTGAAACACTCTTTTTCTAATATTTGGAAGTGGACATTTTCAGCGCTTTGAGGCCTATGTTGAAAAAGGATATATCTTCTCCTAAAAACCAGACAGAAGCATTCTCAGAAACTTCCTTGTGATGTGTGTACTCAAGTAACAGAGTTGAACCTTCCTTTTGACAGAGCAGTTTTGAAGCACTCTTTTTGTAGAATCTGCAAGTGGATATTTTGATACCTTTGAGGATTTCGTTGGACACGGGATATCTTCATATAAAATCTAGACAGAAGCATTCTCAGGAACTTCTTTGTGATGTTTTCATTCACGTCACAGAACTGAACATTCCCTTTCATAGAGCATGTTTGAAACACAATTTCTGTAGTATCTGCAAAGGGACATTTCAAACGCTTTCAGGCCTATGGTGAGAAAGGAAATATCTTCAAATAAAAACTAGACAGAAGCATTCTCAGCAAACTTATTTGCCATGTGTGTTCTCAACTAACAGAGTTTAACCTTTGTTTGGATACGGCATTTTGGAAACACTCTTTTTGTAGAATCTGCAGGTGGATATTCGGATAGCTTTGAAGGTTTCGTTGGAAACGGGAATATCTTCATATAAAATCTAGACGGAAGCATTCTCAGAAACTTCTCTGTGATGTTTGCATTCAACTCATAGAGTTGAACACTTCCCTTCATACAGCAGGTTTGAAACACTCTTTTTGTAATATTTGGAAGTGGACATTTGCAGCGCTTTGAGGCCTATGATGAAAAAGGTAATATCTTCCCATAAAAACTAGACAGAAAGCATTCTCAGAAACTTGTTTGTGATGTGTGTATTCAACTAACAGAGATGAACCTTCCTTTTTACAGAGCAGTTTTGAAACACTCTTTTTGTGGAATCTGAAAGTGGATATTTGGATAGCTTTGAGGATTTCGTTGGAAACGGGATTACATATAAAACCTAGAGAGAAGCATTCTCAGGAACTTCTTTGTGATGTTTGCCTTCAAGTCACAGGACTGAACATTCCCTTTCATAGAGCAGGTTTGAAACACTCTTTCTGTAGTATCTGCAAGCTGACGTTTCATGCGCTTTCAGGCCTATGGTGAGAAAGGAAATATCTTCAAGTAAAAACTAGACAGAAGCATTGTCAGAAACTTATTTGCCATGTGTGTTCTCAACTAACAGAGTTGAACCTTTGTTTTGATACGGCATTTTGGAAACACTCTTTTTGTAGAATCTGCAGGTGGATATTCGGATAGCTTTGAAGGTTTCGTTGGAAACGGGAATATCTTCATATAAAATCTAGACGGAAGCATTCTCAGAAACTGCTTTGTGATGTTTTCATTCAAGTCACAGAGTAGAATGTTCCCTGTTATATACCAGGTTTGAGACACTCTTTCTGCACTACCTGGAAGTGGACGTTTGGAGCGCTTTGAGGCCTATGTTGAAAAAGGAAATATCTTCCCATAAAAACTAGACAGAAGCATTCTCAGAAACTTGTTTGTGATGTGTGTATTCAACTAACAGAGATGAACCTTTCTTTTTACAGAGCAGTTTTGAAACACTCTTTTTGTGGAATCTGAAAGTGGATATTTGGATAGCTTTGAGGATTTCGTTGGAAACGGGATTACATATAAAACCTAGAGAGAAGCATTCTCAGGAACTTCTTTGTGATGTTTGCATTCAAGTCACAGAACTGAACATTCCCTTTCATAGAGCAGGTTTGAAACACTCTTTCTGTAGTATCTGCAAGCTGACGTTTCAAGCGCTTTCAGGCCTATGGTGAGAAAGGAAATATCTTCAAGTAAAAACTAGACAGAAGCATTCTCAGAAACTTATTTGCCATGTGTGTTCTCAACTAACAGAGTTGAACCTTTGTTTTGATACGGCATTTTGGACACACTCTTTTTGTAGAATCTGCAGGTGGATATTCGGATAGCTTTGAAGGTTTCGTTGGAAACGGGAATATCTTCATATAAAATCTAGACGGAAAGCATTCTCAGAAACTGCTTTGTGATGTTTTCATTCAAGTCACAGAGTAGAATGTTCCCTGTTATATACCAGGTTTGAGACACTCTTTCTGCACTACCTGGAAGTGGACATTTGCAGCGCTTTGAGGCCTATGATGAAAAAGGAAATATCTTCTCCTAAAAACCAGACAGAGCATTCTCAGAAACTTGTTTGTGATGTGTGTATTCAACTAACAGAGATGAACCTTTCTTTTTACAGAGCAGTTTTGAAACACTCTTTTTGTGGAATCTGAAAGTGGATATTTGGATAGCTTTGAGGATTTCGTTGGAAACGGGATTACATATAAAACCTAGAGAGAAGCATTCTCAGGAACTTCTTTGTGATGTTTGCATTCAAGTCACAGAACTGAACATTCCCTTTCATAGAGCAGGTTTGAAACACTCTTTCTGTAGTATCTGCAAGCTGACGTTTCAAGCGCTTTCAGGCCTATGGTGAGAAAGGAAATATCTTCAAGTAAAAACTAGACAGAAGCATTCTCAGAATCTTATTTGCCATGTGTGTTCTCAACTAGCAGAGTTGAACCTTTGTTTTAATACGGCATTTTGGAAACACTCTTTTTGTAGAATCTGCAGGTGGATATTCGGATAGCTTTGAAGGTTTCGTTGGAAACGGGAATATCTTCATATAAAATCTAGACGGAAGCATTCTCAGAAACTGCTTTGTGATGTTTTCATTCAAGTCACAGAGTAGAATGTTCCCTGTTATATACCAGGTTTGAGACACTCTTTCTACACTACCTGGAAGTGGACATTTGGAGCGCTTTGAGGCCTATGATGAAAAAGGAATTATCTTCCCATAAAAACTAGACAGAAGCATTCTCAGAAACTTGTTTGTGATGTGTGTATTCAACTAACAGAGATGAACCTTTCTTTTTACAGAGCAGTTTTGAAACACTCTTTTTGTGGAATCTGAAAGTGGATATTTGGATAGCTTTGAGGATTTCGTTGGAAACGGGATTACATATAAAATCTAGGGAGAAGCATTCTCAAGAACTTCTTCGTGATGTTTGCATTCACGTCACAGAACTGATCATTCCCTTTCATAGAGCATGTTTGAAACACTCTTTCTGTAGTGTCTGCAAACGGACATTTCAAACGCTTTCAGGCCTATGGTGAGAAACGAAATATCTTCAAATAAAAACTAGACAGAAGCATTCTCAGAAACTTATTTGCGATGTGTGTCCTCAACTAACAGAGTTGAACCTTTGTTTTGATACAACATTTTGGAAGCACTCTTTTTGTAGAATCTGCAAGTGGATATTTGGATAGCTTTGAAGGTTTCGTTGGAAACGGGAATATCTTCATATAAAATCAAGACAGAAGCATTCTCAGAAACTGCTTTGTGATGTTTTCATTCAAGTCACAGAGTAGAATGTTCCCTGTTATATACCAGGTTTGAGACACTCTTTCTGCACTACCTGGAAGTGGACATTTGCAGCGCTTTGAGGCCTATGATGAAAAAGGAAATATCTTCCCATAAGAACTAGACAGAAGCATTCTCAGAAACTTGTTTGTGATGTGTGTATTCAACTAACAGAGATGAACCTTTCTTTTTACAGAGCAGTTTTGAAACACTCTTTTTGTGGAATCTGAAAGTGGATATTTGGATAGCTTTGAGGATTTCGTTGGAAACGGGATTACATATAAAACCTAGAGAGAAGCATTCTCAGGAACTTCTTTGTGATGTTTGCATTCACGTCACAGAACTGAACATTCCCTTTCATAGAGCATGTTTGAAACACTCTTTCTGTAGTATCTACAAACGGACATTTCAAACGCTTCCAGGCCTATGGTGAGAAAGGAAATATCTTCAAATAAAAACTAGACAGAAGCATTCTCAGAAACTTATTTGCGATGTGTGTCCTCAACTAACAGAGTTGAACCTTTCTTTTGATACAACATTTTGGAAACACTCTTTTTGAAGAATCTGCAAGTGGATATTTGGATAGCTTTGAAGGTTTCGTTGGAAACGGGAATATCTTCATATAAAATCAAGACAGAAGCATTCTCAGAAACTTCTCTGTGATGTTTGCATTCAACTCATAGAGTTGAACGCTTCCCTTCATACAGCAGGTTTGAAACACTCTTTTTGTAATATTTGGAAGTGGACATTTGCAGCGCTTTGAGGCCTATGATGAAAAAGGTAATATCTTCCCATAAAAACTAGACAGAAGCATTCTCAGAAACTTGTTTGTGATGTGTGTATTCAACTAACAGAGATGAACCTTTCTTTTTACAGAGCAGTTTTGAAACACTCTTTTTGTGGAATCTGAAAGTGGATATTTGGATAGCTTTGCGGATTTCGTTGGAAGCGGGATTACATATAAAATCTAGGGAGAAGCATTCTCAGGAACTTCTTTGTGATGTTTGCATTCACGTCACAGAACTGAACATTCCCTTTCATAGAGCATGTTTGAAACACTCTTTCTGTAGTATCTGCAAGCGGACATTTCAAACGCTTTCAGGCCTATGGTGAGAAAGGAAATATCTTCAAATAAAAACTAGACAGAAGCATTCTCAGAAACTTATTTGCGATGTGTGTTCTCAACTAACAGAGTTGAACCTTTGTTTTGATATGGCATTTTGGAAACACTCTTTTTGTAGAATCTGCAGGTGGATATTCGGATAGCTTTGAAGGTTTCGTTGGAAACGGGAATATCTTCATATAAAATCTAGACGGAAGCATTCTCAGAAAGTGCTTTGTGATGTTTGCATTCAAGTCACAGAGTTGAATATTCCCTTTTATAGAGCAGGTTTGAAACACTCTTTCTGCACTACCTGGAAGTGGACATTTGGAGCGCTTTGAGGCCTATGTTGAAAAAGGAAATATCTTCCCATAAAAACTAGACAGAAGCATTCTCAGAAACTTGTTTGTGATGTGTGTATTCAACTAACAGAGATGAACCTTTCTTTTTACAGAGCAGTTTTGAAACACTCTTTTTGTGGAATCTGAAAGTGGATATTTGGATAGCTTTGAGGATTTCGTTGGAAACGGGATTACATATAAAATCTAGAGAGAAGCATTCTCAGGAACTTCTTTGTGATGTTTGCATTCACGTCACAGAACTGAACATTCCCTTTCATAGGGCATGTTTGAAACACTCTTTCTGTAGTATCTGCAAACGGACATTTCAAACGCTTTCAGGCCTATGGTGAGAAAGGAAATATCTTCAAATAAAAACTAGACAGAAGCATTCTCAGAAACTTATTTGCGATGTGTGTCCTCAACTAACAGAGTTGAACCTTTCTTTTGATACAACATTTTGGAAACACTCTTTTTGTAGAATCTGCAAGTGGATATTTGCATAGCTTTGAAGGTTTCGTTGGAAACGGGAATATCTTCATATAAAATCAAGACAGAAGCATTCTCAGAAACTTCTCTGTGATGTTTGCATTCAACTCATAGAGTTGAACACTTCCCTTCATACAGCAGGTTTGAAACACTCTTTTTGTAATATTTGGAAGTGGACATTTGCAGCGCTTTGAGGCCTATGTTGAAAAAGGAAATATCTTCTCCTAAAAACCAGACAGAAGCATTCTCAGAAACTTCCTTGTGATGTGTGTACTCAAGTAACAGAGTTGAACCTTCCTTTTGACAGAGCAGTTTTGAAGCACTCTTTTTGTAGAATCTGCAAGTGGATATTTTGATACCTTTGAGGATTTCGTTGGACACGGGATATCTTCATATAAAATCTAGACAGAAGCATTCTCAGGAACTTCTTTGTGATGTTTGCATTCAAGTCACAGAACTGAACATTCCCTTTCATAGAGCAGGTTTGAAACACTCTTTCTGTAGTATCTGCAAGCGGACGTTTTAAGCGCTTTCAGGCCTGTGGTGAGAAAGGAAATATCTTCAAATAAAAACTAGACAGAAGCATTCTCAGAAACGTATTTGCGATGTGTGTCCTCAACTAACAGAGTTGAACCTTTCTTTTGATACAACATTTTGGAAACACTCTTTTTGTAGAATCTGCAAGTGGATATTTGGATAGCTTTGAAGGTTTCGTTGGAAACGGGAATATCTTCATATGAAATCAAGACAGAAGCATTCTCAGAAACTTCTCTGTGATGTTTGCATTCAACTCATAGAGTTGAACACTTCCCTTCATACAGCAGGTTTGAAACACTCTTTTTCTAATATTTGGAAGTGGACATTTGCAGCGCTTTGAGGCCTATGTTGAAAAAGGAAATATCTTCTCCTAAAAACCAGACAGGAAGCATTCTCAGAAACTTCCTTGTGATGTGTGTACTCAAGTAACAGAGTTGAACCTTCCTTTTGACAGAGCAGTTTTGAAGCACTCTTTTTGTAGAATCTGCAAGTGGATATTTTGATACCTCTGAGGATTTCGTTGGAAACGGGATTACATATAAAACCTAGAGAGAAGCATTCTCAGGAACTTCTTTGTGATGTTGGCCTTCAAGTCACAGGACTGAACATTCCCTTTCATAGAGCAGGTTTGAAACACTCTTTCTGTAGTATCTGCAAGCTGACGTTTCAAGCGCTTTCAGGCCTATGGTGAGAAAGGAAATATCTTCAAGTAAAAACTAGACAGAAGCCTTCTCAGAAACTTTTTGCGATGTGTGTCCTCAACTAACAGAGTTGAACCTTTGTTTTGATACAACATTTTGGAAACACTCTTTTTGTAGAATCTGCAAGTGGATATTTGGATAGCTTTGAAGGTTTCGTTGGAAACGGGAATATCTTCATATAAAATCAAGACAGAAGCATTCTCAGAAACTGCTTTGTGATGTTTTCATTCAAGTCACAGAGTAGAATGTTCGGTGTTATATATCAGGTTTGAGACACTCTTTCTGCACTACCTGGAAGTGGACGTTTGGAGCGCTTTGAGGCCTATGTTGAAAAAGGAAATATCTTCCCATAAAAACTAGACAGAAGCATTCTCAGAAACTTGTTTGTGATGTGTGTATTCAACTAACAGAGATGAACCTTTCTTTTTACAGAGCAGTTTTGAAACACTCTTTTTGTGGAATCTGAAAGTGGATATTTGGATAGCTTTGAGGATTTCGTTGGAAACGGGATTACATATAAAATCTAGAGAGAAGCATTCTCAGGAACTTCTTTGTGATGTTTGCATTCAAGTCACAGAACTGAACATTCCCTTTCATAGAGCATGTTTGAAACACTCTTTCTGTAGTATCTGCAAACGGACATTTCAAACGCTTTCAGGCCTATGGTGAGAAAGGAAATATCTTCAAATAAAAACTAGACAGAAGCATTCTCAGAAACTTATTTGCGATGTGTGTCCTCAACTAACAGAGTTGAACCTTTCTTTTGATACAACATTTTGGAAACACTCTTTTTGTAGAATCTGCAAGTGGATATTTGGATAGCTTTGAAGGTTTCGTTGGAAACGGGAATATCTTCATATAAAATCAAGACAGAAGCATTCTCAGAAACTGCTTTGTGATGTTTTCATTCAAGTCACAGAGTAGAATGTTCCCTGTTATATACCAGGTTTGAGACACTCTTTCTGCACTACCTGGAAGTGGACGTTTGGAGCGCTTTGAGGCCTATGTTGAAAAAGGAAATATCTTCCCATAAAAACTAGACAGAAGCATTCTCAGAAACTTGTTTGTGATGTGTGTATTCAACTAACAGGGATGAACCTTTCTTATTACAGAGCAGTTTTGAAACACTCTTTTTGTGGAATCTGAAAGTGGATATTTGGATAGCTTTGAGGATTTCGTTGGAAACGGGATTACATATAAAACCTAGAGAGAAGCATTCTCAGGAACTTCTTTGTGATGTTTGCATTCAAGTCACAGAACTGAACATTCCCTTTCATAGAGCATGTTTGAAACACTCTTTCTGTAGTATCTGCAAGCGGACGTTTTAAGCGCTTTCAGGCCTGTGGTGAGAAAGGAAATATCTTCAAATAAAAACTAGACAGAAGCATTCTCAGAAACTTATTTGCGATGTGTGTCCTCAACTAACAGAGTTGAACCTTTCTTTTGATACAACATTTTGGAAACACTCTTTTTGTAGAATCTGCAAGTGGATATTTGGATAGCTTTGAAGGTTTCGTTGGAAACGGGAATATCTTCATATGAAATCAAGACTGAAGCATTCTCAGAAACTGCTTTGTGATGTTTTCATTCAAGTCACAGAGTAGAATGTTCCCTGTTATATACCAGGTTTGAGACACTCTTTCTGCACTACCTGGAAGTGGAGGTTTGGAGCGCTTTGAGGCCTATGTTGAAAAAGGAAATATCTTCCTGTAAAAACTAGACAGAAGCATTCTCAGAAACTTGTTTGTGATGTGTGTATTCAACTAACAGAGATGAACCTTTCTTTTTACAGAGCAGTTTTGAAACACTCTTTTTGTGGAATCTGAAAGTGGATATTTGGATAGCTTTGAGGATTTCGTTGGAAACGGGATTACATATAAAATCTAGGGAGAAGCATTCTCAGGAACTTCTTTGTGATGTTTGCATTCAAGTCACAGAACTGAACATTCCCTTTCATAGAGCAGGATTGAAACACTCTTTCTGTAGTATCTGCAAGCGGACGTTTCAAGCGCTTTCAGGCCTGTGTTGAAAAAGGAAATATCTTCAAATAAAAACTAGACAGAAGCATTCTCAGAAACTTATTTGCGATGTGTGTCCTCAACTAACAGAGTTGAACCTTTCTTTTGATACAACATTTTGGAAACACTCTTTTTGTAGAATCTGCAAGTGGATATTTGGATAGCTTTGAAGGTTTCGTTGGAAACGGGAATATCTTCATATGAAATCAAGACAGAAGCATTCTCAGAAACTTCTCTGTGATGTTTGCATTCAACTCATAGAGTTGAACACTTCCCTTCATACAGCAGGTTTGAAACACTCTTTTTGTAATATTTGGAAGTGGACATTTGCAGCGCTTTGAGGCCTATGTTGAAAAAGGAAATATCTTCTCCTAAAAACCAGACAGAAGCATTCTCAGAAACTTCCTTGTGATGTGTGTACTCAAGTAACAGAGTTGAACCTTACTTTTGACAGAGCCGTTTTGAAACAGTCTTTTTGTAGAATCTGGAAGTAGATATTTGGATACCTTTGAGGATTTCTTTGGAAACGGGATATCTTCATATAAAATCTAGACAGAAGCATTCTCAGGAACTTCTTTGTGATGTTTGCATTCACGTCACAGAACTGAACATTCCCTTTCATAGAGCATGTTTGAAACACTCTTTCTGTAGTATCTGCAAACGGACATTTCAAACGCTTTCAGGCCTATGGTGAGAAAGGAAATATCTTCAAATAAAAACTAGACAGAAGCATTCTCAGAAACTTATTTGCGATGTGTCTCCTCAACTAACAGAGTTGAACCTTTCTTTTGATACAACATTTTGGAAACACTCTTTTTGTAGAATCTGCAAGTGGATATTTGGATAGCTTTGAAGGTTTCGTTGGAAACGGGAATATCTTCATTTAAAATCAAGACAGAAGCATTCTCAGAAAGTGCTTTGTGATGTTTGCATTCAAGTCACAGAGTTGAATATTCCCTTTTATAGAGCAGGTTTGAAACACTCTTTCTGCACTACCTGGAAGTGGACATTTGGAGCGCTTTGAGGCCTATGTTGAAAAAGGAAATATCTTCCCATAAAAACTAGACAGAAGCTTTCTCAGAAACTTGTTTGTGATGTGTGTACTCAACTAACAGAGATGAACCTTTCTTTTTACAGAGCAGTTTTGAAACACTCTTTTTGTGGAATCTGAAAGTGGATATTTGGATAGCTTTGAGGATTTCGTTGGAAACGGGATTACATATAAAATCTAGAGAGAAGCATTCTCAGGAACTTCTTTGTGATGTTTGCATTCACGTCACAGAACTGAACATTCCCTTTCATAGAGCATGTTTGAAACACTCTTTCTGTAGTATCTGCAAACGGACATTTCAAACGCTTTCAGGCCTATGGTGAGAAAGGAAATATCTTCAAATAAAAACTAGACAGAAGCATTCTCAGCAACTTATTTGCGATGTGTGTCCTCAACTAACAGAGTTGAACCTTTCTTTTGATACAACATTTTGGAAACACTCTTTTTGTAGAATCTGCAAGTGGATATTTGGATAGCTTTGAAGGTTTCGTTGGAAACGGGAATATCTTCATATAAAATCAAGACAGAAGCATTCTCAGAAACTTCTCTGTGATGTTTGCATTCAACTCATAGAGTTGAACACTTCCCTTCATACAGCAGGTTTGAAACACTCTTTTTGTAATATTTGGAAGTGGACTTTTGCAGCGCTTTGAGGCCTATGATGAAAAAGGTAATATCTTCCCATAAAAACTAGACAGAAGCATTCTCAGAAACTTGTTTGTGATGTGTGTATTCAACTAACAGAGATGAACCTTTCTTTTTACAGAGCAGTTTTGAAACACTCTTTTTGTGGAATCTGAAAGTGGATATTTGGATAGCTTTGCGGATTTCGTTGGAAACGGGATTACATATAAAATCTAGGGAGAAGCATTCTCAGGAACTTCTTTGTGATGTTTGCATTCAAGTCACAGAACTGAACATTCCCTTTCATAGAGCAGGTTTGAAACACTCTTTCTGTAGTATCTGCAAGCGGACGTTTTAAGCGCTTTCAGGCCTGTGGTGAGAAAGGAAATATCTTCAAATAAAAACTAGACAGAAGCATTCTCAGAAACTTATTTGCGATGTGTGTCCTCAACTAACAGAGTTGAACCTTTCTTTTGATACAACATTTTGGAAACACTCTTTTTGTAGAATCTGCAAGTGGATATTTGGATAACTTTGAAGGTTTCGTTGGAAACGGGAATATCTTCATATGAAATCAAGACAGAAGCATTCTCAGAAACTTCTCTGTGATGTTTGCATTCAACTCATAGAGTTGAACACTTCCCTTCATACAGCAGGTTTGAAACACTCTTTTTGTAATATTTGGAAGTGGACATTTGCAGCGCTTTGAGGCCTATGTTGAAAAAGGAAATATCTTCTCCTAAAAACCAGACAGAAGCATTCTCAGAAACTTCCTTGTGATGTGTGTACTCAAGTAACAGAGTTGAACCTTACTTTTGACAGAGCCGTTTTGAAACAGTCTTTTTGTAGAATCTGGAAGTAGATATTTGGATACCTTTGAGGATTTCTTTGGAAACGGGATATCTTCATACAAAATCTAGACAGAAGCATTCTCAGAAACTTCTTTGTGCTGTATGTCCTCAATTAACAGAGTTGAACCTTTGTGTGGATACAGCATTTTGGAAACATTCCTTTAGTAGAATCTGCATGTTGATATTTAGATAGCTAGGAAGATTTCCTTGGAAACGGGAATATCTTCATATAAAATCTAGACGGAAGCATTCTGAGAAAATGCTTTGTGATGTCTTCATTCAAGTCACAGAGTAGAATGTTCCCTTTTATAGAGCAGGTTTGAAACACTCTGTGCACTACCTGGAAGTGGACATTTGGAGCGCTTTGAGGCCTATGTTGAAAAAGGAAATATCTTCCCATAGAAACTAGACAGAAGCATTCTCAGAAACTTGTTTGTGATGTGTGTATTCAACTAACAGAGATGAACCTTTCTTTTTACAGAGCAGTTTTGAAACACTCTTTTTGTGGAATCTGAAAGTGGATATTTGGATAGCTTTGAGGATTTCGTTGGAAACGGGATTACATATAAAACCTAGAGAGAAGCATTCTCAGGAAGTTCTTTGTGATGTTTGCCTTCAAGTCACAGGACTGAACATTCCCTTTCATAGAGCAGGTTTGAAACACTCTTTCTGTAGTATCTGCAAGCTGACGTTTCAAGCGCTTTCAGGCCTATGGTGAGAAAGGAAATATCTTCAAGTAAAAACTAGACAGAAGCATTCTCAGAAACTTCTTTGTGCTGTATGTCCTCAATTAACAGAGTTGAACCTTTGTGTGGATACAGCATTTTGGAAACACTCCTTTAGTAGAATCTGCAAGTTGATATTTAGATAGCTAGGAAGATTTCCTTGGAAACGGGAATATCTTCATATAAAATCCAGACGGAAGGATTCTCAGAAACTGCTTTGTGATGTCTTGATTCAAGTCACAGAGTAGAATGTTCCCTTTTATAGAGCAGGTTTGAAACACTCTGTGCACTACCTGGAAGTGGACATTTGGAGCGCTTTGAGGCCTATGTTGAAAAAGGAAATATCTTCCCATAGAAACTAGACAGAAGCATTCTCAGAAACTTGTTTGTGATGTGTGTATTCAACTAACAGAGATGAACCTTTCTTTTTACAGAGCAGTTTTGAAACACTCTTTTTGTGGAATCTGAAAGTGGATATTTGGATAGCTTTGAGGATTTCGTTGGAAACGGGATTACATATAAAATCTAGGGAGAAGCATTCTCAGGAAGTTCTTCGTGATCTTTGCATTCAAGTCACAGAACTGAACATTCCCTTTCATAGAGCAGGTTTGAAACACTCTTTCTGTAGTATCTGCAAGCGGAAATTCCAAGCGCTTTCAGGCCTGTGGTGAAAAAGGAAATATCTTCAAATAAAAACTAGACAGAAGCATTCTCAGAAACTTATTTGCGATGTGTGTCCTCAACTAACAGAGTTGAACCTTTCTTTTGATACAACATTTTGGAAACACTCTTTTTGTAGAATCTGCAAGTGGATATTTGGATAGCTTTGAAGGTTTCGTTGGAAACGGGAATATCTTCATATGAAATCAAGACAGAAGCATTCTCAGAAACTTCTCTGTGATGTTTGCATTCAACTCATAGAGTTGAACACTTCCCTTCATACAGCAGGTTTGAAACACTCTTTTTCTAATATTTGGAAGTGGACATTTGCAGCGCTTTGAGGCCTATGTTGAAAAAGGAAATATCTTCTCCTAAAAACCAGACAGAAGCATTCTCAGAAACTTGTTTGTGATGTGTGTATTCAACTAACAGAGATGAACCTTTCTTTTTACAGAGCAGTTTTGAAACACTCTTTTTGTGGAATCTGAAAGTGGATATTTGGATAGCTTTGAGGATTTCGTTGGAAACGGGATTACATATAAAACCTAGAGAGAAGCATTCTCAGGAACTTCTTTGTGATGTTTGCCTTCAAGTCACAGGACTGAACATTCCCTTTCATAGAGCAGGTTTGAAACACTCTTTCTGTAGTATCTGCAAGCTGACGTTTCATGCGCTTTCAGGCCTATGGTGAGAAAGGAAATATCTTCAAGTAAAAACTAGACAGAAGCATTCTCAGAAACTTATTTGCCATGTGTGTTCTCAACTAACAGAGTTGAACCTTTGTTTTGATACGGCATTTTGGAAACACTCTTTTTGTAGAATCTGCAGGTGGATATTCGGATAGCTTTGAAGGTTTCGTTGGAAACGGGAATATCTTCATATAAAATCTAGACGGAAGCATTCTCAGAAACTGCTTTGTGATGTTTTCATTCAAGTCACAGAGTAGAATGTTCCCTGTTATATACCAGGTTTGAGACACTCTTTCTGCACTACCTTGAAGTGGACGTTTGGAGCGCTTTGAGGCCTATGTTGAAAAAGGAAATATCTTCCCATAAAAACTAGACAGAAGCATTCTCAGAAACTTGTTTGTGATGTGTGTATTCAACTAACAGAGATGAACCTTTCTTTTTACAGAGCAGTTTTGAAACACTCTTTTTGTGGAATCTGAAAGTGGATATTTGGATAGCTTTGAGGATTTCGTTGGAAACGGGATTACATATAAAATCTAGAGAGAAGCATTCTCAGGAACTTCTTTGTGATGTTTGCATTCACGTCACAGAACTGAACATTCCCTTTCATAGAGCAGGTTTGAAACACTCTTTCTGTAGTATCTGCAAGCGGACGTTTTAAGCGCTTTCAGGCCTGTGGTGAGAAAGGAAATATCTTCAAATAAAAACTAGACAGAAGCATTCTCAGAAACTTCTTTGTGCTGTATGTCCTCAATTAACAGAGTTGAACCTTTGTGTGGATACAGCATTTTGGAAACATTCCTTTAGTAGAATCTGCAATTTGATATTTAGATAGCTAGGAAGATTTCCTTGGAAACGGGAATATCTTCATATAAAATCTAGACGGAAGCATTCTCAGAAACTGCTTTGTGATGTTTTCATTCAAGTCACAGCAGTAGAATGTTCCCTGTTATATACCAGGTTTGAGACACTCTTTCTGCACTACCCGGAAGTGGACGTTTGGAGCGCTTTGAGGCCTATGTTGAAAAAGGAAATATCTTCCCATAAAAACTAGACAGAAGCATTCTCAGAAACTTGTTTGTGATGTGTGTATTCAACTAACAGAGATGAACCTTTCTTTTTACAGAGCAGTTTTGAAACACTCTTTTTGTGGAATCTGAAAGTGGATATTTGGATAGCTTTGAGGATTTCGTTGGAAACGGGATTACATATAAAATCTAGAGAGAAGCATTCTCAGGAACTTCTTTGTGATGTTTGCATTCACGTCACAGAACTGAACATTCCCTTTCATAGAGCATGTTTGAAACACTCTTTCTGTAGTATCTACAAACGGACATTTCAAACGCTTTCAGGCCTATGGTGAGAAAGGAAATATCTTCAAATAAAAACTAGACAGAAGCATTCTCAGAAACTTATTTGCGATGTGTGTCCTCAACTAACAGAGTTGAACCTTTCTTTTGATACAACATTTTGGAAACACTCTTTTTGTAGAATCTGCAAGTGGATATTTGGATAGCTTTGAAGGTTTCGTTGGAAACGGGAATATCATCATATGAAATCAAGACAGAAGCATTCTCAGAAAGTGCTTTGTGATGTTTGCATTCAAGTCACAGAGTTGAATATTCCCTTTTATAGAGCAGGTTTGAAACACTCTTTCTGCACTACCTGGAAGTGGACATTTGGAGCGCTTTGACGCCTATGTTGAAAAAGGAAATATCTTCCCATAAAAACTAGACAGAAGCATTCTCAGAAACTTGTTTGTGATGTGTGTATTCAACTGAGATGAACCTTTCTTTTTACAGAGCAGTTTTGAAACACTCTTTTTGTGGAATCTGAAAGTGGATATTTGGATAGCTTTGAGGATTTCGTTGGAAACGGGATTACATATAAAATCTAGGGAGAAGCATTCTCAGGAACTTCTATTTGATGTTTGCATTCAAGTCACAGAACTGAAAATTCCCTTTCATAGAGCAGGTTTGAAACACTCTTTCTGTAGTATCTGCAAGCGGACGTTTCAAGCGCTTTCAGGCCTATGGTGAGAAAGGAAATATCTTCAAATAAAAACTAGACAGAATCATTCTCAGAAACTTATTTGCGATGTGTGTTCTCAACTAACAGAGTTGAACCTTTGTTTTGATACAGCATTTTGGAAACACTCTTTTTGTAGGATCTGCAGGTGGATATTTGGATAGCTTTGATGGTTTCGTTGGAAACGGGAATATCCTCATATAAAATCAAGACAGAAGCATTCTCAGAAACTTCTCTGTGATGTTTGCATTCAACTCATAGAGTTGAACACTTCCCTTCATACAGCAGGTTTGAAACACTCTTTTTGTAATATTTGGAAGTGGACATTTGCAGCGCTTTGAGGCCTATGATGAAAAAGGAAATATCTTCCCATAAAAACTAGACAGAAGCATTCTCAGAAACTTGTTTGTGATGTGTGTATTCAACTAACAGAGATGAACCTTTCTTTTTACAGAGTAGTTTTGAAACACTCTTTTTGTGGAATCCGAAAGTGGATATTTGGATAGCTTTGAGGATTTCGTTGGAAACGGGATTACATATAAAATCTAGGGAGAAGCATTCTCAGGAACTTCTTTGTGATGTTTGCATTCAAGTCACAGAACTGAACATTCCCTTTCATAGAGCATGTTTGAAACACTCTTTCTGTAGTATCTGCAAGCGGACGTTTGAAGCGCTTTCAGGCCTGTGGTGAAAAAGGAAATATCTTCAAATAAAAACTAGACAGAAGCATTCTCAGAAACTTATTTGCGATGTGTGTCCTCAACTAACAGAGTTGAACCTTTCTTTTGATACAACATTTTGGAACCACTCTTTTTGTAGAATCTGCAAGTGGATATTTGGATAGCTTTGAAGGTTTCGTTGGAAACGGGAATATCTTCATATAAAATCAAGACAGAAGCATTCTCAGAAACTGCTTTGTGATGTTTTCATTCAAGTCACAGAGTAGAATGTTCCCTGTTATATACCAGGTTTGAGACACTCTTTCTGCACTACCTGGAAGTGGACGTTTGGAGCGCTTTGAGGCCTATGTTGAAAAAGGAAATATCTTCCCATAAAAACTAGACAGAAGCATTCTCAGAAACTTGTTTGTGATGTGTGTATTCAACTAACAGAGATGAACCTTTCTTTTTACAGAGCAGTTTTGAAACACTCTTTTTGTGGAATCTGAAAGTGGATATTTGGATAGCTTTGAGGATTTCGTTGGAAACGGGATTACATATAAAACCTAGAGAGAAGCATTCTCAGGAACTTCTTTGTGATGTTTGCATTCAAGTCACAGAACTGAACATTCCCTTTCATAGAGCAGGTTTGAAACACTCTTTCTGTAGTATCTGCAAGCTGACGTTTCAAGCGCTTTCAGGCCTATGGTGAGAAAGGAAATATCTTCAAGTAAAAACTAGACAGAAGCATTCTCAGAAACTTATTTGCGATGTGTGTTCTCAACTAACAGAGTTGAACCTTTGTTTTGATATGGCATTTTGGAAACACTCTTTTTGTAGAATCTGCAGGTGGATATTCGGATAGCTTTGAAGGTTTCGTTGGAAACGGGAATATCTTCATATAAAATCTAGACGGAAGCATTCTCAGAAACTGCTTTGTGATGTTTTCATTCAAGTCACAGAGTAGAATGTTCCCTGTTATATACCAGGTTTGAGACACTCTTTCTGCACTACCTGGAAGTGGACATTTGGAGCGCTTTGAGGCCTATGATGAAAAAGGAAATATCTTCCCATAAAAACTAGACAGAAGCATTCTCAGAAACTTGTTTGTGATGTGTGTATTCAACTAACAGAGATGAACCTTTCTTTTTACAGAGCAGTTTTGAAACACTCTTTTTGTGGAATCTGAAAGTGGATATTTGGATAGCTTTGAGGATTTCGTTGGAAACGGGATTACATATAAAACCTAGAGAGAAGCATTCTCAGGAACTTCTTTGTGATGTTTGCATTCACGTCACAGAACTGAACATTCCCTTTCATAGAGCATGTTTGAAACACTCTTTCTGTAGTATCTGCAAACGGACATTTCAAACGCTTTCAGGCCTATGGTGAGAAAGGAAATATCTTCAAATAAAAACTAGACAGAAGCATTCTCAGAAACTTATTTGCGATGTGTGTCCTCAACTAACAGAGTTGAACCTTTCTTTTGATACAACATTTTGGAAACACTCTTTTTGTGGAATCTGCAAGTGGATATTTGGATAGCTTTGAAGATTTCGTTGGAAACGGGAATATCTTCATATAAAATCAAGACAGAAGCATTCTCAGAAACTTCTCTGTGATGTTTGCATTCAACTCATAGAGTTGAACACTTCCCTTCATACAGCAGGTTTGAAACACTCTTTTTGTAATATTTGGAAGTGGACAGTTGCAGCGCTTTGAGGCCTATGATGAAAAAGGTAATATCTTCCCATAAAAACTAGACAGAAGCATTCTCAGAAACTTGTTTGTGATGTGTGTATTCAACTAACAGAGATGAACCTTTCTTTTTACAGAGCAGTTTTGAAACACTCTTTTTGTGGAATCTGAAAGTGGATATTTGGATAGCTTTGCGGATTTCGTTGGAAACGGGATTACATATAAAATCTAGGGAGAAGCATTCTCAGGAACTTCTTTGTGATGTTTGCATTCAAGTCACAGAACTGAACATTCCCTTTCATAGAGCAGGTTTGAAACACTCTTTCTGTAGTATCTGCAAGCGGACGTTTGAAGCGCTTTCAGGCCTGTGGTGAAAAAGGAAATATCTTCAAATAAAAACTAGACAGAAGCATTCTCAGAAACTTATTTGCGATGTGTGTCCTCAACTAACAGAGTTGAACCTTTCTTTTGATACAACATTTTGGAAACACTCTTTTTGTAGAATCTGCAAGTGGATATTTGAATAGCTTTGAAGGTTTCGTTGGAAACGGGAATATCTTCATATAAAATCAAGACAGAAGCATTCTCAGAAACTTCTCTGTGATGTTTGCATTCAACTCATAGAGTTGAACACTTCCCTTCATACAGCAGGTTTGAAACACTCTTTTTGTAATATTTGGAAGTGGACATTTGCAGCGCTTTGAGGCCTATGATGAAAAAGGAAATATCTTCCCATAAAAACTAGACAGAAGCATTCTCAGAAACTTGTTTGTGATGTGTGTATTCAACTAACAGAGATGAACCTTTCTTTTTACAGAGCAGTTTTGAAACACTCTTTTTGTGGAATCTGAAAGTGGATATTTGGATAGCTTTGCGGATTTCGTTGGAAACGGGATTACATATAAAATCTAGGGAGAAGCATTCTCAGGAACTTCTTTGTGATGTTTGCATTCAAGTCACAGAACTGAACATTCCCTTTCATAGAGCAGGTTTGAAACACTCTTTCTGTAGTATCTGGAAGCGGACGTTTTAAGCGCTTTCAGGCCTGTGGTGAGAAAGGAAATATCTTCAAATAAAAACTAGACAGAAGCATTCTCAGAAACTTATTTGCGATGTGTGTCCTCAACTAACAGAGTTGAACCTTTCTTTTGATACAACATTTTGGAAACACTCTTTTTGTAGAATCTGCAAGTGGATATTTGGATAGCTTTGAAGGTTTCGTTGGAAACGGGAATATCTTCATATGAAATCAAGACAGAAGCATTCTCAGAAACTTCTCTGTGATGTTTGCATTCAACTCATAGAGTTGAACACTTCCCTTCATACAGCAGGTTTGAAACACTCTTTTTCTAATATTTGGAAGTGGACATTTGCAGCGCTTTGAGGCCTATGTTGAAAAGGGAAATATCTTCTCCTAAAAACCAGACAGAAGCATTCTCAGAAACTTCCTTGTGATGTGTGTACTCAAGTAACAGAGTTGAACCTTCCTTTTGACAGAGCAGTTTTGAAGCACTCTTTTTGTAGAATCTGCAAGTGGATATTTTGATACCTTTGAGGATTTCGTTGGACACGGGATATCTTCATATAAAATCTAGACAGAAGCATTCTCAGGAACTTCTTTGTGATGTTTGCCTTCAAGTCACAGGACTGAACATTCCCTTTCATAGAGCAGGTTTGAAACACTCTTTCTGTAGTATCTGCAAGCTGACGTTTCAAGCGCTTTCAGGCCTATGGTGAGAAAGGAAATATCTTCAAGTAAAAACTAGACAGAAGCATTCTCAGAAACTTATTTGCGATGTGTGTCCTCAACTAACAGAGTTGAACCTTTGTTTTGATACGGCATTTTGGAAACACTCTTTTTGTAGTATCTGCAGGTGGATATTCGGATAGCTTTGAAGGTTTCGTTGGAAACGGGAATATCTTCATATAAAATCTAGACGGAAGCATTCTCAGAAACTGCTTTGTGATGTTTTCATTCAAGTCACAGCAGTAGAATGTTCCCTGTTATATACCAGGTTTGAGACACTCTTTCTGCACTACCCGGAAGTGGACGTTTGGAGCGCTTTGAGGCCTATGTTGAAAAAGGAAATATCTTCCCATAAAAACTAGACAGAAGCATTCTCAGAAACTTGTTTGTGATGTGTGTATTCAACTAACAGAGATGAACCTTTCTTTTTACAGAGCAGTTTTGAAACACTCTTTTTGTGGAATCTGAAAGTGGATATTTGGATAGCTTTGAGGATTTCGTTGGAAACGGGATTACATATAAAACCTAGAGAGAAGCATTCTCAGGAACTTCTTTGTGATGTTTGCATTCACGTCACAGAACTGAACATTCCCTTTCATAGAGCATGTTTGAAACACTCTTTCTGTAGTATCTGCAAACGGACATTTCAAGCGCTTTCAGGCCTATGGTAAGAAAGGAAATAACTTCAAATAAAAACTAGACAGAAGCATTCTCAGAAACTTATTTGCGATGTGTGTCCTCAACTAACATAGTTGAACCTTTGTTTGGATACAACATTTTGGAAACACTCTTTTTGTAGAATCTGCAGGTGGATATTTGGATAGCTTTGAAGTTTTCGTTGGAAACGGGAATATCTTCATATAAAATCAAGACAGAAGCATTCTCAGAAACTTCTCTGTGATGTTTGCATTCAACTCATAGAGTTGAACACTTCCCTTCATAGAGCAGGTTTGAAACACTCTTTTTGTAATATTTGGAAGTGGACATTTGCAGCGCTTTGAGGCCTATGTTGAAAAAGGAAATATCTTCTCCTAAAAACCAGACAGAAGCATTCTCAGAAACTTGTTTGTGATGTGTGTATTCAACTAACAGAGATGAACCTTTCTTTTTACAGAGCAGTTTTGAAACACTCTTTTTGTGGAATCTGAAAGTGGATATTTGGATAGCTTTGAGGATTTCGTTGGAAACGGGATTACATATAAAATCTAGAGAGAAGCATTCTCAGGAACTTCTTTGTGATTTTTGCATTCACGTCACAGAACTGAACATTCCCTTTCATAGAGCATGTTTGAAACACTCTTTCTGTAGTATCTGCAAACGGACATTTCAAACGCTTTCAGGCCTATGGTGAGAAAGGAAATATCTTCAAATAAAAACTAGACAGAAGCATTCTCAGAAACTTATTTGCGATGTGTGTCCTCAACTAACAGAGTTGAACCTTTCTTTTGATACAACATTTTGGAACCACTCTTTTTGTAGAATCTGCAAGTGGATATTTGGATAGCTTTGAAGGTTTCGTTGGAAACGGGAATATCTTCATATAAAATCAAGACAGAAGCATTCTCAGAAACTTCTCTGTGATGTTTGCATTCAACTCATAGAGTTGAACACTTCCCTTCATACAGCAGGTTTGAAACACTCTTTTTGTAATATTTGGAAGTGGACATTTGCAGCGCTTTGAGGCCTATGATGAAAAAGGAAATATCTTCCCATAAAAACTAGACAGAAGCATTCTCAGAAACTTGTTTGTGATGTGTGTATTCAACTAACAGAGATGAACCTTTCTTTTTACAGAGCAGTTTTGAAACACTCTTTTTGTGGAATCTGAAAGTGGATATTTGGATAGCTTTGCGGATTTCGTTGGAAACGGGATTACATATAAAATCTAGGGAGAAGCATTCTCAGGAACTTCTTTGTGATGTTTGCATTCAAGTCACAGAACTGAACATTCCCTTTCATAGAGCAGGTTTGAAACACTCTTTCTGTAGTATCTGCAAGCGGACGTTTTAAGCGCTTTCAGGCCTGTGGTGAGAAAGGAAATATCTTCAAATAAAAACTAGACAGAAGCATTCTCAGAAACTTATTTGCGATGTGTGTCCTCAACTAACAGAGTTGAACCTTTCTTTTGATACAACATTTTGGAAACACTCTTTTTGTGGAATCTGCAAGTGGATATTTGGATAGCTTTGAAGATTTCGTTGGAAACGGGAATATCTTCATATAAAATCAAGACAGAAGCATTCTCAGAAACTTCTCTGTGATGTTTGCATTCAACTCATAGAGTTGAACACTTCCCTTCATACAGCAGTTTTGAAACACTCTTTTTGTGGAATCTGAAAGTGGATATTTGGATAGCTTTGCGGATTTCGTTGGAAACGGGATTACATATAAAATCTAGGGAGAAGCATTCTCAGGAACTTCTTTGTGATGTTTGCATTCAAGTCACAGAACTGAACATTCCCTTTCATAGAGCATGTTTGAAACACTCTTTCTGTAGTATCTGCAAGCGGACGTTTTAAGCGCTTTCAGGCCTGTGGTGAGAAAGGAAATATCTTCAAATAAAAACTAGACAGAAGCATTCTCAGAAACTTATTTGCGATGTGTGTCCTCAACTAACAGAGTTGAACCTTTCTTTTGATACAACATTTTGGAAACACTCTTTTTGTAGAATCTGCAAGTGGATATTTGGATAGCTTTGAAGGTTTCGTTGGAAACGGGAATATCTTCATATGAAATCAAGACAGAAGCATTCTCAGAAACTTCTCTGTGATGTTTGCATTCAACTCATAGAGTTGAACACTTCCCTTCATACAGCAGGTTTGAAACACTCTTTTTGTAATATTTGGAAGTGGACATTTGCAGCGCTTTGAGGCCTATGATGAAAAAGGAAATATCTTCCCATAAAAACTAGACAGGAAGCATTCTCAGAAACTTGTTTGTGATGTGTGTATTCAACTAACAGAGATGAACCTTTCTTTTTACAGAGCAGTTTTGAAACACTCTTTTTGTGGAATCTGAAAGTGGATATTTGGATAGCTTTGAGGATTTCGTTGGAAACGGGATTACATATAAAATCTAGAGAGAAGCATTCTCAGGAACTTCTTTGTGATGTTTGCATTCAAGTCACAGAACTGAACATTCCGTTTCATAGAGCAGGTTTGAAACACTCTTTCTGTAGTATCTGCAAGCTGACGTTTCAAGCGCTTTCAGGCCTATGGTGAGAAAGGAAATATCTTCAAGTAAAAACTAGACAGAAGCATTCTCAGAAACTTATTTGCGATGTGTGTTCTCAACTAACAGAGTTGAACCTTTGTTTTGATACGGCATTTTGGAAACACTCTTTTTGTAGAATCTGCAGGTGGATATTCGGATAGCTTTGAAGGTTTCGTTGGAAACGGGAATATCTTCATATAAAATACTAGACGGAAGCATTCTCAGAAACTGCTTTGGGATGTTTTCATTCAAGTCACAGGAGTAGAATGTTCCCTGTTATATACCAGGTTTGAGACACTCTTTCTGCACTACCTGGAAGTGGACGTTTGGAGCGCTTTGAGGCCTATGTTGAAAAAGGAAATATCTTCCCATAAAAACTAGACAGAAGCATTCTCAGAAACTTGTTTGTGATGTGTGTATTCAACTAACAGAGATGAACCTTTCTTTTTACAGAGCAGTTTTGAAACACTCTTTTTGTGGAATCTGAAAGTGGATATTTGGATAGCTTTGAGGATTTCGTTGGAAACGGGATTACATATAAAATCTAGAGAGAAGCATTCTCAGGAACTTCTTTGTGATGTTTGCATTCACGTCACAGAACTGAACATTCCCTTTCATAGAGCAGGTTTGAAACACTCTTTCTGTAGTATCTGCAAACGGACATTTCAAACGCTTTCAGGCCTATGGTGAGAAAGGAAATATCTTCAAATAAAAACTAGACAGAAGCATTCTCAGAAACTTATTTGCGATGTGTGTCCTCAACTAACAGAGTTGAACCTTTCTTTTGATACAACATTTTGGAAACACTCTTTTTGTAGAATCTGCAAGTGGATATTTGAATAGCTTTGAAGGTTTCGTTGGAAACGGGAATATCTTCATATAAAATCAAGACAGAAGCATTCTCAGAAACTTCTCTGTGATGTTTGCATTCAACTCATAGAGTTGAACACTTCCCTTCATACAGCAGGTTTGAAACACTCTTTTTGTAATATTTGGAAGTGGACATTTGCAGCGCTTTGAGGCCTATGATGAAAAAGGTAATATCTTCCCATAAAAACTAGACAGAAGCATTCTCAGAAACTTGTTTGTGATGTGTGTATTCAACTAACAGAGATGAACCTTTCTTTTTACAGAGCAGTTTTGAAACACTCTTTTTGTGGAATCTGAAAGTGGATATTTGGATAGCTTTGCGGATTTCGTTGGAAACGGGATTACATATAAAATCTAGGGAGAAGCATTCTCAGGAACTTCTTTGTGATGTTTGCATTCAAGTCACAGAACTGAACATTCCCTTTCATAGAGCAGGTTTGAAACACTCTTTCTGTAGTATCTGCAAGCGGACGTTTTAAGCGCTTTCAGGCCTGTGGTGAGAAAGGAAATATCTTCAAATAAAAACTAGACAGAAGCATTCTCAGAAACTTATTTGCGATGTGTGTCCTCAACTAACAGAGTTGAACCTTTCTTTTGATACAACATTTTGGAAACACTCTTTTTGTAGAATCTGCAAGTGGATATTTGGATAGCTTTGAAGGTTTCGTTGGAAACGGGAATATCTTCATATGAAATCAAGACAGAAGCATTCTCAGAAACTTCTCTGTGATGTTTGCATTCAACTCATAGAGTTGAACACTTCCCTTCATACAGCAGGTTTGAAACACTCTTTTTCTAATATTTGGAAGTGGACATTTGCAGCGCTTTGAGGCCTATGTTGAAAAAGGAAATATCTTCTCCTAAAAACCAGACAGAAGCATTCTCAGAAACTTGTTTGTGATGTGTGTATTCAACTAACAGAGATGAACCTTTCTTTTTACAGAGCAGTTTTGAAACACTCTTTTTGTGGAATCTGAAAGTGGATATTTGGATAGCTTTGCGGATTTCGTTGGAAACGGGATTACATATAAAATCTAGGGAGAAGCATTCTCAGGAACTTCTTTGTGATGTTTGCATTCAAGTCACAGAACTGAACATTCCCTTTCATAGAGCAGGTTTGAAACACTCTTTCTGTAGTATCTGCAAGCGGACGTTTTAAGGGCTTTCAGGACTTTGGTGAGAAAGGAAATATCTTCAAATAAAAACTAGACAGAAGCATTCTCAGAAACATATTTGCCATGTGTGTTCTCAGCTAACAGAGTTGAACCTTTGTTTTGATACGGCATTTTGGAAACACTCTTTTTGTAGTATCTGCAGGTGGATATTCGGATAGCTTTGAAGGTTTCGTTGGAAACGGGAATATCTTCATATAAAATCTAGACGGAAACATTCTCAGAAACTGCTTTGTGATGTTTTCATTCAAGTCACAGAGTAGAATGTTCCCTTTTATATACCAGGTTTGAGACACTCTTTCTGCACTATCTGGAAGTGGACATTTGGAGCGCTTTGAGGCCTATGATGAAAAAGGAAATATCTTCCCATAAAAACTAGACAGAAGCATTCTCAGAAACTTGTTTGTGATGTGTGTATTCAACTAACAGAGATGAACCTTTCTTTTTACAGAGCAGTTTTGAAACACTCTTTTTGTGGAATCTGAAAGTGGATATTTGGATAGCTTTGAGGATTTCGTTGGAAACGGGATTACATATAAAACCTAGAGAGAAGCATTCTCGGGAACTTCTTTGTGATGTTTGCATTCAAGTCACAGAACTGAACATTCCCTTTCATAGAGCAGGTTTGAAACACTCTTTCTGTAGTATCTGCAAGCGGACGTTTTAAGCGCTTTCAGGCCTGTGGTGAGAAAGGAAATATCTTCAAATAAAAACTAGACAGAAGCATTCTCAGTAAACTTATTTGCGATGTGTGTTCTCAACTAACAGAGTTGAACCTTTGTTTTGATATGGCATTTTGGAAACACTCTTTTTGAAGAATCTGCAGGTGGATATTCGGATAGCTTTGAAGGTTTCGTTGGAAACGGGAATATCTTCATATAAAATCTAGACGGAAGCATTCTCAGAAACTTCTCTGTGATGTTTGCATTCAACTCATAGAGTTGAACACTTCCCTTCATACAGCAGGTTTGAAACACTCTTTTTGTAATATTTGGAAGTGGACATTTGCAGCGCTTTGAGGCCTATGATGAAAAAGGAAATATCTTCCCATAAAAACTAGACAGAAGCATTCTCAGAAACTTGTTTGTGATGTGTGTATTCAACTAACAGAGATGAACCTTTCTTTTTACAGAGCAGTTTTGAAACACTCTTTTTGTGGAATCTGAAAGTGGATATTTGGATAGCTTTGCGGATTTCGTTGGAAACGGGATTACATATAAAATCTAGGGAGAAGCATTCTCAGGAACTTCTTTGTGATGTTTGCATTCAAGTCACAGAACTGAACATTCCCTTTCATAGAGCAGGTTTGAAACACTCTTTCTGTAGTATCTGCAAGCGGACGTTTTAAGCGCTTTCAGGCCTGTGGTGAGAAAGGAAATATCTTCAAATAAAAACTAGACAGAAGCATTCTCAGAAACGTATTTGCGATGTGTGTCCTCAACTAACAGAGTTGAACCTTTCTTTTGATACAACATTTTGGAAACACTCTTTTTGTAGAATCTGCAAGTGGATATTTGGATAGCTTTGAAGGTTTCGTTGGAAACGGGAATATCTTCATATGAAATCAAGACAGAAGCATTCTCAGAAACTTCTCTGTGATGTTTGCATTCAACTCATAGAGTTGAACACTTCCCTTCATACAGCAGGTTTGAAACACTCTTTTTCTAATATTTGGAAGTGGACATTTGCAGCGCTTTGAGGCCTTTGTTGAAAAAGGAAATATCTTCTCCTAAAAACCAGACAGAAGCATTCTCAGAAACTTCCTTGTGATGTGTGTACTCAAGTAACAGAGTTGAACCTTCCTTTTGACGGAGCAGTTTTGAAGCACTCTTTTTGTAGAATCTGCAAGTGGATATTTTGATACCTTTGAGGATTTCGTTGGACACGGGATATCTTCATATAAAATCTAGACAGAAAGCATTCTCAGGAACTTCTTTGTGATGTTTGCATTCAAGTCACAGAACTGAACATTCCCTTTCATAGAGCAGGTTTGAAACACTCTTTCTGTAGTATCTGCAAGCGGACGTCTCAAGCGCTTTCAGCCCTATGGTGAGAAAGGAAATATCTTCAAGTAAAAACTAGACAGAAGCATTCTCAGAAACTTATTTGCGATGTGTGTCCTCAACTAACAGAGTTGAACCTTTCTTTTGATACAACATTTTGGAAACACTCTTTTTGTAGAATCTGCAAGTGGATATTTGGAAAGCTTTGAAGGTTTCGTTGGAAACGGGAATATCTTCATATGAAATCAAGACAGAAGCATTCTCAGAAACTTCTCTGCGATGTTTGCATTCAACTCATAGAGTTGAACACTTCCCTTCATACAGCAGGTTTGAAACACTCTTTTTGTAATATTTGGAAGTGGACATTTGCAGCGCTTTGAGGCCTATGATGAAAAAGGTAATATCTTCCCATAAAATCTAGACAGAAGCATTCTCAGAAACTTGTTTGTGATGTGTGTATTCAACTAACAGAGATGAACCTTTCTTTTTACAGAGCAGTTTTGAAACACTCTTTTTGTGGAATCTGAAAGTGGATATTTGGATAGCTTTGAGGATTTCGTTGGAAACGGGATTACATATAAAACCTAGAGAGAAGCATTCTCAGGAACTTCTTTTTGATGTTTGCCTTCAAGTCACAGGACTGAACATTCCCTTTCATAGAGCAGGTTTGAAACACTCTTTCTGTAGTATCTGCAAGCTGACGTTTCAAGCGCTTTCAGGCCTATGGTGAGAAAGGAAATATCTTCAAGTAAAAACTAGACAGAAGCATTCTCAGAAACTTATTTGCCATGTGTGTTCTCAACTAACAGAGTTGAACCTTTGTTTTGATATGGCATTTTGGAAACACTCTTTTTGTAGAATCTGCAGGTGGATATTCGGATAGCTTTGAAGGTTTCGTTGGAAACGGGAATATCTTCATATAAAATCTAGACGGAAGCATTCTCAGAAAGTGCTTTGTGGTGTTTGCATTCAAGTCACAGAGTTGAATATTCCCTTTTATAGAGCAGGTTTGAAACACTCTTTCTGCACTACCTGGAAGTGGACATTTGGAGCGCTTTGAGGCCTATGTTGAAAAAGGAAATATCTTCCCATAAAAACTAGACAGAAGCATTCTCAGAAACTTGTTTGTGATGTGTGTATTCAACTAACAGAGATGAACCTTTCTTTTTACAGAGCAGTTTTGAAACACTCTTTTTGTGGAATCTGAAAGTGGATATTTGGATAGCTTTGAGGATTTCGTTGGAAACGGGATTACATATAAAATCTAGAGAGAAGCATTCTCAGGAACTTCTTTGTGATGTTTGCATTCACGTCACAGAACTGAACATTCCCTTTCATAGAGCATGTTTGAAACACTCTTTCTGTAGTATCTGCAAACGGACATTTCAAGCACTTTCAGGCCTATGGTAAGAAAGGAAATATCTTCAAATAAAAACTAGACAGAAGCATTCTCAGAAACTTATTTGCGATGTGTGTTCTCAACTAACAGAGTTGAACCTTTGTTTTGATATGGCATTTTGGAAACACTCTTTTTGTAGAATCTGCAGGTGGATATTCAGATAGCTTTGAAGGTTTTGTTGGAAACGGGAATATCTTCATATAAAATCTAGACGGAAGCATTCTCAGAAACTGCTTTGTGATGTTTTCATTCAAGTCACACAGTAGAATGTTCCCTGTTATATACCAGGTTTGAGACACTCTTTCTGCACTACCTGGAAGTGGACATTTGCAGCGCTTTGAGGCCTATGATGAAAAAGGAAATATCTTCCCATAAAAACTAGACAGAAGCATTCTCAGAAACTTGTTTTTGATGTGTGTATTCAACTAACAGAGATGAACCTTTCTTTTTACAGAGCAGTTTTGAAACACTCTTTTTGTGGAATCTGAAAGTGGATATTTGGATAGCTTTGAGGATTTCGTTGGAAACGGGATTACATATAAAATCTAGAGAGAAGCATTCTCAGGAACTTCTTTGTGATGTTTGCATTCACGTCACAGAACTGAACATTCCCTTTCATAGAGCATGTTTGAAACACTCTTTCTGTAGTATCTGCAAACGGACATTTCAAACGCTTTCAGGCCTATGGTGAGAAAGGAAATATCTTCAAATAAAAACTAGACAGAAGCATTCTCAGAAACTTATTTGCGATGTGTGTCCTCAACTAACAGAGTTGAACCTTTCTTTTGATACAACATTTTGGAAACACTCTTTTTGTAGAATCTGCAAGTGGATATTTGAATAGCTTTGAAGGTTTCGTTGGAAACGGGAATATCTTCATATAAAATCAAGACAGAAGCATTCTCAGAAACTTCTCTGTGATGTTTGCCTTCAACTCATAGAGTTGAACACTTCCCTTCATACAGCAGGTTTGAAACACTCTTTTTGTAATATTTGGAAGTGGACATTTGCAGCGCTTTGAGGCCTATGATGAAAAAGGTAATATCTTCCCATAAAAACTAGACAGAAGCATTCTCAGAAACTTGTTTGTGATGTGTGTATTCAACTAACAGAGATGAACCTTTCTTTTTACAGAGCAGTTTTGAAACACTCTTTTTGTGGAATCTGAAAGTGGATATTTGGATAGCTTTGAGGATTTCGTTGGAAACGGGATTACATATAAAACCTAGAGAGAAGCATTCTCAGGAACTTCTTTGTGATGTTTGCCTTCAAGTCACAGGACTGAACATTCCCTTTCATAGAGCAGGTTTGAAACACTCTTTCTGTAGTATCTGCAAGCTGACGTTTCAAGCGCTTTCAGGCCTATGGTGAGAAAGGAAATATCTTCAAGTAAAAACTAGACAGAAGCATTCTCAGAAACTTATTTGCCATGTGTGTTCTCAACTAACAGAGTTGAACCTTTGTTTTGATACGGCATTTTGGAAACACTCTTTTTGTAGAATCTGCAGGTGGATATTCGGATAGCTTTGAAGGTTTCGTTGGAAACGGGAATATCTTCATATAAAATCTAGACGGAAGCATTCTCAGAAACTGCTTTGTGATGTTTTCATTCAAGTCACAGAGTAGAATCTTCCCTGTTATATACCAGGTTTCAGACACTCTTTCTGCACTACCTGGAAGTGGACATTTGCAGCGCTTTGAGGCCTATGATGAAAAAGGAAATATCTTCCCATAAAAACTAGACAGAAGCATTCTCAGAAACTTGTTTGTGATGTGTGTATTCAACTAACAGAGATGAACCTTTCTTTTTACAGAGCAGTTTTGAAACACTCTTTTTGTGGAATCTGAAAGTGGATATTTGGATAGCTTTGAGGATTTCGTTGGAAACGGGATTACATATAAAATCTAGAGAGAAGCATTCTCAGGAACTTCTTTGTGATGTTTGCATTCACGTCACAGAACTGAACATTCCCTTTCATAGAGCATGTTTGAAACACTCTTTCTGTAGTATCTGCAAACGGACATTTCAAACGCTTTCAGGCCTATGGTGAGAAAGGAAATATCTTCAAATAAAAACTAGACAGAAGCATTCTCAGAAACTTATTTGCGATGTGTGTCCTCAACTATCAGAGTTGAACCTTTCTTTTGATTCAACATTTTGGAACCACTCTTTTTGTAGAATCTGCAAGTGGATATTTGAATAGCTTTGAAGGTTTCGTTGGAAAGGGGAATATCTTCATATAAAATCAAGACAGAAGCATTCTCAGAAACTTCTCTGTGATGTTTGCATTCAACTCATAGAGTTGAACACTTCCCTTCATACAGCAGGTTTGAAACACTCTTTTTGTAATATTTGGAAGTGGACATTTGCAGCGCTTTGAGGCCTATGATGAAAATGGAAATATCTTCCCATAAAAACTAGACAGAAGCATTCTCAGAAACTTGTTTGTGATGTGTGTATTCAACTAACAGAGATGAACCTTTCTTTTTACAGAGCAGTTTTGAAACACTCTTTTTGTGGAATCTGGAAGTGGATATTTGGATAGCTTTGAGGATTTCGTTGGAAACGGGATTACATATAAAATCAAGAGAGAAGAATTCTCAGGAACTTCTTTGTGATATTTGCATTCAAGTCACAGAACTGAACATTCCCTTTAATAGAGCATGTTTGAAACACTCTTTCTGTAGTATCTGCAAACGGACATTTCAAACGCTTTCAGGCCTATGGTGAGAAAGGAAATATCTTCAAATAAAAACTAGACAGAAGCATTCTCAGAAACTTATTTGCCATGTGTGTTCTCAACTAACAGAGTTGAACCTTTGTTTTGATACGGCATTTTGGAAACACTCTTTTTGTAGAATCTGCAGGTGGATATTCGGATAGCTTTGAAGGTTTCGTTGGAAACGGGAATATCTTCATATAAAATCTAGACGGAAGCATTCTCAGAAACTGCTTTGTGATGTTTGCATTCAAGTCACAGAGTAGAATGTTCCCTGTTATATACCAGGTTTGAGACACTCTTTCTGCACTACCTGGAAGTGGACGTTTGGAGCGCTTTGAGGCCTATGTTGAAAAAGGAAATATCTTCCCATAAAAACTAGACAGAAGCATTCTCAGAAACTTGTTTGTGATGTGTGTATTCAACTAACAGAGATGAACCTTTCTTTTTACAGAGCAGTTTTGAAACACTCTTTTTGTGGAATCTGAAAGTGGATATTTGGATTGCTTTGAGGATTTCGTTGGAAACGGGATTACATATAAAACCTAGAGAGAAGCATTCTCAGGAACTTCTTTGTGATGTTTGCATTCAAGTCACAGAACTGAACATTCCCTTTCATAGAGCAGGTTTGAAACACTCTTTCTGTAGTATCTGCAAGCGGACGTTTTAAGCGCTTTCAGGCCTGTGGTGAGAAAGGAAATATCTTCAAATAAAAACTAGACAGAAGCATTCTCAGAAACTTATTTGCGATGTGTGTCCTCAACTAACAGAGTTGAACCTTTCTTTTGATACAACATTTTGGAAACACTCTTTTTGTAGAATCTGCAAGTGGATATTTGGATAGCTTTGAAGGTTTCGTTGGAAACGGGAATATCTTCATATGAAATCAAGACAGAAGCATTCTCAGAAACTTCTCTGTGATGTTTGCATTCAACTCATAGAGTTGAACACTTCCCTTCATACAGCAGGTTTGAAACACTCTTTTTCTAATATTTGGAAGTGGACATTTGCAGCGCTTTGAGGCCTATGTTGAAAACGGAAATATCTTCTCCTAAAAACCAGACAGAAGCATTCTCAGAAACTTGTTTGTGATGTGTGTATTCAACTAACAGAGATGAACCTTTCTTTTTACAGAGCAGTTTTGAAACACTCTTTTTGTGGAATCTGAAAGTGGATATTTGGATAGCTTTGAGGATTTCGTTGGAAACGGGATTACATATAAAACCTAGAGAGAAGCATTCTCAGGAACTTCTTTGTGATGTTTGCCTTCTAGTCACAGGACTGAACATTCCCTTTCATAGAGCATGTTTGAAACACTCTTTCTGTAGTATCTGCAAGCTGACGTTTCAAGCGCTTTCAGGCCTACGGTGAGAAAGGAAATATCTTCAAGTGAAAACTAGACAGAAGCATTCTCAGAAACTTCTTTGTGCTGTATGTCCTCAATTAACAGAGTTGAACCTTTGTGTGGATACAGCATTTTGGAAACATTCCTTTAGTAGAATCTGCAAGTTGATATTTAGATAGCTAGGAAGATTTCCTCGGAAACGGGAATATCTTCATATAAAATCTAGACGGAAGCATTCTCAGAAAGTGCTTTGTGATGTTTGCATTCAAGTCACAGAGTTGAATATTCCCTTTTATAGAGCAGGTTTGAAACACTCTTTCTGCACTACCTGGAAGTGGACATTTGGAGCGCTTTGAGGCCTATGTTGAAAAAGGGAATATCTTCCCATAGAAACTAGACAGAAGCATTCTCAGAAACTTGTTTGTGATGTGTGTATTCAACTAACAGAGATGAACCTTTCTTTTTACAGAGCAGTTTTGAAACACTCTTTTTGTGGAATCTGAAAGTGGATATTTGGATAGCTTTGAGGATTTCGTTGGAAACGGGATTACATATAAAACCTAGAGAGAAGCATTCTCAGGAACTTCTTTGTGATGTTTTCATTCAAGTCACAGAACTGAACATTCCCTTTCATAGAGCAGGTTTGAAACACTCTTTCTGTAGTATCTGCAAGCTGACGTTTCAAGCGCTTTCAGGCCTATGGTGAGAAAGGAAATATCTTCAAGTAAAAACTAGACAGAAGCATTCTCAGAAACTTCTTTGCGATGTGTGTTCTCAACTAACAGAGTTGAACCTTTGTTTTGATATGGCATTTTGGAAACACTCTTTTTGTAGAATCTGCAGGTGGATATTCGGATAGCTTTGAAGGTTTCGTTGGAAACGGGAATATGTTCATATAAAATCTAGACGGAAGCATTCTCAGAAACTTCTCTGTGATGTTTGCATTCAACTCATAGAGTTGAACACTTCCCTTCATACAGCAGGTTTGAAACACTCTTTTTGTAATATTTGGAAGTGGACATTTGCAGCGCTTTGAGGCCTATGATGAAAAAGGTAATATCTTCCCATAAAAACTAGACAGAAGCATTCTCAGAAACTTGTTTGTGATGTGTGTATTCAACTAACAGAGATGAACCTTTCTTTTTACAGAGCAGTTTTGAAACACTCTTTTTGTGGAATCTGAAAGTGGATATTTGGATAGCTTTGAGGATTTCGTTGGAAACGGGATTACATATAAAACCTAGAGAGAAGCATTCTCAGGAACTTCTTTGTGATGTTTGCATTCAAGTCACAGGACTGAACATTCCCTTTCATAGAGCAGGTTTGAAACACTCTTTCTGTAGTATCTGCAAGCTGACGTTTCAAGCGCTTTCAGGCCTATGGTGAGAAAGGAAATATCTTCAAATAAAAACTAGACAGAAGCATTCTCAGAAACTTATTTGCCATGTGTGTTCTCAACTAACAGAGTTGAACCTTTGTTTTGATACGGCATTTTGGAAACACTCTTTTTGTAGAATCTGCAGGTGGATATTCGGATAGCTTTGAAGGTTTCGTTGGAAACGGGAATATCTTCATATAAAATCTAGACGGAAGCATTCTCAGAAACTGCTTTGTGATGTTTTCATTCAAGTCACAGAGTAGAATCTTCCCTGTTATATACCAGGTTTCAGACACTCTTTCTGCACTACCTGGAAGTGGACATTTGCAGCGCTTTGAGGCCTATGATGAAAAAGGAAATATCTTCCCATAAAAACTAGACAGAAGCATTCTCAGAAACTTGTTTGTGATGTGTGTATTCAACTAACAGAGATGAACCTTTCTTTTTACAGAGCAGTTTTGAAACACTCTTTTTGTGGAATCTGAAAGTGGATATTTGGATAGCTTTGAGGATTTCGTTGGAAACGGGATTACATATAAAATCTAGAGAGAAGCATTCTCAGGAACTTCTTTGTGATGTTTGCATTCACGTCACAGAACTGAACATTCCCTTTCATAGAGCATGTTTGAAACACTCTTTCTGTAGTATCTGCAAACGGACATTTCAAACGCTTTCAGGCCTATGGTGAGAAAGGAAATATCTTCAAATAAAAACTAGACAGAAGCATTCTCAGAAACTTATTTGCGATGTGTGTCCTCAACTAACAGAGTTGAACCTTTCATTTGATACAACATTTTGGAAACACTCTTTTTGTGGAATCTGCAAGTGGATATTTGGATAGCTTTGAAGATTTCGTTGGAAACGGGAATATCTTCATATAAAATCAAGACAGAAGCATTCTCAGAAACTTCTCTGTGATGTTTGCATTCAACTCATAGAGTTGAACACCTCCCTTCATACAGCAGGTTTGAAACACTCTTTTTGTAATATTTGGAAGTGGACATTTGCAGCGCTTTGAGGCCTATGATGAAAAAGGTAATATCTTCCCATAAAAACTAGACAGAAGCATTCTCAGAAACTTGTTTGTGATGTGTGTATTCAACTAACAGAGATGAACCTTTCTTTTTACAGAGCAGTTTTGAAACACTCTTTTTGTGGAATCTGAAAGTGGATATTTGGATAGCTTTGAGGATTTCGTTGGAAACGGGATTACATATAAAATCTAGAGAGAAGCATTCTCAGGAACTTCTTTGTGATGTTTGCATTCACGTCACAGAACTGAACATTCCCTTTCATAGAGCATGTTTGAAACACTCTTTCTGTAGTATCTACAAACGGACATTTCAAACGCTTTCAGGCCTGTGGTGAGAAAGGAAATATCTTCAAATAAAAACTAGACAGAAGCATTCTCAGAAACTTCTTTGTGCTGTATGTCCTCAATTAACAGAGTTGAACCTTTGTGTGGATACAGCATTTTGGAAACACTCCTTTAGTAGGATATGCAAGTTGATATTTAGATAGCTAGGAAGATTTCCTTGGAAACGGGAATATCTTCATATAAAATCTAGACGGAAGCATTCTCAGAAAGTGCTTTGTGATGTTTGCATTCAAGTCACAGAGTTGAATATTCCCTTTTATAGAGCAGGTTTGAAACACTCTTTCTGCACTACCTGGAAGTGGACATTTGGAGCGCTTTGAGGCCTATGTTGAAAAAGGAAATATCTTCCCATAAAAACTAGACAGAAGCATTCTCAGAAACTTGTTTGTGATGTGTGTATTCAACTAACAGAAATGAACCTTTCTTTTTACAGAGCAGTTTTGAAACACTCTTTTTGTGGAATCTGAAAGTGGATATTTGGATAGCTTTGAGGATTTCGTTGGAAACGGGATTACATATAAAACCTAGAGAGAAGCATTCTCAGGAACTTCTTTGTGATGTTTGCATTCAAGTCACAGAACTGAACATTCCCTTTCATAGAGCAGGTTTGAAACACTCTTTCTGTAGTATCTGCAAGCTGACGTTTCTAGCGCTTTCAGGCCTATGGTGAGAAAGGAAATATCTTCAAGTAAAAACTAGACAGAAGCATTCTCAGAAACTTATTTGCCATGTGTGTTCTCAACTAACAGAGTTGAACCTTTGTATTGATACGGCATTTTGGAAACACTCTTTTTGTAGAATCTGCAGGTGGATATTCAGATAGCTTTGAAGGTTTCGATGGAAACGGGAATATCTTCATATAAAATCTAGACGGAAGCATTCTCAGAAAGTGCTTTGTGATGTTTGCATTCAAGTCACAGAAGTTGAATATTCCCTTTTATAGAGCAGGTTTGAAACACTCTTTCTGCACTACCTGGAAGTGGACATTTGGAGCGCTTTGAGGCCTATGTTGAAAAAGGAAATATGTTCCCATAAAAACTGGACAGAAGCATTCTCAGAAACTTGTTTGTGATGTGTGTATTCAACTAACAGAGATGAACCTTTCTTTTTACAGAGCAGTTTTGAAACACTCTTTTTGTGGAATCTGAAAGTGGATATTTGGATAGCTTTGAGGATTTCGTTGGAAACGGGATTACATATAAAACCTAGAGAGAAGCATTCTCAGGAACTTCTTTGTGATGTTTGCATTCAAGTCACAGGACTGAACATTCCCTTTCATAGAGCAGGTTTGAAACACTCTTTCTGTAGTATCTGCAAGCTGACGTTTCAAGCGCTTTCAGGCCTATGGTGAGAAAGGAAATATCTTCAAATAAAAACTAGACAGAAGCATTCTCAGAAACTTATTTGCGATGTGTGTTCTCAACTAACAGAGTTGAACCTTTGTTTTGATATGGCATTGTGGAAACACTCTTTTTGTAGAATCTGCAGGTGGATATTCGGATAGCTTTGAAGGTTTCGTTGGAAACGGGAATATCTTCATATAAAATGTAGACGGAAGCATTCTCAGAAACTGCTTTGTGATGTTTTCATTCAAGTCACAGAGTAGAATGTTCCCTGTTATATACCAGGTTTGAGACACTCTTTCTGCACTACCTGGAAGTGGACATTTGCAGCGCTTTGAGGCCTATGATGAAAAAGGAAATATCTTCCCATAAAAACTAGACAGAAGCATTCTCAGAAACTTGTTTGTGATGTGTGTATTCAACTAACAGAGATGAACCTTTCTTTTTACAGAGCAGTTTTGAAACACTCTTTTTGTGGAATCTGAAAGTGGATATTTGGATAGCTTTGAGGATTTCGTTGGAAACGGGATTACATATAAAACCTAGAGAGAAGCATTCTCAGGAACTTCTTTGTGATGTTTGCATTCACGTCACAGAACTGAACATTCCCTTTCATAGAGCATGTTTGAAACACTCTTTCTGTAGTATCTGCAAACGGACATTTCAAACGCTTTCAGGCCTATGGTGAGAAAGGAAATATCTTCAAATAAAAACTAGACAGAAGCATTCTCAGAAACTTATTTGCGATGTGTGTCCTCAACTAACAGAGTTGAACCTTTCTTTTGATACAACATTTTGGAAACACTCTTTTTGTAGAATCTGCAAGTGGATATTTGGATAGCTTTGAAGGTTTCGTTGGAAACGGGAATATCTTCATATGAAATCAAGACAGATGCATTCTCAGAAACTTCTCTGTGATGTTTGCATTCAACTCATAGAGTTGAACACTTCCCTTCATACAGCAGGTTTGAAACACTCTTTTTCTAATATTTGGAAGTGGACATTTGCAGCGCTTTGAGGCCTATGTTGAAAAAGGAAATATCTTCTCCTAAAAACCAGACAGAAGCATTCTCAGAAACTTGTTTGTGATGTGTGTATTCAACTAACAGAGATGAACCTTTCTTTTTACAGAGCAGTTTTGAAACACTCTTTTTGTGGAATCTGAAAGTGGATATTTGGATAGCTTTGAGGATTTCGTTGGAAACGGGATTACATATAAAACCTAGAGAGAAGCATTCTCAGGAACTTCTTTGTGATGTTTGCATTCAAGTCACAGAACTGAACATTCCCTTTCATAGAGCAGGTTTGAAACAGTCTTTCTGTAGTATCTGCAAGCTGACGTTTCAAGCGCTTTCAGGCCTATGGTGAGAAAGGAAATATCTTCAAGTAAAAACTAGACAGAAGCATTCTCAGAAACTTATTTGCCATGTGTGTTCTCAACTAACAGAGTTGAACCTTTGTTTTGATACGGCATTTTGGAAACACTCTTTTTGTAGAATCTGCAGGTGGATATTCGGATAGCTTTGAAGGTTTCGTTGGAAACGGGAATATCTTCATATAAAATCTAGACGGAAGCATTCTCAGAAACTGCTTTGTGATGTTTTCATTCAAGTCACAGAGTAGAATGTTCCCTGTTATATACCAGGTTTGAGACACTCTTTCTGCACTACCTGGAAGTGGACGTTTGGAGCGCTTTGAGGCCTATGTTGAAAAAGGAAATATCTTCCCATAAAAACTAGACAGAAGCATTCTCAGAAACTTGTTTGTGATGTGTGTATTCAACTAACAGAGATGAACCTTTCTTTTTACAGAGCAGTTTTGAAACACTCTTTTTGTGGAATCTGAAAGTGGATATTTGGATAGCTTTGAGGATTTCGTTGGAAACGGGATTACATATAAAACCTAGAGAGAAGCATTCTCAGGAACTTCTTTGTGATGTTTGCATTCAAGTCACAGAACTGAACATTCCCTTTCATAGAGCAGGTTTGAAACACTCTTTCTGTAGTATCTGCAAGCTGACGTTTCAAGCGCTTTCAGGCCTATGGTGAGAAAGGAAATATCTTCAAGTAAAAACTAGACAGAAGCATTCTCAGAAACTTATTTGCCATGTGTGTTCTCAACTAACAGAGTTGAACCTTTGTTTTGATACGGCATTTTGGAAACACTCTTTTTGTAGAATCTGCAGGTGGATATTCGGATAGCTTTGAAGGTTTCGTTGGAAACGGGAATATCTTCATATAAAATCTAGACGGAAGCATTCTCAGAAACTGCTTTGTGATGTTTTCATTCAAGTCACAGAGTAGAATGTTTCCCTGTTATATACCAGGTTTGAGACACTCTTTCTGCACTACCTGGAAGTGGACATTTGCAGCGCTTTGAGGCCTATGATGAAAAAGGAAATATCTTCCCATAAAAACTAGACAGAAGCATTCTCAGAAACTTGTTTGTGATGTGTGTATTCAACTAACAGAGATGAACCTTTCTTTTTACAGAGCAGTTTTGAAACACTCTTTTTGTGGAATCTGAAAGTGGATATTTGGATAGCTTTGCGGATTTCGTTGGAAACGGGATTACATATAAAATCTAGGGAGAAGCATTATCAGGAACTTCTTTGTGATGTTTGCATTCAAGTCACAGAACTGAACATTCCCTTTCATAGAGCAGGTTTGAAACACTCTTTCTGTAGTATCTGCAAGCGGACGTTTTAAGCGCTTTCAGGCCTGTGGTGAGAAAAGAAATATCTTCAAATAAAAACTAGACAGAAGCATTCTCAGAAACTTATTTGCGATGTGTGTCCTCAACTAACAGAGTTGAACCTTTCTTTTGATACAACATTTTGGAAACACTCTTTTTGTAGAATCTGCAAGTGGATATTTGGATAGCTTTGAAGGTTTCGTTGGAAACGGGAATATCTTCATATGAAATCAAGACAGAAGCATTCTCAGAAACTTCTCTGTGATGTTTGCATTCAACTCATAGAGTTGAACACTTCCCTTCATACAGCAGGTTTGAAACACTCTTTTTCTAATATTTGGAAGTGGACATTTGCAGCGCTTTGAGGCCTATGTTGAAAAAGGAAATATCTTCTCCTAAAAACCAGACAGAAGCATTCTCAGAAACTTGTTTGTGATGTGTGTATTCAACTAACAGAGATGAACCTTTCTTTTTACAGAGCAGTTTTGAAACACTCTTTTTGTGGAATCTGAAAGTGGATATTTGGATAGCTTTGCAGATTTCGTTGGAAACGGGATTACATATAAAATCTAGGGAGAAGCATTCTCAGGAACTTCTTTGTGATGTTTGCATTCAAGTCACAGAACTGAACATTCCCTTTCATAGAGCAGGTTTGAAACACTCTTTCTGTAGTATCTGCAAGCGGACGTTTTAAGCGCTTTCAGGCCTGTGGTGAGAAAGGAAATATCTTCAAATAAAAACTAGACAGAAGCATTCTCAGAAACTTATTTGCGATGTGTGTCCTCAACTAACAGAGTTGAACCTTTCTTTTGATACAACATTTTGGAAACACTCTTTTTGTAGAATCTGCAAGTGGATATTTGGATAGCTTTGAAGGTTTCGTTGGAAACGGGAATATCTTCATATGAAATCAAGACAGAAGCATTCTCAGAAACTTCTCTGTGATGTTTGCATTCAACTCATAGAGTTGAACACTTCCCTTCATACAGCAGGTTTGAAACACTCTTTTTCTAATATTTGGAAGTGGACATTTGCAGCGCTTTGAGGCCTATGTTGAAAAAGGAAATATCTTCTCCTAAAAACCAGACAGAAGCATTCTCAGAAACTTGTTTGTGATGTGTGTATTCAACTAACAGAGATGAACCTTTCTTTTTACAGAGCAGTTTTGAAACACTCTTTTTGTGGAATCTGAAAGTGGATATTTGGATAGCTTTGAGGATTTCGTTGGAAACGGGATTACATATAAAATCTAGAGAGAAGCATTCTCAGGAACTTCTTTGTTATGTTTGCATTCACGTCACAGAACTGAACATTCCCTTTCATAGAGCATGTTTGAAACACTCTTTCTGTAGTATCTGCAAACGGACATTTCAAACGCTTTCAGGCCTATGGTGAGAAAGGAAATATCTTCAAATAAAAACTAGACAGAAGCATTCTCAGAAACTTATTTGCGATGTGTGTCCTCAACTAACAGAGTTGAACCTTTCTTTTGATACAACATTTTGGAACCACTCTTTTTGTAGAATCTGCAAGTGGATATTTGGATAGCTTTGAAGGTTTCGTTGGAAACGGGAATATCTTCATATAAAATCAAGACAGAAGCATTCTCAGAAAGTGCTTTGTGATGTCTTCATTCAAGTCACAGAGTTGAATGTTCCCTTTTATAGAGCAGGTTTGAAACACTCTTTCTGCACTACCTGGAAGTGGACATTTGGAGCGCTTTGAGGCCTATGTTGAAAAACGAAATATCTTCCCATAAAAACTAGACAGAAGCATTCTCAGAAACTTGTTTGTGATGTGTGTATTCAACTAACAGAGATGAACCTTTCTTTTTACAGAGCAGTTTTGAAACACTCTTTTTGTGGAATCTGAAAGTGGATATTTGGATAGCTTTGAGGATTTCGTTGGAAACGGGATTACATATAAAACCTAGAGAGAAGCATTCTCAGGAACTTCTTTGTGATGTTTGCCTTCAAGTCACAGGACTGAACATTCCCTTTCATAGAGCAGGTTTGAAACACTCTTTCTGTAGTATCTGCAAGCTGACGTTTCATGCGCTTTCAGGCCTATGGTGAGAAAGGAAATATCTTCAAGTAAAAACTAGACAGAAGCATTCTCAGAAACTTATTTGCCATGTGTGTTCTCAACTAACAGAGTTGAACCTTTGTTTTGATACGGCATTTTGGAAACACTCTTTTTGTAGAATCTGCAGGTGGATATTCGGATAGCTTTGAAGGTTTCGTTGGAAACGGGAATATCTTCATATAAAATCTAGACGGAAGCATTCTCAGAAACTGCTTTGTGATGTTTTCATTCAAGTCACAGAGTTGAATGTTCCCTGTTATATACCAGGTTTGAGACACTCTTTCTGCACTACCCGGAAGTGGACGTTTGGAGCGCTTTGAGGCCAATGTTGAAAAAGGAAATATCTTCCCATAAAAACTAGACAGAAGCATTCTCAGAAACTTGTTTGTGATGTGTGTATTCAACTAACAGAGATGAACCTTTCTTTTTACAGAGGAGTTTTGAAACACTCTTTTTGTGGAATCTGAAAGTGGATATTTGGATAGCTTTGAGGATTTCGTTGGAAACGGGATTACATATAAAATCTAGAGAGAAGCATTCTCAGGAACTTCTTTGTGATGTTTGCATTCACGTCACAGAACTGAACATTCCCTTTCATAGAGCATGTTTGAAACACTCTTTCTGTAGTATCTGCAAACGGACATTTCAAACGCTTTCAGGCCTATGGTGAGAAAGGAAATATCTTCAAGTAAAAACTAGACAGAAGCATTCTCAGAAACTTATTTGCGATGTGTGTCCTCAACTAACAGAGTTGAACCTTTCTTTTGATACAACATTTTGGAAACACTCTTTTTGTAGAATCTGCAAGTGGATATTTGAATAGCTTTGAAGGTTTCGTTGGAAACGGGAATATCTTCATATAAAATCAAGACAGAAGCATTCTCAGAAACTTCTCTGTGATGTTTGCATTCAACTCATAGAGTTGAACACTTCCCTTCATACAGCAGGTTTGAAACACTCTTTTTGTAATATTTGGAAGTGGACATTTGCAGCGCTTTGAGGCCTATGATGAAAAAGGTAATATCTTCCCATAAAAACTAGACAGAAGCGTTCTCAGAAACTTGTTTGTGATGTGTGTATTCAACTAACAGAGATGAACCTTTCTTTTTACAGAGCAGTTTTGAAACACTCTTTTTGTGGAATCTGAAAGTAGATATTTGGATAGCTTTGCGGATTTCGTTGGAAACCGGATTACATATAAAATCTAGGGAGAAGCATTCTCAGGAACTTCTTTGTGATGTTTGCATTCAAGTCACAGAACTGAACATTCCCTTTCATAGAGCAGGTTTGAAACACTCTTTCTGTAGTATCTGCAAGCGGACGTTTTAATCGCTTTCAGGCCTGTGGTGAGAAAGGAAATATCTTCAAATAAAAACTAGACAGAAGCATTCTCAGAAACTTATTTGCGATGTGTGTCCTCAACTAACAGAGTTGAACCTTTGTTTTGATACAACATTTTGGAAACACTCTTTTTGTAGAATCTGCAGGTGGATATTTGGATAGCTTTGAAGTTTTCGTTGGAAACGGGAATATCTTCATATAAAATCAAGACAGAAGCATTCTCAGAAACTTCTCTGTGATGTTTGCATTCAACTCATAGAGTTGAACACTTCCCTTCATAGAGCAGGTTTGAAACACTCTTTTTGTAATATTTGGAAGTGGACATTTGCAGCGCTTTGAGGCCTATGTTGAAAAAGGAAATATCTTCTCCTAAAAACCAGACAGGAAGCATTCTCAGAAACTTCCTTGTGATGTGTGTACTCAAGTAACAGAGTTGAACCTTACTTTTGACAGAGCCGTTTTGAAACAGTCTTTTTGTAGAATCTGGAAGTAGATATTTGGACACCTTTGAGGATTTCTTTGGAAACGGGATGATCTTCATATAAAATCTAGACAGAAGCATTCTCAGGAACTTCTTTGTGATGTTTGCATTCAAGTCACAGAACTGAACATTCCCTTTCATAGAGCATGTTTGAAACACTCTTTCTGTAGTATCTGCAAGCGGACGTTTCAAGCGCTTTCAGGCCTATGGTGAGAAAGGAAATATCTTCAAGTAAAAACTAGACAGAAGCATTCTCAGAAACTTATTTGCCATGTGTGTTCTCAACTAACAGAGTTGAACCTTTGTTTTGATACGGCATTTTGGAAACACTCTTTTTGTAGAATCTGCAGGTGGATATTCGGATAGCTTTGAAGGTTTCGTTGGAAACGGGAATATCTTCATATAAAATCTAGACGGAAGCATTCTCAGAAACTGCTTTGTGATGTTTTCATTCAAGTCACAGAGTAGAATGTTCCCTTTTATATATCAGGTTTGAGACACTCTTTCTGCACTATCTGGAAGTGGACATTTGGAGCGCTTTGTGGCCTATGATGAAAAAGGAAATATCTTCCCATAAAAACTAGACAGAAGCATTCTCAGAAACTTGTTTGTGATGTGTGTATTCAACTAACAGAGATGAACCTTTCTTTTTACAGAGCAGTTTTGAAACACTCTTTTTGTGGAATCTGAAAGTGGATATTTGGATAGCTTTGAGGATTTCGTTGGAAACGGGATTACATATAAAATCTAGAGAGAAGCATTCTCAGGAACTTCTTTGTGATGTTTGCATTCACGTCACAGAACTGAACATTCCCTTTCATAGAGCATGTTTGAAACACTCTTTCTGTAGTATCTGCAAGCGGACGTTTCAAGCGCTTTCAGGCCTATGGTGAGAAAGGAAATATCTTCAAATAAAAACTAGACAGAAGCATTCTCAGAAACTTATTTGCCATGTGTGTTCTCAACTAACAGAGTTGAACCTTTGTTTTGATACGGCATTTTGGAAACACTCTTTTTGTAGAATCTGCAAGTGGATATTAGATAGCTTTGAAGGTTTCGTTGGAAACGGGAATATCTTCAAATAAAATCTAGACGGAAGCATTCTCAGAAACTGCTTTGTGATGTTTTCATTCAAGTCACAGAGTAGAATGTTCCCTTTTATATACCAGGTTTGAGACACTCTTTCTGCACTATCTGGAAGTGGACATTTGGAGCGCTTTGAGGCCTATGATGAAAAAGGAAATATCTTCCCATAAAAACTAGACAGAAGCATTCTCAGAAACTTGTTTGTGATGTGTGTATTCAACTAACAGAGATGAACCTTTCTTTTTACAGAGCAGTTTTGAAACACTCTTTTTGTGGAATCTGAAAGTGGATATTTGGATAGCTTTGAGGATTTCGTTGGAAACGGGATTACATATAAAATTCTAGAGAGAAGAGCATTCTCAGGAACTTCTTTGTGATGTTTGCATTCAAGTCACAGAACTGAACATTCCCTTTCATAGAGCAGGTTTGAAACACTCTTTCTGTAGTATCTGCAAGCGGACGTTTCAAGCGCTTTCAGGCCTATGGTGAGAAAGGAAATATCTTCAAGTAAAAACTAGACAGAAGCATTCTCAGAAACTTATTTGCCATGTGTGTTCTCAACTAACAGAGTTGAACCTTTGTTTTGATACGGCATTTTGGAAACACTCTTTTTGTAGAATCTGCAGGTGGATATTCGGATAGCTTTGAAGGTTTCGTTGGAAACGGGAATATCTTCATATAAAATCTAGACGGAAGCATTCTCAGAAACTGCTTTGTGATGTTTTCATTCAAGTCACAGAGTAGAATGTTCCCTGTTATATACCAGGTTTGAGACACTCTTTCTGCACTACCTGGAAGTGGACATTTGGAGCGCTTTGAGGCCTATGATGAAAAAGGAAATATCTTCCCATAAAAACTAGACAGAAGCATTCTCAGAAACTTGTTTGTGATGTGTGTATTCAACTAACAGAGATGAACCTTTCTTTTTACAGAGCAGTTTTGAAACACTCTTTTTGTGGAATCTGAAAGTGGATATTTGGATAGCTTTGAGGATTTCGTTGGAAACGGGATTACATATAAAACCTAGAGAGAAGCATTCTCAGGAACTTCTTTGTGATGTTTGCATTCACGTCACAGAACTGAACATTCCCTTTCATAGAGCATGTTTGAAACACTCTTTCTGTAGTATCTGCAAACGGACATTTCAAACGCTTTCAGGCCTATGGTGAGAAAGGAAATATCTTCAAATAAAAACTAGACAGAAGCATTCTCAGAAACTTGTTTGCGATGTGTTTCCTCAACTAACAGAGTTGAACCTTTCTTTTGATACAACATTTTGGAAACACTCTTTTTGTAGAATCTGCAAGTGGATATTTGGATAGCTTTGAAGGTTTCTTTGGAAACGGGAATATCTTCATATAAAATCAAGACAGAAGCATTCTCAGAAACTTCTCTGTGATGTTTGCATTCAACTCATAGAGTTGAACACTTCCCTTCATACAGCAGGTTTGAAACACTCTTTTTGTAATATTTGGAAGTGGACATTTGCAGCGCTTTGAGGCGTATGATGAAAAAGGAAATATCTTCCCATAAAAACTAGACAGAAGCATTCTCAGAAACTTGTTTGTGATGTGTGTATTCAACTAACAGAGATGAACCTTTCTTTTTACAGAGCAGTTTTGAAACACTCTTTTTGTGGAATCTGAAAGTGGATATTTGGATAGCTTTGCGGATTTCGTTGGAAACGGGATTACATATAAAATCTAGGGAGAAGCATTCTCAGGCAACTTCTTTGTGATGTTTGCATTCAAGTCACAGAACTGAACATTCCCTTTCATAGAGCAGGTTTGAAACACTCTTTCTGTAGTATCTGCAAGCGGACGTTTTAAGCCCTTTCAGGCCTGTGGTGAGAAAGGAAATATCTTCAAATAAAAACTAGACAGAAGCATTCTCAGAAACTTATTTGCGATGTGTGTCCTCAACTAACAGAGTTGAACCTTTCTTTTGATACAACATTTTGGAAACACTCTTTTTGTAGAATCTGCAAGTGGATATTTGGATAGCTTTGAAGGTTTCGTTGGAAACGGGAATATCTTCATATGAAATCAAGACAGAAGCATTCTCAGAAACTTCTCTGTGATGTTTGCATTCAACTCATAGAGTTGAACACTTCCCTTCATAGAGCAGGTTTGAAACACTCTTTTTGTAATATTTGGAAGTGGACATTTGCAGCGCTTTGAGGCCTATGTTGAAAAAGGAAATTCTTCTCCTAAAAACCAGACAGAAGCATTCTCAGAAACTTGTTTGTGATGTGTGTATTCAACTAACAGAGATGAACCTTTCTTTTTACAGAGCAGTTTTGAAACACTCTTTTTGTGGAATCTGAAAGTGGATATTTGGATAGCTTTGAGGATTTCGTTGGAAACGGGATTACATATAAAATCTAGAGAGAAGCATTCTCAGGAACTTCTTTGTGATGTTTGCATTCAAGTCACAGAACTGAACATTCCCTTTCATAGAGCAGGTTTGAAACACTCTTTCTGTAGTATCTGCAAGCGGACGTTTTAAGCGCTTTCAGGCCTGTGGTGAGAAAGGAAATATCTTCAAATAAAAACTAGACAGAAGCATTCTCAGAAACTTATTTGCGATGTGTGTCCTCAACTAACAGAGTTGAACCTTTCTTTTGATACAACATTTTGGAAACACTCTTTTTGTAGAATCTGCAAGTGGATATTTGGATAGCTTTGAAGGTTTCGTTGGAAACGGGAATATCTTCATATGAAATCAAGACAGAAGCATTCTCAGAAACTTCTCTGTGATGTTTGCATTCAACTCATAGAGTTGAACACTTCCCTTCATACAGCAGGTTTGAAACACTCTTTTTCTAATATTTGGAAGTGGACATTTGCAGCGCTTTGAGGCCTATGTTGAAAAAGGAAATATCTTCTCCTAAAAACCAGACAGAAGCATTCTCAGAAACTTGTTTGTGATGTGTGTATTCAACTAACAGAGATGAACCTTTCTTTTTACAGAGCAGTTTTGAAACACTCTTTTTGTGGAATCTGAAAGTGGATATTTGGATAGCTTTGCGGATTTCGTTGGAAACGGGATTACATATAAAATCTAGGGAGAAGCATTCTCAGGAACTTCTTTGTGATGTTTGCATTCAAGTCACAGAACTGAACATTCCCTTTCATAGAGCAGGTTTGAAACACCCTTTCTGTAGTATCTGCAAGCGGACGTTTTAAGCGCTTTCAGGCCTGTGGTGAGAAAGGAAATATCTTCAAATAAAAACTAGACAGAAGCATTCTCAGAAACGTATTTGCGATGTGTGTCCTCAACTAACAGAGTTGAACCTTTCTTTTGATACAACATTTTGGAAACACTCTTTTTGTAGAATCTGCAAGTGGATATTTGGATAGCTTTGAAGGTTTCGTTGGAAACGGGAATATCTTCATATGAAATCAAGACAGAAGCATTCTCAGAAACTTCTCTGTGATGTTTGCATTCAACTCATAGAGTTGAACACTTCCCTTCATACAGCAGGTTTGAAACACTCTTTTTCTAATATTTGGAAGTGGACATTTGCAGCGCTTTGAGGCCTATGTTGAAAAAGGAAATATCTTCTCCTAAAAACCAGACAGAAGCATTCTCAGAAACTTCCTTGTGATGTGTGTACTCAAGTAACAGAGTTGAACCTTCCTTTTGACAGAGCAGTTTTGAAGCACTCTTTTTGTAGAATCTGCAAGTGGATATTTTGATACCTTTGAGGATTTCGTTGGACACGGGATATCTTCATATAAAATCTAGACAGAAGCATTCTCAGGAACTTCTTTGTGATGTTTGCATTCAAGTCACAGAACTGAACATTCCCTTTCATAGAGCAGGTTTGAAACACTCTTTCTGTAGTATCTGCAAGCTGACGTTTCAAGCGCTTTCAGGCCTGTGGTGAGAAAGGAAATATCTTCAAATAAAAACTAGACAGAAGCATTCTCAGAAACTTATTTGCCATGTGTGTTCTCAACTAACAGAGTTGAACCTTTGTTTTGATACGGCATTTTGGAAACACTCTTTTTGTAGAATCTGCAGGTGGATATTCGGATAGCTTTGAAGGTTTCGTTGGAAACGGGAATATCTTCATATAAAATCTAGACGGAAGCATTCTCAGAAACTGCTTTGTGATGTTTTCATTCAAGTCACAGAGTAGAATGTTCCCTGTTATATACCAGGTTTGAGACACTCTTTCTGCACTACCCGGAAGTGGACGTTTGGAGCGCTTTGAGGCCTATGTTGAAAAAGGAAATATCTTCCCATAAAAACTAGACAGAAGCATTCTCAGAAACTTGTTTGTGATGTGTGTATTCAACTAACAGAGATGAACCTTTCTTTTTACAGAGCAGTTTTGAAACACTCTTTTTGTGGAATCTGAAAGTGGATATTTGGATAGCTTTGAGGATTTCGTTGGAAACGGGATTACATATAAAACCTAGAGAGAAGCATTCTCAGGAACTTCTTTGTGATGTTTGCATTCACGTCACAGAACTGAACATTCCCTTTCATAGAGCATGTTTGAAACACTCTTTCTGTAGTATCTGCAAACGGACATTTCAAACGCTTTCAGGCCTATGGTGAGAAAGGAAATATCTTCAAATAAAAACTAGACAGAAGCATTCTCAGAAACTTATTTGCGATGTGTGTCCTCAACTAACAGAGTTGAACCTTTCTTTTGATACAACATTTTGGAAACACTCTTTTTGTAGAATCTGCAAGTGGATATTTGAATAGCTTTGAAGGTTTCGTTGGAAACGGGAATATCTTCATATAAAATCAAGACAGAAGCATTCTCAGAAACTTCTCTGTGATGTTTGCATTCAACTCATAGAGTTGAACACTTCCCTTCATACAGCAGGTTTGAAACACTCTTTTTGTAATATTTGGAAGTGGACATTTGCAGCGCTTTGAGGCCTATGATGAAAAAGGAAATATCTTCCCACAAAAACTAGACAGAAGCATTCTCAGAAACTTGTTTGTGATGTGTGTATTCAACTAACAGAGATGAACCTTTCTTTTTACAGAGCAGTTTTGAAACACTCTTTTTGTGGAATCTGAAAGTGGATATTTGGATAGCTTTGAGGATTTCGTTGGAAACGGGATTACATATAAAATCTAGAGAGAAGCATTCTCAGGAACTTCTTTGTGATGTTTGCATTCACGTCACAGAACTGAACATTCCCTTTCATAGAGCATGTTTGAAACACTCTTTCTGTAGTATCTGCAAACGGACATTTCAAACGCTTTCAGGCCTATGGTGAGAAAGGAAATATCTTCAAATAAAAACTAGACAGAAGCATTCTCAGAAACTTATTTGCGATGTGTGTCCTCAACTATCAGAGTTGAACCTTTCTTTTGATACAACATTTTGGAACCACTCTTTTTGTAGAATCTGCAAGTGGATATTTGAATAGCTTTGAAGGTTTCGTTGGAAACGGGAATATCTTCATATAAAATCAAGACAGAAGCATTCTCAGAAACTTCTCTGTGATGTTTGCATTCAACTCATAGAGTTGAACACTTCCCTTCATACAGCAGGTTTGAAACACTCTTTTTGTAATATTTGGAAGTGGACATTTGCAGCGCTTTGAGGCCTATGATGAAAAAGGAAATATCTTCCCATAAAAACTAGACAGAAGCATTCTCAGAAACTTGTTTGTGATGTGTGTATTCAACTAACAGAGATGAACCTTTCTTTTTACAGAGCAGTTTTGAAACACTCTTTTTGTGGAATCTGAAAGTGGATATTTGGATAGCTTTGAGGATTTCGTTGGAAACGGGATTACATATAAAACCTAGAGAGAAGCATTCTCAGGAACTTCTTTGTGATGTTTGCCTTCAAGTCACAGGACTGAACATTCCCTTTCATAGAGCAGGTTTGAAACACTCTTTCTGTAGTATCTGCAAGCTGACGTTTCAAGCGCTTTCAGGCCTATGGTGAGAAAGGAAATATCTTCAAGTAAAAACTAGACAGAAGCATTCTCAGAAACTTATTTGAGATGTGTGTTCTCAACTAACAGAGTTGAACCTTTGTTTTGATATGGCATTTTGGAAACACTCTTTTTGTAGAATCTGCAGGTGGATATTCGGATAGCTTTGAAGGTTTCGTTGGAAACGGGAATATCTTCATATAAATTCTAGACGGAAAGCATTCTCAGAAACTGCTTTGTGATGTTTGCATTCAAGTCACAGAGTAGAATGTTCCCTGTTATATACCAGGTTTGAGACACTCTTTCTGCACTACCTGGAAGTGGACGTTTGGAGCGCTTTGAGGCCTATGTTGAAAAAGGAAATATCTTCGCATAAAAACTAGACAGAAGCATTCTCAGAAACTTGTTTGTGATGTGTGTATTCAACCAACAGAGATGAACCTTTCTTTTTACAGAGCAGTTTTGAAACACTCTTTTTGTTGAATCTGAAAGTGGATATTTGGATAGCTTTGGGGATTTCGTTGGAAACGGGATTACATATAAAATCTAGAGAGAAGCATTCTCAGGAACTTATTTGTGATGTTTGCCTTCAAGTCACAGGACTGAACATTCCCTTTCATAGAGCAGGTTTGAAACACTCTTTCTGTAGTATCTGCAAGCTGACGTTTCATGCGCTTTCAGGCCTATGGTAAGAAAGGAAATATCTTCAAGTAAAAACTAGACAGAAGCATTCTCAGAAACTTATTTGCCATGTGTGTTCTCAACTAACAGAGTTGAACCTTTGTTTTGATACGGCATTTTGGAAACACTCTTTTTGTAGAATCTGCAGGTGGATATTCGGATAGCTTTGAAGGTTTCGTTGGAAACGGGAATATCTTCATATAAAATCTAGACGGAAGCATTCTCAGAAACTGCTTTGTGATGTTTTCATTCAAGTCACAGAGTAGAATGTTCCCTGTTATATACCAGGTTTGAGACACTCTTTCTGCACTACCCGGAAGTGGACGTTTGGAGCGCTTTGAGGCCTATGTTGAAAAAGGAAATATCTTCCCATAAAAACTAGACAGAAGCATTCTCAGAAACTTGTTTGTGATGTGTGTATTCAACTAACAGAGATGAACCTTTCTTTTTACAGAGCAGTTTTGAAACACTCTTTTTGTGGAATCTGAAAGTGGATATTTGGATAGCTTTGAGGATTTCGTTGGAAACGGGATTACATATAAAAACCTAGGGAGAAGCATTCTCAGGAACTTCTTTGTGATGTTTGCATTCAAGTCACAGAACTGAACATTCCCTTTCATAGAGCAGGTTTGAAACACTCTTTCTGTAGTATCTGCAAGCTGACGTTTCAAGCGCTTTCAGGCCTATGGTGAGAAAGGAAATATCTTCAAGTAAAAACTAGACAGAAGCATTCTCAGAAACTTATTTGCGATGTGTGTTCTCAACTAACAGAGTTGAACCTTTGTTTTGATATGGCATTTTGGAAACACTCTTTTTGTAGAATCTGCAGGTGGATATTCGGATAGCTTTGAAGGTTTCGTTGGAAACGGGAATATCTTCATATAAAATCTAGACGGAAGCATTCTCAGAAAATGCTCTGTGATGTTTTCATTCAAGTCACAGAGTAGAATGTTCCCTGTTATATACCAGGTTTGAGACACTCTTTCTGCACTACCTGGAAGTGGACATTTGCAGCGCTTTGAGGCCTATGATGAAAAAGGAAACATCTTCCCATAAAAACTAGACAGAAGCATTCTCAGAAACTTGTTTGTGATGTGTGTATTCAACTAACAGAGATGAACCTTTCTTTTTACAGAGCAGTTTTGAAACACTCTTTTTGTGGAATCTCAAAGTGGATATTTGGATAGCTTCGAGGATTTCGTTGGAAACGGGATTACATATAAAATCTAGAGAGAAGCATTCTCAGGAAACTTCTTTGTGATGTTTGCATTCAAGTCACAGAACTGAACATTCCCTTTCATAGAGCAGGTTTGAAACACTCTTTCTGTAGTATCTGCAAGCGGACGTTTTAATCGCTTTCAGGCCTGTGGTGAGAAAGGAAATATCTTCAAATAAAAACTAGACAGAAGCATTCTCAGAAACTTATTTGCGATGTGTGTCCTCAACTAACAGAGTTGAACCTTTCTTTTGATACAACATTTTGGAAACACTCTTTTTGTAGAATCAGCAAGTGGATATTTGAATAGCTTTGAAGGTTTCGTTGGAAACGGGAATATCTTCATATAAAATCAAGACAGAAGCATTCTCAGAAACTTCTCTGTGATGTTTGCATTCAACTCATAGAGTTGAACACTTCCCTTCATACAGCAGGTTTGAAACACTCTTTTTGTAATATTTGGAAGTGGACTTTTGCAGCGCTTTGAGGCCTATGATGAAAAAGGTAATATCTTCCCATAAAAACTAGACAGAAGCATTCTCAGAAACTTGTTTGTGATGTGTGTATTCAACTAACAGAGATGAACCTTTCTTTTTACAGAGCAGTTTTGAAACACTCTTTTTGTGGAATCTGAAAGTGGATATTTGGATAGCTTTGAGGATTTCGTTGGAAACGGGATTACATATAAAATCTAGAGAGAAGCATTCTCAGGAACTTCTTCGTGATGTTTGCATTCAAGTCACAGAACTGAACATTCCCTTTCATAGAGCATGTTTGAAACACTCTTTCTGTAGTATCTGCAAACGGACATTTCAAACGCTTTCAGGCCTATGGTGAGAAAGGAAATATCTTCAAATAAAAACTAGACAGAAGCATTCACAGAAACTTCTTTGTGCTGTATGTCCTCAATTAACAGAGTTGAACCTTTGTGTGGATACAGCATTTTGGAAACATTCCTTTAGTAGAATCTGCAAGTTGATATTTAGATAGCTAGGAAGATTTCCTTGGAAACGGGAATATCTTCATATAAAATCTAGACGGAAGCATTCTCAGAAACTGCTTTGTGATGTTTTCATTCAAGTCACAGAGTAGAATGTTCCCTGTTATATACCAGGTTTGAGACACTCTTTCTGCACTACCTGGAAGTGGACGTTTGGAGCGCTTTGAGGCCTATGTTGAAAAAGGAAATATCTTCCCATAAAAACTAGACAGAAGCATTCTCAGAAACTTGTTTGTGATGTGTGTATTCAACTAACAGAGATGAACCTTTCTTTTTACAGAGTAGTTTTGAAACACTCTTTTTGTGGAATCTGAAAGTGGATATTTGGATAGCTTTGAGGATTTCGTTGGAAACGGGATTACATATAAAATCTAGAGAGAAGCATTCTCAGGAACTTCTTTGTGATGTTTGCATTCACGTCACAGAACTGAACATTCCCTTTCATAGAGCATGTTTGAAACACTCTTTCTGTAGTATCTGCAAACGGACATTTCAAGCGCTTTCAGGCCTATGGTAAGAAAGGAAATATCTTCAAATAAAAACTAGACAGAAGCATTCTCAGAAACTTATTTGCGATGTGTGTCCTCAACTAACAGAGTTGAACCTTTGTGTTGATACAACATTTTGGAAACACTCTTTTTGTAGAATCTGCAAGTGGATATTTGGATAGCTTTGAAGGTTTCGTTGGAAACGGGAATATCTTCATATAAAATCAAGACAGAAGCATTCTCAGAAACTTCTCTGTGATGTTTGCATTCAACTCATAGAGTTGAACACTTCCCTTCATAGAGCAGGTATGAAACACTCTTTTTGTAATATTTGGAAGTGGACATTTGCAGCGCTTTGAGGCCTATGTTGAAAAAGGAAATATCTTCTCCTAAAAACCAGACAGAAGCATTCTCAGAAACTTCCTTGTGATGTGTGTACTCAAGTAACAGAGTTGAACCTTACTTTTGACAGAGCCGTTTTGAAACAGTCTTTTTGTAGAATCTGGAAGTAGATATTTGGATACCTTTGAGGATTTCTTTGGAAACGGGATATCTTCATATAAAATCTAGACAGAAGCATTCTCAGAAACTTCTTTGTGCTGTATGTCCTCAATTAACAGAGTTGAACCTTTGTGTGGATACAGCATTTTGGAAACATTCCTTTAGTAGAATCTGCAAGTTGATATTTAGATAGCTAGGAAGATTTCCTTGGAAACGGGAATATCTTCATATAAAATCTAGACGGAAGCATTCTCAGAAAGTGCTTTGTGATGTTTGCATTCAAGTCACAGAGTTGAATATTCCCTTTTATAGAGCAGGTTTGAAACACTCTTTCTGCACTACCTGGAAGTGGACATTTGGAGCGCTTTGAGGCCTAAGTTGAAAAAGGAAATATCTTCCCATAAAAACTAGACAGAAGCATTCTCAGAAACTTGTTTGTGATGTGTGTATTCAACTAACAGAGATGAACCTTTCTTTTTACAGAGCAGTTTTGAAACACTCTTTTTGTGGAATCTGAAAGTGGATATTTGGATAGCTTTGAGGATTTCGTTGGAAACGGGATTACATATAAAATCTAGAGAGAAGCATTCTCAGGAACTTCTTTGTGATGCTTGCATTCAAGTCACAGAACTGAACATTCCCTTTCATAGAGCATGTTTGAAACACTCTTTCTGTAGTATCTGCAAACGGACATTTCAAACGCTTTCAGGCCTATGGTGAGAAAGGAAATATCTTCAAATAAAAACTAGACAGAAGCATTCTCAGAAACTTATTTGCGATGTGTGTCCTCAACTAACAGAGTTGAACCTTTCTTTTGATACAACATTTTGGAAACACTCTTTTTGTAGAATCTGCAAGTGGATATTTGGATAGCTTTGAAGGTTTCGTTGGAAACGGGAATATCTTCATATGAAATCAAGACAGAAGCATTCTCAGAAACTTCTCTGTGATGTTTGCATTCAACTCATAGAGTTGAACACTTCCCTTCATACAGCAGGTTTGAAACACTCTTTTTGTAATATTTGGAAGTGGACATTTGCAGCGCTTTGAGGCCTATGTTGAAAAAGGAAATATCTTCTCCTAAAAACCAGACAGAAGCATTCTCAGAAACTTCCTTGTGATGTGTGTACTCAAGTAACAGAGTTGAACCTTCCTTTTGACAGAGCAGTTTTGAAGCACTCTTTTTGTAGAATCTGCAAGTGGATATTTTGATACCTTTGAGGATTTCGTTGGACACGGGATATCGTCATATAAAATCTAGACAGAAGCATTCTCAGAAACTTCTTTGTTCTGTATGTCCTCAATTAACAGAGTTGAACCTTTGTGTGGATACAGGATTTTGGAAACATTCCTTTAGTAGAATCTGCAAGTTGATATTTAGATAGCTAGGAAGATTTCCTTGGAAACGGGAATATCTTCATATAAAATCTAGACGGAAGCATTCTCAGAAAGTGCTTTGTGATGTTTGCATTCAAGTCACAGAGTTGAATATTCCCTTTTATAGAGCAGGTTTGAAACACTCTTTCTGCACTACCTGGAAGTGGACATTTGGAGCGCTTTGAGGCCTATGTTGAAAAAGGAAATATCTTCCCATAAAAACTAGACAGAAGCATTCTCAGAAATTTGTTTGTGATGTGTGTATTCAACTAACAGAGATGAACCTTTCTTTTTACAGAGCAGTTTTGAAACACTCTTTTTGTGGATTCTGAAAGTGGATATTTGGATAGCTTTGAGGATTTTGTTGGAAACGGGATTACATATAAAACCTAGAGAGAAGCATTCTCAGGAACTTCTTTGTGATGTTTGCATTCAAGTCACAGAACTGAACATTCCCTTTCATAGAGCAGGTTTGAAATACTCTTTCTGTAGTATCTGCAAGCGGACGTTTTAAGCGCTTTCAGGCCTGTGGTGAGAAAGGAAATATCTTCAAATAAAAACTAGACAGAAGCATTCTCAGAAACTTATTTGCGATGTGTGTCCTCAACTAACAGAGTTGAACCTTTCTTTTGATACAACATTTTGGAAACACTCTTTTTGTAGAATCTGCAAGTGGATATTTGGATAGCTTTGAAGGTTTCGTTGGAAACGGGAATATCTTCATATGAAATCAAGACAGAAGCATTCTCAGAAACTTCTCTGTGATGTTTGCATTCAACTCATAGAGTTGAACACTTCCCTTCATACAGCAGGTTTGAAACACTCTTTTTGTAATATTTGGAAGTGGACATTTGCAGCGCTTTGAGACCTATGTTGAAAAAGGAAATATCTTCCCATAAAAACTAGACCGAAGCATTCTCAGAAACTTGTTTGTGATGTGTGTATTCAACTAACAGAGATGAACCTTTCTTTTTACAGAGCAGTTTTGAAACACTCTTTTTGTGGAATCTGAAAGTGGATATTTGGATAGATTTGAGGATTTCGTTGGAAACGGGATTACATATAAAACCTAGAGAGAAGCATTCTCAGGAACTTCTTTGTGATGTTTGCATTCAAGTCACAGAACTGAACATTCCCTTTCATAGAGCAGGTTTGAAACACTCTTTCTGTAGTATCTGCAAGCGGACGTTTTAAGCGCTTTCAGGCCTGTGGTGAGAAAGGAAATATCTTCAAATAAAAACTAGACAGAAGCATTCTCAGAAACTTATTTGCGATGTGTGTCCTCAACTAACAGAGTTGAACCTTTCTTTTGATACAACATTTTGGAAACACTCTTTTTGTAGAATCTGCAAGTGGATATTTGGATAGCTTTGAAGGTTTCGTTGGAAACGGGAATATCTTCATATGAAATCAAGACAGAAGCATTCTCAGAAACTTCTCTGTGATGTTTGCATTCAACTCATAGAGTTGAACACTTCCCTTCATACAGCAGGTTTGAAACACTCTTTTTGTAATATTTGGAAGTGGACATTTGCAGCGCTTTGAGGCCTATGTTGAAAAAGGAAATATCTTCTCCTAAAAACCAGACAGAAGCATTCTCAGAAACTTCCTTGTGATGTGTGTACTCAAGTAACAGAGTTGAACCTTACTTTTGACGGAGCAGTTTTGAAGCACTCTTTTTGTAGAATCTGCAAGTGGATATTTTGATACCTTTGAGGATTTCGTTGGACACGGGATATCTTCATATAAAATCTAGACAGAGGAAGCATTCTCAGGAACTTCTTTGTGATGTTTGCATTCACGTCACAGAACTGAACATTCCCTTTCATAGAGCATGTTTGAAACACTCTTTCTGTAGTATCTGCAAACGGACATTTCAAACGCTTTCAGGCCTATGGTGAGAAAGGAAATATCTTCAAATAAAAACTAGACAGAAGCATTCTCAGAAACTTATTTGCGATGTGTGTTCTCAACTAACAGAGTTGAACCTTTGTTTTGATATGGCATTTTGGAAACACTCTTTTTGTAGAATCTGCAGGTGGATATTCGGATAGCTTTGAAGGTTTCGTTGGAAACGGGAATATCTTCATATAAAATCTAGACGGAAGCATTCTCAGAAACTGCTCTGTGATGTTTTCATTCAAGTCACAGAGTAGAATGTTCCCTGTTATATACCAGGTTTGAGACACTCTTTCTGCACTACCTGGAAGTGGACATTTGCAGCGCTTTGAGGCCTATGATGAAAAAGGAAATATCTTCCCATAAAAACTAGACAGAAGCATTCTCAGAAACTTGTTTGTGATGTGTGTATTCAACTAACAGAGATGAACCTTTCTTTTTACAGAGCAGTTTTGAAACACTCTTTTTGTGGAATCTGAAAGTGGATATTTGGATAGCTTTGAGGATTTCGTTGGAAACGGGATTACATATAAAACCTAGAGAGAAGCATTCTCAGGAACTTCTTTGTGATATTTGCATTCAAGTCACAGAACTGAACATTCCCTTTCATAGAGCAGGTTTGAAACACTCTTTCTGTAGTATCTGCAAGCTGACGTTTCAAGCGCTTTCAGGCCTATGGTGAGAAAGGAAATATCTTCAAGTAAAAACTAGACAGAAGCATTCTCAGAAACTTATTTGCCATGTGTGTTCTCAACTAACAGAGTTGAACCTTTGTTTTGATACGGCATTTTGGAAACACTCTTTTTGTAGAATCTGCAGGTGGATATTCGGATAGCTTTGAAGGTTTCGTTGGAAACGGGAATATCTTCATATAAAATCTAGACGGAAGCATTCTCAGAAACTGCTTTGTGATGTTTTCATTCAAGTCACAGAGTAGAATGTTCCCTGTTATATACCAGGTTTGAGACACTCTTTCTGCACTACCTGGAAGTGGACGTTTGGAGCGCTTTGAGGCCTATGTTGAAAAAGGAAATATCTTCCCATAAAAACTAGACAGAAGCATTCTCAGAAACTTGTTTGTGATGTGTGTATTCAACTAACAGAGATGAACCTTTCTTTTTACAGAGCAGTTTTGAAACACTCTTTTTGTGGAATCTGAAAGTGGATATTTGGATAGCTTTGAGGATTTCGTTGGAAACGGGATTACATATAAAACCTAGAGAGAAGCATTCTCAGGAACTTCTTTGTGATGTTTGCATTCAAGTCACAGAACTGAACATTCCCTTTCATAGAGCATGTTTGAAACACTCTTTCTGTAGTATCTGCAAACGGACATTTCAAACGCTTTCAGGCCTATGGTGAGAAAGGAAATATCTTCAAATAAAAACTAGACAGAAGCATTCTCAGAAACTTATTTGCGATGTGTGTCCTCAACTAACAGAGTTGAACCTTTCTTTTGATACAACATTTTGGAAACACTCTTTTTGTAGAATCTGCAAGTGGATATTTGAGTAGCTTTGAAGGTTTCGTTGGAAACGGGAATATCTTCAAATAAAATCAAGACAGAAGCATTCTCAGAAAGTGCTTTGTGATGTTTGCATTCAAGTCACAGAGTTGAATATTCCCTTTTATAGAGCAGGTTTGAAACACTCTTTCTGCACTACCTGGAAGTGGACATTTGGAGCGCTTTGAGGCCTATGTTGAAAAAGGAAATATCTTCCCATAAAAACTAGACAGAAAGCATTCTCAGAAACTTGTTTGTGATGTGTGTATTCAACTAACAGAGATGAACCTTTCTTTTTACAGAGCAGTTTTGAAACACTCTTTTTGTGGAATCTGAAAGTGGATATTTGGATAGCTTTGAGGATTTCGTTGGAAACGGGATTACATGTAAAACCTAGAGAGAAGCATTCTCAGGAACTTCTTTGTGATGTTTGCATTCAAGTCACAGAACTGAACATTCCCTTTCATAGAGCAGGTTTGAAACTCTCTTTCTGTAGTATCTGCAAGCTGACGTTTCAAGCGCTTTCAGGCCTATGGTGAGAAAGGAAATATCTTCAAGTAAAAACTAGACAGAAGCATTCTCAGAAACTTCTTTGTGCTGTATGTCCTCAATTAACAGAGTTGAACCTTTGTGTGGATACAGCATTTTGGAAACACTCCTTTAGTAGGATATGCAAGTTGATATTTAGATAGCTAGGAAGATTTCCTTGGAAACGGGAATATCTTCATATAAAATCTAGACGGAAGCATTCTCAGAAAGTGCTTTGTGATGTTTGCATTCAAGTCACAGAGTTGAATATTCCCTTTTATAGAGCAGGTCTGAAACACTCTTTCTGCACTACCTGGAAGTGGACATTTGGAACGCTTTGAGGCCTATGTTGAAAAAGGAAATATCTTCCCATAAAAACTAGACAGAAGCATTCTCAGAAACTTGTTTGTGATGTGTGTATTCAACTAACAGAGATGAACCTTTCTTTTTACAGAGCAGTTTTGAAACACTCTTTTTGTGGAATCTGAAAGTGGATATTTGGATAGCTTTGAGGATTTCGTTGGAAACGGGATTACATATAAAACCTAGAGAGAAGCATTCTCAGGAACTTCTTTGTGATGTTTGCATTCAAGTCACAGAACTGAACATTCCCTTTCATAGAGCAGGTTTGAAACACTCTTTCTGTAGTATCTGCAAGCTGACGTTTCAAGCGCTTTCAGGCCTATGGTGAGAAAGGAAATATCTTCAAGTAAAAACTAGACAGAAGCATTCTCAGAAACTTATTTGCGATGTGTGTTCTCAACTAACAGAGTTGAACCTTTGTTTTGATATGGCATTTTGGAAACACTCTTTTTGTAGAATCTGCAGGTGGATATTCGGATAGCTTTGAAGGTTTCGTTGGAAACGGGAATATCTTCATATAAAATCTAGACGGAAGCATTCTCAGAAACTGCTTTGTGATGTTTTCATTCAAGTCACAGAGTAGAATGTTCCCTGTTATATACCAGGTTTGAGACACTCTTTCTGCACTACCTGGAAGTGGACGTTTGGAGCGCTTGAGGCCTATGTTGAAAAAGGAAATATCTTCCCATAAAAACTAGACAGAAGCATTCTCAGAAACTTGTTTGTGATGTGTGTATTCAACTAACAGAGATGAACCTTTCTTTTTACAGAGCAGTTTTGAAACACTCTTTTTGTGGAATCTGAAAGTGGATATTTGGATAGCTTTGCGGATTTCGTTGGAAACGGGATTACATATAAAATCTAGGGAGAAGCATTCTCAGGAACTTCTTTGTGATGTTTGCATTCAAGTCACAGAACTGAACATTCCCTTTCATAGAGCAGGTTTGAAACACTCTTTCTGTAGTATCTGCAAGCGGACGTTTTCAGCGCTTTCAGGCCTGTGGTGAGAAAGGAAATATCTTCAAATAAAAACTAGACAGAAGCATTCTCAGAAACTTATTTGCGATGTGTGTCCTCAACTAACAGAGTTGAACCTTTCTTTTGATACAACATTTTGGAAACACTCTTTTTGTAGAATCTGCAAGTGGATATTTGGATAGCTTTGAAGGTTTCGTTGGAAACGGGAATATCTTCATATGAAATCAAGACAGAAGCATTCTCAGAAACTTCTCTGTGATGTTTGCATTCAACTCATAGAGTTGAACACTTCCCTTCATACAGTAGGTTTGAAACACTCTTTTTCTAATATTTGGAAGTGGACATTTGCAGCGCTTTGAGGCCTATGTTGAAAAAGGAAATATCTTCTCCTAAAAACCAGACAGAAGCATTCTCAGAAACTTCCTTGTGATGTGTGTACTCAAGTAACAGAGTTGAACCTTCCTTTTGACAGAGCAGTTTTGAAGCACTCTTTTTGTAGAATCTGCAAGTGGATATTTTGATACCTTTGAGGATTTCGTTGG